>NC_000002.12:113247193-113550224 GCF_000001405.40 Homo sapiens | reverse complement strand
AATCAGATGAAAGAATCTAAAAATTTCCCTTTGACTGTGTTAAGTAGAAGTAGTAGAGGCATATTGGCCAAATCTTGAGTGTTTGCAAATTGACTCTTAAGGCTATAGGCTGGCACAGGTCATTGAAGCCCTAGCTTTTTATCTTTAATTTTAAAATCCCCAAACAATTTATACTAATTTTTCTTGTCCATTATTTCCAAATAATCTTGTTTAAATGTTATTACAGTGCTTGCTCATGTTACTGTTGTCTAACAGAAGGGTATCCGGGGCCTTAAAACTGAGAGGGTTAGGATTAATGATTCCAATACCTATGCTTGGACATCTCCAAAAGTGGGTTCCAACTTCTTGTCCTCAAGTCTGTATAGAAACTAGCAAACTTCCAGAGTTCACAAAAGGCTCAAAGAGAAAGAGAACAGATGTTTTATAGAAAATTCTTAGAGCAAGTTTCACGCATAATGTTGCTGATGTGTGTCTGCCTTTTCAATAAACATCACTATGCTTTATCACAAGATTTAATAAAGCAGCTTAGTTAAAAATGCCATCTGGGTCTCTGGACACATTAAACAAAGCTTAAAATAACCACCCCAGCAACTGGGAGGACCCAGCTGTTCTCATAATCTGTCCCACTCCTTTTACTTCCCCATAAAAAGAGTGAATGAAGACCACAGACTAAAAGCATCCAGAATGAACTGACACAAACAGGGAGATAGATGGAGCCAAGGGCTCCTGTAAGTTTGCTATTGCTCACATAATAGATTTGCTAATTCCACAACCTGGGGATGGTGATTCAGAAAGGGAAGCAGAAAGAGGGAAGAGAGAATCATAGAAGGGCTCATTCAAGTTTTCTAATGTATCACAAACCTGTCCTCCCTAATGTCTGGATCATAGCAGCCCATTCCATTCACCTATTCTGTAGTGAACGCCAGTAGAAAATACAAAGCCATCACCACCCAGTTCTTTCTCCCTTCTAGAGATGAGATATTAGCCACCCAATCCCAGATTCTCAGATCCATTCCAGGAAAGAAGCCCTAGGTATTGAAGCACAGCTTTCCCTCCCTCCCTTCTTTCTTCCACCCCAAGATTTGTTCCCCAGATAGTTCTAGTAAATGCAAAACCAAGTATATTCTCATTCTTTAGAGCAACCAGCTTTTCATGGCCAACTGGAATCAAATACAACCTGCACAAACATCTATCTGGAGGACACTCCCAAGGCTCCTACTGAGCCAGCCTTCTGCATACCACTGCATTTCAGCTTCCTAGTTCACAAGACACTGAGACATTCTTGAATTCTGCAAGGTGCACTGTGTGTTAATATCATTGCTGCTCATCATGTGGCCAATAAAGTGCATGACTAGTCAACAAATAAATTTTCTCTTGGCTAAAACTTGCAACAAAACTGTAAGCTGTTTACCAAGGGGCCCACTACAGGTTATATTCAATATATACAGTCAAATCATAATTATCTGAGATATATTCAGTTGACCATACACCTTTATATTTCAGTAAAAGGTCTTTACATTTCCCAGTGCTATCGATGTTACAAAGTGCTTTCATATGCAGTGCTTCATCTGATTTCCAGGATAATTAAATGATCCTGTCATACCTGATTTTTAGATGAGGAAACAAGTGGTTTCTGGGTATTTCAAGAGGCTAACGCATCTGCCCTCCAACTTGTATGTGAAAACCAAAAACAAAATTCCAAGGCCCCTCAACCATCTGAATGGACTTCGACTCTTTTGGTCAATATATGCCAGAGCTAGGAAAAGAAGGTGAGTCTTCCAGCTGCTGATACAGGGTTTTTTCTGCCATACTCCATTACCTCCAAGGCTAAAGTCAAAAGAGGGTGTGGTTATCACATGAAAAAATCTGGTTTGGATTTCCCAAATGTGTATGTAGTATTTGGTGATTTACCTTAATTTAACCTACAGTTCTTTTGGGTTGTAACAGTCTGACTCCATTTTTGAAAACAAAACAAAATCGATTTTAAATGCTGAATTATAGATCTTTGCTGTCCAGTATGGTAGCTACTAACCACTTATGGTTATTTGCATTTCTATTTTAATTAATTAAAATTAAGTAAAATGCAAAATTCAGTTCTTCAGTTGCTCTAGCCACATTTCAAGTGTTACAGTAGTCACATATGGCTAGTAGCTGGGACAATGCAGATTATAGAACAGTTCCATCATCAAAGAAACTTCTATTGAACAGTGCTATTATATAATGTCATCTCCAGAGAAAGAAGACTTTAGAAAAAGTCAGAAACGGCCGGGCGCAGTGGCTCACACGTGTAATCCCAGCACTTTGGGAGGCCAAGGCAGGCAGATCCCTTGAGGTCAGGAGTTCAAGACCAGCCTGGCCGACATGGTGAAACCCCGTCTCTAGTAAAAATACAAAAAATTAGCTAGGCGTGGTGGTGCATGCCTGTAACCCCAGCTACTCAGGAGGCTGAGTTGGGAGAATCACTGGAACCCAGGAGGCAGAAGTTGTAGTGAGCCAAGATTGTGCCACTGCACTCTAGCCTGGGTGACAGAGCAAGACTCCATCTCAAAAAAAAAGAAAAAAGAAAAAGAAAAAGTCAGAAACATCTTGAGGCAGGCATAGTGCTGTCATCTGTCCAATATTGAAGATGATTTAAGAATAAGAAAGAAGAGAACAAAGAAGAGACAAAGAAGTTGCCTTAGGTGTACCCACCCAGAAAAGGACAAAGGCATTCTTGTAGTCATTGTGTTGTATTTTAGCTCTTAAACTTTTTAAGAGATTAGAATAATTTGACACATAGAAGATCTAAACCACTGAAGAGGCTCTGAAGCAGATAAAAGTAGAAAGAAAATAAAAAACTAATTAGTTACAAACTAAGCTTAACCACAATTCATTTAAACGATACTATTTACTCTTCACATGATTGGTTTTTCTTTTGCTTTATAGTATGACATAGTTTATATCTTTAAAGGGGAATTAAAATATTTCTGGGAATTTTTAAAGGTAAGTTCACATAGCCACATAAAAACTACAGAAACAGATAAAACCTATCTTCTCATTTATTCCCTAATCCATTCAAATTAAATATAAAAATCCAAGCAGCCACAGTGATATTCAAAAAAGCAAAAGTGAGACAAAACAAAATTCATTTGTCACCTGTGGAGGTAGTTAACTCACCTAATCTTCACTCCAAACACCAGTAATTTTTAAAAGACAGAAATAAACATATGTTCTGCCTTCCCGGAAGGAACTATGTTTCAGGGTAGCCAAATAACCCAGTTGTGAAGAAAATGGTCTGCTTATAGAAAAATGCCAGCTAAAACATGTAGATAGAATTAGAGAATTAGAAATTCACCATTTTGAAACCCCTAATGAAATAATCAACTCAAGCAAGGATCATTAATAAATGCTAAAACAATCAAGTAAATATTGATACAGAACATAACTGAATATACACATGGTACAAAGTTCACGTCACAGACTACTGGCTTGACCCAAGGGGGAATATAACAGAGGAGATAGGCAGTGATCGCCCTAACCTTGCGATCCTCTCACCATCACTGATGATGGGATGTGAATACACATTATTGCCTATGAAATAGTCTTTAAAAAAAGAAGTTGAACCTGAATCTAACTAAACCTTGCAATGGGCTGAACGTGTATGTCTTCCCAAAATTAATATGTTGACATCCTAACCCCAAAGGTGCTGGTATTAAAAGGTGGGGCCTTTAGGGGTTCATTAGATCATAAGGACAGAGCACTCATGATTGGAATTAGTGCCCTTATAAAAGAGGCCCCAGAGAGCTAGCTAGTCTCTCCCACTATGTGAGGGCCCAGCAAGAAGGCCAATCTATGAACCAGAAAGTTGGTCCTAACCAGATATGAAAACCGCATGCTCCTTGATCTTAAACTTGCTAGTCTCTAGAACTGTGAGAAATAAATTTCTGTTCTTTATAAGTCATCCAGTTTTTGGTATTTTGTTATACCAGGCCTAAAAGCCTTTAGAACTAACTTCCAGTTAACCAGGAAAAAACAGAGTGAAAAGTTAAATGACACCATAAAAAGCAACCAGAAAATTCCAGAAGGGGAAATATTCTACAGGACCACTGACTAGTTTTTCAACAAGTCAATTTCATTAAATAAATACATAAACAAAGAGTGAGGGTATTTTCCAGGTTAAAAAAGTCTTGAGCTAAATAATCAAATGCAATGTGTGTCCCTTGATTAGAAGAAACTAATTTGAGCAAACCAGCCACAAAAGATATTTCAGGGAGACCAAGCTGGAAGGATCACTTGAGGCCAGGAGTTTGAGACCAGCCTGGGCAATGTAGTAAGACCTCCATCTCTACAAAAACAATAAATTAGCTGGGCATGGTGGTGTGCACCTATAGTCCTAGCTACTCAGGAAGCTGAGGCAGGAAGATCACTTGAGCCCAGGAGTTTGAGGCTGCAATGAGCTATGATTGTTTCACTGCACTTCAGGCTGTGTGAAAGAGCAAGACTTTGTCTCAAAAAATAAAAGGACATTTCATAATAATTGAGGAAATCTGAATGTGGACTGGGTAATAAATGATATAAAAAAACTATTTTTTATTCTGTTTGAAAAGATGATTTTGTAACCATACAGGAAAATGTTCTTATTTTTTAGAAATCTGCACTAAATAATTTAGGGGTAAAATATCATTTTCTTTAATATACTTTCAAACACAAGCAAAAAATAATCATGACACAAATATAGCAAAATGTTTACAATCAATGTTCTATGTTTGCCTATGAGTGCCATTAATCTCATCTCTCTGCTTTTCTGAAAGTTTGAAAATTTCAAAGTTTTATAACAAATTTTTTTACATCCCATAATTTTATAATAAATTTTTTAAAGTTTGAAGCAAATCAACAACTATAGCTTCAAAAATATTCTGACCCACAATAAACATTGAACAGGGTATATTTCTCCCATTTCCTAAAAAAGTTGGCCCAGGAAGGAGTATGAGAGCTGCCATAGCTCTCCCAAGGCTCATTATTCTCCATCACTCCATGGGAAATCCCAAAATAAATTTTTAAAAAAGTTGTTTAAATTTATAATGTTTTTGATTCTATAATAATTTTATAATAAAATAATTTTATAATGTTTTTGATTTTATATTTTTAATTTATAAAAATTTTTATACATGTTTATGTTTGAAATGTCTATTTCAAACTTTATGAGATATTAAAATATAAGTAATATAGTTCATCATTTTAGAAATGCCATGCTTTTCTTCTCCAGCAATTACATAATCAAAGAGTAACTGTAGTTTTTCCTAGAACATTGCTTTGTAGGCTGGGCATGGTGGTTCATGACACTTTAGGAGGCCAAGGCAGGCAGATCTCTTGAGATCAGGAGTTTGAGACTAGACTGGGCAACACAGAGAAACCCTATGAGTAGTAAAAACACAAAAATCAGCTGTGCGTAGTGGCGTGCACCTATAGCCCCAGCTACTCAGGAGGCTGAGGTGGGAAGATCACCTGAATCTGGGGAGGTCAAGGCTACAGTGAGCCAAGACTGTGCCATTGCACTCCAGCCTGGGCACAAAGTGAGACCCTGTCTCAAAAAAAAAAATGAAATTTAATTTAAAAAAAGAAAATTGCTTTGTAAAATTAACTTTTTCAATCAAAACCAAGATTTTTCAGATATAGAGAATGCAGCCCACTGGTCAGATTTGTCAGTTCAAAGAGAATAAATTCTAGTTTCCTATTTTTCTAGCCTGCTTATGATTATCCAATAGGATATCAAAAAAGACCAAAGCCTTTGGGATCCAAGTTCAGTATTCCTGAGTCTAACTCAGGATGCCAAATCAGGAGACAAGCACATTCTCATCAATTTTCAATCATTCGAGACCAATTTTGCTTATAATTATCCAGTTCTTTTCGACCACCTTTCTCCTGAAGCCTTATGGCTATTCACTTCACTTTAGCATAAGCCCCCAAGAAGGTGAACAAAATGAGGAAAAGATTGGTTAAAGTTGGCTGTTTGAAATTCTGAAACATGTCCACCATTCCCTTCACCCATGCCCACCCCTCTTAGAAGTAGTACTTTCAGATTATTTAAGAGTCGATGCTTCTATGTGGATTTTAATTTGTCATCTGTCCTTTATAACAGCTAGTAGGTTTAATTTGACTCTATTTTAAGCATATATTGACCTATGCTAATTATCTGTTAAAATAAATTCCACTCTTAGAGTTAATAAAGTGTGTTTGTCATGGAAGACCCATTGAAGTAAGAAGCTGAGGAGCCCTTATGGTAAAGTGGGACAAGAAATAATAAGACATAATAATTTTCCCATGCAAATCAACAACCGTAGCTTCAAAAATATCCTGACCCACAACAAGTATTGGACAGGCCCTGTTTCTCTCACTCCCTAAAAAATTGGCTCGGGAAGGAGTATGAGAGCTCCCATAGCTTTCCCAAGGCTCATTATTCTCCATCACTCCACAGGAACAGCCTGTCAGAGAAGAGTGAAAGACCATTTGTCAACCTCTCTTCAACTCCCTGATTCTAGCCAAACTTCATCAATCCCAACTGAGGAGCCAGAGAGAAATCAAACCCCATATATGCAGCATCATTGTCTACTGGAGTCAAAAATCACAATTCCACTACCCACCCCAACACCACTGGCCCTGTTTCTCCCAATTGCTTTTTATTGTGTTTTTAAAAAATCCTCTTTCCCCATCCCTGCAACACCGAGAAGGAGGAATTATAGTAGATAAATATGAAGCATGGAGATCCTTTAAAAGTGTTTTTAATAATAAATGAGAAAATGAAAAGGAGAGGGTTGGGAAGGAAGGAGGGAATTCAAATGCCAGAGAATTGTTCAGTTTCGCTTTTAAAGATGTTAACACTCATTTATACATCTGCAAGACACTCCCCTTAAAGAAAAGTTCTATGAGTGTGGGTCTGGTTGCATGAATAAGGATAAAATTACTTTTTTAGACGATGTTTCCCACATATAATTCAGAGACCCCTGAAATTAGGTATCCCTCTTGTAGATGTCCTTGAGATGCTGCTGGACCTGGGAAAGAGGAAACTGGGATATGGGTCTATGCCAAAAGGTGCTTCTAGTTACAGGACAGAGAGGAAAGGGGCAGAGGGAGAAAAACCTGAAGTCTGAGAATCTGGATTGCAGAAGACTACCGAGGTCGTGGGAGAAGGGAGAGAAAACAAGGATGAAAACCGAAAGGGGAAGAGGCATGAAATGTTGCCAGATGTCAAAAGGCATTTGGAGAGAAGTTGGGAATTGCATTAAGAAAACCACTGCAAATCTCATTTCAGACCATTTAGAGATATGCCCCCTGGGAACTGCGAGCTCAGGCTGTTTAGCATCAAACAAATGGATCCACTCCATCCCCACCCTAATTAAATAAATCATTCAGTAATTCCACTGGGTTAAAGAACCAAAATATTAAAAACCTTCAGGGCCTACTCTTGCCAAATATGTCAGGGATCGTGTGTGTGTGTGTGTGTGTGTGTGTTCTGAGACACCACTACTGTTAAATAGGCAGAGCTAAGACTTAGGGGACTGGCAGACTATTGCAAAAAGGGCACGGGGCAGAGGGACTATGTTGTGAGCCTGCGAAAGAAGTTTGTGTGGGGACTGTGGGCAGTGAACGCGTTGGGAACAATATGGAAAACTGGGAGCCGCCTTGGAATCTACAGGGCCGGGTAAGAGAATGTCCGAAAGAAAAATGAGCAGGTGCGGGATGTGCGCAGAGTCGGAGAAGAGTCCAGGGCGCCCGGAGTGGCTCCAGGAACGACGGAAACCCCTCAGGGCTTTTGGGGGCGGTGGGTACTAATAGAACCCAGTGTCCGGGGTGCGCCGGGGAGGCTGCGAGCGCGGCGGGAGTGGGGCGCTGGAGGGTGAGGACGCGGGAGTGAGGGAGCAAAGCCGGGCAGGGGCCTCCCAGCTGGGCCCGGAGGCAGCAGGCGGACAAGGGCCAGGAGAGGGCGCGGCGGCGGCGCGGCGGGAAGCGAGGGGCATCCGGACACTCGCCCCGTTGGCCGCGGCCATCGGCCCCCCGACCTCGACGGCCGTCCTGCCGAAGTACCTGCCGTCGCTGCCCACCCCCGTGGTGCGGCCCTGACGGTCGCGCAGGTCGACGGACGACAGCGCGCTCCGGATGAAGTTGGGCGGGTAGCTGCGCTGGCCCTGGAAGAGGCCGGTGGGTCGCCGGTCCTCGCAGGGCGCGGTGGGCACTGTCCGCACCGGGATGCGACTCCCCTCCGCGGCGCCTCCCGGCCGGTCCTGCTGCGGCTCCCGGGGCCGGAGGGAATCTGCAGCCGGCCGGGGGCCTCCGCCAGCCTGGCTGCGCGCCGGGACTCCGCCTCGCGCCCGGGCCCCTCTCCAGCAGGTCGGCGCCCCGCGCCCTGCACCCGCCCGCCTGGGGACCGCCCGCCCCTCCTCTCCGCGCGGCCGCTCGCTGACTCCCTCGGCAGGGATCGCTTCTGCCTCGCTGCCAAGTTTTCTCCCGCCCACCTTCTCCGCTGCCAGACCGCCCGAGCTGCCCTCAGTTTCTCCCCAAGTTGGACTCACTTTCGGGGTGTCCCACAAGCCCGATCCCAGAGCCTGCTAGCCCGACCCCGGCGACGCCTCCACCCGCGCCTGGCCGCAGCCTCCACCCGCGCTCGCCGCCCTCCGGGGCGCACCCTCCGCCAGAAAACAGCCGGCGGGCGGCGAGACTTCGGGCAGAGTGCGGGCTCCTCTCCGGCGCCAGGCCCGTCCCCTGTCTCCCTGGGAGTGCGCAGCCTACACGCACCAGTTTCTCTTTAGAACAAGGACTGGGAGGGATTTGCGAGGGGGCTGAAACCTTTTGCCATCAGCGAACAGCCTCAGCCAAAAACAACCCTGGAAAGGCGAGCTAAGAATGGTTATCTCCTGCCAGCGCTGAAATCGGAGGCCGGGCGCTGCGTGTGGGGTGTGTGTGTGTGTGTGTGTGTGTCTGTGTACCCTCCCACCCCGACCATTTGTTGAAGGGAATCACCACTGTCAGACTTCAATCCAACAGGACCCACTCGAGCCATCCACACTTGCCCCAGCCTCCTCCAAAACAGCACACTTTCCGGTATGGACAATTCTTTTTTTTTTTTTTTTTTCACTTATTTGTTTGTTGTGGTGGTTGCAACAGCAGCAACACAGACGACACATATTTCCCTATTCTTCTCGCCCTTCTCACCCTCCCTACCCAGCTCCTGCCTTAGAAACAGGCTTGGCCTACACTGTATCTGTCCACACTGTCTGAACTCTTCCCTGAATTAATCGTTTTCAGTAGGAGGGGGCTAAATCCCTTATTAATGCCCTACCAGGAGTGAATGAATAAAGCCAAGTTAAAGGAGAACTGGGTACCAGATACTGTGCTAGGTTTCTTTGCATGTACCCTTTCATTCTGCTGGAGCTAAAGATTTTCTGCCTCCTCTCCATAAAACGCACCCAAACTCCAAAACCAGGAAATTCTCCATAGAAAATAGGAGTGAAGAGAGAAAAGACTAACAGGATAAAACCCAAAGCAGGAAGAAAGTTCTATCTCCCATTTCTCTCAAGGAATTTTTGGACCCACCAAGGCTACTGTCCTGAAATATCCTGCTGCTTCTCCTTCCCCAAATATTGTCCACTTCCTGAGAGTAAGGCTGACTTGCCACAGGCTTATAAAGTGTTTGGTCACAGTAAGACAACTGTGAGTAATAACACACATTGTATACTGTTTTGCAATTGATAAAAGGCTTTGCATCTGTTTTTCCTTTGGAGGCTGAAGAAAAGAAGAATGGTATTCACGCAGTTCCCATTTTACAGATGAAAACAAGAGGACTTTTTCTGTGAAGTCAAGAAAGTGGTTACAATGGTACTTTCAGCCTGTCCGAATTATGTATTGCCCCTCCCCTTTTTATTAATAACATTGAAGTGTGATGGGACAACCACTGAAGCCGTCAGTTGAAACCTGCTGGGACTTTTTAGCCATTCTCTTCAACATAAAGAATGGGTGTTTTTGGAGGGGGTGAGAGGAATGGGGAAATGTTGTCAAAGAGTACAATGTTTTAGTTGAGACAGGAAGAATATATTTTGTTGAGATCTACAGCACAGCATGGTGACTGTAGTTAACAATGAAGTATTGTGTATTTCCAAATTGCTAAGACAATAAATTTCAAATGTTCTCACCACAAAAAAGATAGGTTTTGAGGTGATGAATCTATTAATTCTCTGGATTTAATTATTCCACAATGTATACATATATCATAATATCACATTATACCTCCGTAAATACATACAATTTTAATTTGTCAATTAACATTTTTTAAATAGAATAGTGTGGCCAGTCGGGGAGGTAGTTTTTTTTTTTTTTTTTTTTTCCTCTAGTCTCTACTCAGTCTCCAAGATCCCATTCCCCATAAAGTTCCTGTCACCCAGGTGGAGTGCAGTGGCACAATCATGGCTCACTGCACCCTCTCCCTCTTGGGCTCAAGCGATCCTCCCGCCTACAGGTACATGCCACCACGCCCAGCTAATTTTTGTAGTTTTTGTAGACATGGGGTTTCACCATGTTGCCTAGGCTGGTCTCGAACTCCTCAGCTCAATCAATCTGCCCACTTTAGCCTCCCACAGTGCTGGGATTGCAGGTGTGAGCCACCAAGCCCAACCCATAAAGTTCCTAACTTTTTATCTCCCTGGGAGTGCACAGCCTACACACACCAGTTTCTCTTTAGAACATACTTAAGAGTCTTGGCTTAGCATCCAACAGACAGAACTTTAACACTTCTAGGGATCTGTGCACCTGTCTATGGTGTGGGGTTTTTAAGATCTCTTTCTAATGACACTTCATTTTGCAAAGCAGGACAGTTTCATTCCCAGAAGAGCAGGTATGGTAAATCCTTTGTTCCAGTAACGAAGACAATGATCCAAACCCTAAGCCTCAGAGAAGCCCAGAAACCCTCCAGGCCTCCATCTCTCTGCTCCTAGCACCTGCCTCTCTCTTGACATCAACATCATTCTCCCCTCTCACAGCCCAGCTCCTTCCACAGACCCAGGGATTAGGCACCAGCACCTCAGACTAGATTTTAGAGAATTACTATTCAAGAGGCAATCCTCTTCCCTTGGTTCCAATTTCAAGGTTCTCAAAGACTGGAACAGGGCTAGTTTGAGGCAATGTGCCCCACCGCATAGCCAGAAAGAAACTTACAGTGAAAAGGAAAACAATTCTTCCAAAGTAAGGGGGTGCTGATCCCCAGAGGGAGGACAGATGGGCAACCAAACAGTAACCGGGCCACCACGTGCTTCACACTCACTGATCAAGGATTTCTAAAACCACTTTTCTTTTCTCTGAATTTATATAGGACTTTGTATCACTCATAAAGGAATGTCTTATAGGCTGATAACACCTTTCTATTCATGCTTATACTTAACATTTAGGCTAGGATAATTTCCTAACCTCAGTGTCCTCACTATAAGATGGGAATTATTATAATCCCTACCTCATAAATTGTTGGGAGGATTAAAATACTTAGTAAAGTGCCTGACTAATAGAAAGGCATTCAATAAATGTTAGCTATTCATGGTGTCATCATCATTATATTTACCATTATTACTAATCTCCTGTATTGCAAGAATTACAGTTTATATTTTCGTAGACCATCACTGTAGCTAAAGGGTCTTTGGGCCATAGGTGATATTCCATAAAGGTTGGTTAAATTGATCTGTGGTTTTTGACTATGGAAACTCAGAACTCCCTCAAAATGTACAAAACAGATTTACCTGCTAAATAAATCTCTTCAAAGCTGACCCCAGGTTTAATTGAATTAATTCCAATGAATTTGTCACAATGATGGAGAAAGGAAACTTAGAGGGCCCCACAGTTGTTTGCTGGTAAAATGAGAAGTTTGGATTAGATCAATGTTTCCCAAAATATTTTCCTCAGAATGTTAGTGCCCCTCGAATCCTGCACAAAGCAAGAGTTTCATGACCAAGTAGCTTTTAAAACTCCTGTACACTCTACTCCCATTCTTCACAATGCACACTTTCATATTAAAAGTTCTGAGAGGTCCTCAACAGAAGACATCACTTAACTTTTTTTTTTTTTTTTTAAGACAGATTCTCACTCGGTCACCCAGGCTGGAGTACAGTGGCCACCACTCCTGGCCTAAAAATTTTTTAACCTGGTGCTTCCCAATCTAAACTCACAGGGACCAGTTTTCTTAATGAAAGAGAATCAGACTAGCTTGTAACCATAGCTGGTGACCCTCCCCTGCCCCATTCCTTGTATGTCCTCAGTGGACTAGGTCAGGAATAAATAAATTTTCCTGATTCTCAAGGGCTGGTCACTCCTTTGCACTGAGCTCAAAGCTTCTCTGTAGCATGGGTCACAATGAATGGTAGCCCTGATAGCCTAGAGTAGCCTTTCAGCCTTCTCTGAGCCTCTAAAGACTGAGGATCCTTGGCATGAAATAGGAGCAACTGATATACCCTTGCTTCCCCTGGGGACTCTCTTGCTCTCAAAAAGGCATCAGCCATCATCTCCATCTAGAGAATATACTAGCTGACTCAGCTTGACCAGCCTGTCCCAAAATGAGAATCTGGGTAAAATAAGTATTGAAACACTTCATTCCTTGTAGATTCACAAAACACATTAGCATATTAAAGACTATGAAGTTCTGCAGGAAAAAAAACCTATTTAACTTTAATCCAACATTGCCAAGTTTTATTTGACCATGGAAGATTTTTCCAAAACACTTACAAACAGATCAAGGACATTAATCTTTCATGAAACACTTTAGATCCCCAGGGTCCTCTCCAGCTACATCATTCTGTGATTTTTTTATTTATGATGCATTAAAAGATTAATCTCTATCAGACTTCCATTTAGAAATTCACCAGAATGTGCAAAGGCAGCAGGTAAAATTGCCGAAGGGTATTATAAAAATACCCTCCAGTGATTTTTGAAACTTAAACTGAAATATTTATTTAACTATATATTTCAGTTTGTATATTATATATATATGTATATACACACATATATATGTGTATATATATATTTGTGTATGTATATCTATATCTATGTATATATGGCATTATATCCATTTTACAGATGCAGAAACTGAGCTTTAGAGGGGGTGAGCAATTGGTCCAAAGCCACACAGCACACAGGTAGTCATTGATAAAGGTAAAAACAAGAGTTGAAGCCTGAGGTGTAAGGACACAGAGACAAGTACACAAATGTTTACAAGTTACACATATGACACGTGCCTTTAACATGAATTTCTGGAACATTCATTTAGAGGCCTTACAATGAAGACATCAGAGTGGCAGCAAGTTCTGTTGGAATCAGGGGAGCGTGTTCTTCTATAATCCCCTGGCTGACAGGAAAGCACGCTGATTTGGCCCATGGTAGTTATACACTCCCATTGAGTCAGGGGCCACTTCTATGCACACAGGAGGTGCTAAAAATATGCTGTTGACTCATTGCCTCTAAGAGCAGAAGAAATGCCAAAAGTATAGGACAAGAGGCAGAAAAGCACACGGAAAAATGTCGTAGGGCAGTCCTCTAAGGAAGTGTTAGATCCCTTTGAAATCTGTCCAAACACTTTCTTGTGCTGGGGAAAGTCAATTACATATTTCAAGCAACCCCACATGTCATACGAGTATCTTGTACGTGTTTGCGTACTCGTGTCTGTGAACTTACATCTCAGACTTCAACTTCTCGCTTCCCACCCTTATCAATGACTGCCTGCATGGCCTTGGGCAAGTTGCTTTCCCTCTTCAAAGCTCAGTTTCTGCATCTATAAAATGGACATAATGCTACCTACCTCATGGAGTTAGTGATCACATTTAAGGAGCTAATATGTGGAAATTGCTTAAACAGTACCTGTCACATAATAAGGGTTTAATAAGTGTTTGATGTAATTGTTTTGATTATTACTACTATTACTAAAATAATAATTACTACAATAATAATGATTCTTATTCTCTATATTAGTATTATCTTTGAAAATGGGCACGGATTATGTCTATGTAACACTTTTGGCACAATATCTAGCATTATATCACATACAAATTAGAGAATTCATGTTATTAAGGATGAAAAAATATTTTTACTGACCCTTAAATTCTTCGTAAGTAACTGCAAAAGAAGCCATTATCCCAACACATGAAATAAAAAAAAAATTCAGTTCCTCTGGAGTTTGTTTTTGGAGGTAGCCACAGGATACCTAAATTTTTTTTTCTTTTCAGAGAGACCGAGGGGCTCACTAGGTTGACCAGGCTGGTCTTGAACTCCTGGCCTCAAGCCATCCTCCCACCTCAGCCTCCCAAAGTGCTGGGATTACATGCATGAGCCACCACATCCAGCCTACCTAAAATATTGAATGCTGTTAATAAATCTCCTGAGGCCAGCATAAGAAGGTGATGGGCAAAACTAATGCAGGTATGTTTTTCTGGCTTTTTCATGTATTGGGCCCAACTTTGAAAAGCACTTACTATTAATGGCTAACTTGCAAAATTTGTGATTTATTAAAAGCAGATTTTAATTGTTTTACCTAAAAATAATAGGCCTCTGATCTGCCAAAGATGAAGATTTAATTTCTAGGTGTTCCCCACAATACCTAGAAACATCAGTGTGATCGATTATTAAACACTTTAGAACTATTCTCATCAAAGTTCTTTATTATATAATACAGCAAAAGAAAAGTTTCTTTTCTAAAGGCTTCTCTATACTTTTTTTAATAGTTGAATTTCATTTCTGAAGGCTCCTAAAAAGAATAGAATTTAGATCTTTATTAAAGAGGAAATATATTTTCCATGTTTAATTTAAATTACATTCCATCAGTCATTTGCAATCTTAGCCGACACGGAATTTTTTTTTTTTTGGTAGTTTTTATGTTTGGGCTTTAGGAGGGGATTCCCAATAATCTCTATATAAATATTTTAACATTTCAATGTAAATTAGTTTTTTAAAGCTATTTTATCCATAAAAATAATGAATTTGCATGGCTGAGGGTGAAATAATGTGTTATCAGGACCCCTCAGTTCTGGGGGTTGTGAGTAGATCCCATCTTCATGTTCCTCCAGCCCAGCCCAAGCCTGGCTCAGGTCCTCCTCCCCCATTTGTCAGGAACCACCATCCCCAGGGATTCTATGTGCCCTGCCTGACCAGTGTTCTCCATCAGAGTTTACCAATCTTTTGTTCATTCCCTCAGAGCACAGCTAAGCAAGAGTACACTAATTTGAAAATTAACTCAAGCAAATAGAGGAACAATATCCCCAACACATTGCATTTTAACATAGGGTTTCCTGGACACACTGTTTCAACCCAAGAGTTGGGCTAATAGTAGGAGTTCCATCTGCTAAAATACGGCTGTCAGCTTCAGAGGGAAATTCATGAACGTCTTCATAGTTTGTTTTTACGTTTCACTTGGCACTGTTTCTAAAATTTCCTCTGAAGCCAAAAAATAAGTTATTTCCCAGCACACTGGTCACTTTTCATTTATCATTGGATTGATTTTTCTAACTTGCAGTAGGAGCTGAAATCGACCAGGGGGTTCTTATCCAACAGACAGCAGCAAAACTCTTTGTGTATCTGCGTTCCTTTCAACAAGTGTGACTTCCTCAATGGCATCATTCGTGAGCGTAACACAGAGCTCAGCAATAACGTTTCTTCACTAACCCTACCAGGTATCCAACATAGGATGTTACTTCCTTTCACTGTTTTCCGACTCCTGGCAGATATTAATCATTGGGATTTGGGAACAAGGAAATAGAATTTCTGAGAATGCTTGGGAACTCCCAAATTCATATGATTTTCATAACACTTCACTTACAAGTTTTTGAAAAATAATAAGTGACTATAATAACAAGCAAATAGTCGTTTTTTTCTGTAACAGGATTATATGAAAAGTTTTAGTAGTCTTCTGTTTTAAAAAGATATGATAACAAATGATGATTTATTATTATGAGCCAACATATTGTAACAAGATTATAAAATCCAATAGCATTAATAGAGAAAACATTAAAAAGAAATGAATATTATCACAAAATAAATGCTAAAGAAAAGTCCTTTAAAGATTGAAAGGTAACACCACAAATACTTAATGCTTTAATCATTGTTTACATGACATTGTTAAACAAGGCATCAATCATCCCCTCCAATACCATTTAAATAACATAACATTCTGATCTCCTGGCAAGATGAATAGCACTAGAAAGAAGCAACTGTCAAAATTGCCGATTTAAGGGCATATTTTGTTTCTAAAACTTGGCATTTCTTAGAACACCTCTCATAGGATTTGTAAAACATATACTATGCCTATGAACACATTAATATTTATTTGCAGAAATGGTTCACTGTTAGCAGTGGACAAGGCCATGAACACACACTTATAACACAGCAACAGATACAAGAAAGTCTGACTGAGGCTCCATTACTGCTCCTGTCCTGTTCACCTTAACTTTCATCTCCACATGTCAGCGCTTCCTCATCTTGCCTGACTTGAAGTCAGTGCATTTCTTCAAGCCAGTAAGTTCTCTATACTGACTATTAAGCTGTAATTCTCACAGGAAAATTAGAATGTTCCTTCCCATTTTCCTAATTTCTCAACTGATTTTTCTCAGAATTCAGAATCCATAAATATTGAAATGCCAGGAGAGAATTTCCAAATGGAAATGCTGTTCCCTTCGTCCATTTTCAGAAGAAACCGTAGGATAGTGTTATCCTTCTCTTCTCCAATTTTTTTTTTCCTGCAAACTTATGGTTATCACCTCTTTAAGTGCGTAGCTCACAATTTTGCCTCCCCTGCAAATGGTCCCAATACAGTGAAGTGGGTCCTCTTTAGCTGTGTCTTTACTACATAATCCTGCATTTCTGACCGTAGGCAGGGAGGGTGACCCAGGGAAGGATCCCTGACTCAATGGGATTTCTCTTGCTGTCTCTAGAATTTGAACACCGGAACCCAGACGTACAGAGGCTGGGAGCCATTGTGGTGTGCTATATTGATGACGGCAGCAGTGGGTGGTGTGGGGGCAGTTAATTGACAGCTACCTGTTGCTGACATCTCAGGAACTGCCTGAACCTCCTCTTTCCCAGTCATAAGATATCTAAGATTCTGCAGTATTCTTCATTAAATCCTAGCATGGTTTAAGCTAGCCAGAATTAGGTTCTGTTGCTTTCAATCAACAGAACCTTAGCTAATACATTGTTATTTCCTGGTCCTTGTTCCTTTAATTTTCCAAGAAAATAAGGGAAAATGGCTTACTGGTTTTAAAAAGAGACAAGGGACAACATACCATTTATGCAAAATTTAGAAGCACTCAAAGGAAACTCTGGAAAGCTCCTGAGACATATATAGGTAGGATCAGCATAAAACTTGAACAGTGTATCTAGATCATGGTTGCCATGGTTGCCTTGACACAATGAACATCTGTATCAAGATCATATTTTCTTGGTGGGACAGAGAGAAGCACAAGGCGGGACTCACATTTACAGTAATCCTTGTTTTCCAGGGACCATACAACCCAGTTTGTCTAGAGCTGTTCATCTTAAGTTTGTTATCCCACCATAATTATAAATAGAACCTCCTTTTTCTCTCAAGAATATCCCACTTTGGATGATAATTTCTATGACTACCCATTAAGAATATTTTAAGAATATTTAATAACTATAGAAAACTGCTTCTCTATATTTTTTGTATGTTTGAAACATTTTATAACAAAAATATCTTTTAAGTTATCACCTACACAGAATATAGCTGCCAAATGCTCCTACTCTGCTATTCTAACCATGAATCCCTCTGGGGCCCCTTCCTCCTACGGCGCTTGTGAGGATGAAATGAAATAAGCTCTATGAAGTGCCCAACAGTGACCAACACTGAATAAAATACAGCCACCATAGGTGGCCTTCCCTTATGTTCACCAAACTCCTGATAAGTTATTCAGTGATGTTTTAATCTTAATATTTTATGTAGATTATACATTCATCTGATTCAAAATGCAAAAGGTACAAAAGCGTATACAGTTAAAAGTTTCCCAACCCACTACCATTTATCTCCCTGGAGGCAACTGTTTCCAGATTTTTGAATATCCTTAAAGAATATCATATGTATGGAAAAGAAAGATTATATATTTATATGCATCTGTGTATGCATTTTCCTATGAGAGGCTCACAAAGTCTCCTTGAAGAGATATCATTACTACAAATACCCCTCAATTTACAATGGGGTTATATTCCAATAAACTTATGAAAATATTGTAAGCTGAAAATGCATTTAATACACTTAACCTACTAAACATCATAGCTTAGCTCGGCCTACCTTAAACACTCACATTAACCTACAGTTAGGCAAAATCATCTAACAGAAAGCCCATTTTATAATAAAGTGGGCTTTGAATATCTCATGTAATATAATGAATACTGTACTGAAAGTGGAAAACAGAATGGTTGTATGGGTACTCAAAGTACAGCTTCTGCTGAATGTGTATTGCTTTCAAACTATCTTAAAGTTGAAAAATCATAAGTCAAAATATTGTAAGTCAGGGATTGTTTGTACTTCCACTTTACATGATGAAATTGAGCCTTGAAAAGATTAAGTGACTCGCCCAAGGTCACACTGGCAGTTAAACAGTGAAACTTGGATCCAAATTGTTCAGTCAGTACATGTATTGTCTTGAAATCTGAAAAAGAGGAAGAGGAATTAAACTACTAAATTGAAGGAATATTTTAGGCATAGAAGAAGCAGATGCCTTCATGTCCAAGTGATTGTGAAAAGCCCACTTGCCCCAAAATATGTCTCCTGGTCGTATGAAATTCCACCATTTCAGATTTTTACCTGGGGATTTAGAGTAATCTGCTGTTTTCCTAGAGCTCCCCTAAAATAGAAATTTTGGAAGGCTAAATATATGCTAACATTGGAAAACTCATTTTCTCCCCTTCGTAAGGCAAGGTACTGAAGGAGGGGGCCCTACGGGCTGTGCAGGGACATCCTGGAGGCATGGGGAGAAGAAACTGAAAGGCAAGGTTGTATGGAACAAAGAATACCGATCTCAGGATTCTCTCTTGAACCTGCCCTAACTTTGTTCAAATAGACTTAGCCACTGACCTGCTGTCAAAAGACCGCAGCCAATCTGACTTGTTTTCAACATAATGATGAATATTGATTTGGTCCCTTCATCCAACATTCTCAGCTGGATCTTTTTTTGACCAAGGATATACATTACTAGGCGAGTACAGGCAGTTAATTCTTCCACACGGGACTTTGGAGTTTCTGAGTTAACCAGAATCACCCACCTTAACATCTGCCAGTTTATACCCCAAGTCCTGACCAGTGCCCCCTACCTGCTATGCCTCATGTTTTCAATATAGCATAAAATCTGAAATGAAAGATGAAACATCATAGCCAATATCACAGAAATACAAAGGATCCTAAGAAACTCCTAGGTATAATTACACACTAACCAATTGGATCATCTAGAAGAAATGGATAAATTCCCAGACACGTAAAACCTACCAAGATTGACTCATGAAGAAATTAAAAAATCTGAACAGACTAATAGCAAGCAAGGAGGTTGAATCAGTAAGAAAATGTCTCCCATCAATGAAAAACCCAAAACCAGATGGCTTCCCAGATTAATTCTACCAAATATTTTAAGAAGAACTAATACCAGTCCTTCTCAAACTCTTCCAAAAAGCTGAAGTGGAGGGAATACTTCCAAACTCATCTTACAGGGCCAGCATTACCCTGATTCCAAAGCCAGACAAGAACACTACAAGAAAGGAAAATTACAGGCCAATATCCTTGATCTACATAGATGCAAAAATCCTCAACAAAATCCTAGCAAACCAAATTCAATAGCACATTGAAAGAATCATTCACCACGATCATGTCATGGTTCATAAGCAAATCAATACATATAATATACCATATTAGAAAAATAAAGGATAGAAACTATATGGCCATCTCAATAGATATAGAAAAAGCTTTTGACAAAATTTGAAACCCTTTCATGGTGAAAAAAAAACACCCAACAGATCACGTATTGAGGGACTGTATCCCAACAAAATAAAGGCCATGTATGACAAACCCATAGCTAACACCATAATCAATGGTGAAAAGTTGAAACTTCTCCTCTACCATCAGGAACAAGACAAGGATGCCCACAGACACCACTTCTCAGGGTAATTAGGCAATAGAAAGAAATAAAAGGCATCCTAATAGGAAAGGAAGAAGTGAAATTGTCTCTACTGACAGCATGATCTTGTTATATATAGAAAACCCTACAAACTTCACTAAAAAAAGGTTAGAACTCAACACAAAGAAGGGAACAATAGACACTGGGGGACTCCAAAGGTGGGAGGGAAGGATGGTGGGAGCAAGGGTTGAAAAACTACCTGTCGATTACTATGCTCACTGCTTGGGTGGTGGGATCATTAGAAGCCCAAACCTCAGCACCGTGCAATATACCTGTGTAAGAAACCTGTACATCTACCCTCCTGACTCTAAAATGAAACGTACAATATTTAAAAAACAAAAACAAATAAATAAAATTTGAAAACTGTTAGAACTGAACTGATAGGTGAAATCAGTAAAGTTGTAGGATACAAAATCAACATATAGAGCCTTGAACACAGCAACATCCAGCTGTCTGACATGAAAGTCTCAGGGGCAAGAAAACCTCTATATGAACTCAGAAACAATGAGCTAAGTTGTGTTTATGTCTGAAAGGATGTTAAGAACTTCATTCATGTTACATTAGAGCCAACAGAAAGAACCAACAGGAAACCTGTACCCAACAAACAGAAATGACAAGATGAAGGGAAAGCAGAGGTAAGGGCTTACCTTAGAAAGGGCAAGTGATTAGCTCAATATGCAATACAATATTTGCTCCTGAGACAAAAATTGGTACAATAATTTGGATATTACTTGCACAACCAGAAAAATCAGCCACTCATTAGGAAAATGTGTTTCTGTATAAGTCTTAGGACTCAGCTATCTATAATAACATGAAAAGACAATATTTTCATCCAAAATGAGTATTTTTGTTTGTCTTGGCTTGTTATTCTAATGTCAACAGCCTCTAAATAAACTGTTGAAGTACATGATATAACCACCTCTTTCTCCATCTTTCCCATTGCTCCCATAGGGTTTCAGTTGTGCAATTTCACCATTAGCAAAGCTTTTTGCTGAAATCTGGCTTTTCAAAGGGAGAGTATCCAGAAACAGAAGATGCTGCTCTGAGAGGCTCTTCCTAATAGAACTGCTGCTTCAGTTTAGCTTGAAAAAGCCCACACCGAGTTCCTAATGACAGACATCTGAACACCGGGTCTTCCCACGAGCAAGACCATGCTATGCCTCCTGCTCGCTCTGTTCTATAAGCAACCCACAGATTGCTCCCTGTGAAGAGGAGCCTGCCAGGGGAGCAGCATTCCACCAGACCCTGATTTAGCAAGATATTTCCGTATCATTCCCCCAACCAGCTGGAAGTCCTCCATTGCTCTTGTGTAAAAATCTAACTCATCTCGCTGAATTTCCTGATTTAAAAGTCTAATTCATTTCACCAAAAGTGTGACAGAAGGAAACCAAGTACACCATCTCTCTCTTACCAAACCAAAGCTATTGCATGTGCATTCTGGGGGAAAAAAATGGTCCAAATATGTTATGGAGGGGGTGCCAGCCCAGTGTCATCCTCTTACTATTGCCATAGGATCTTGGCTGATGGCATCAGAGGAAAAACAAGTTTATCGATTACTTTCAACCATTAAGCTCACTCCTCCATGAAAAATAAGTCACAAGTCCAATGTCTCTTATTAAAATAAGCACTGCAAAATATAAAGGAGTCACAGTTTTAAAATGGGACACACATTCTCTAAGCGGTGAACCACGTTAGAGGTGCACTGTTTACATTGTATAAAGTCCCCTGGAGCCAGGGTTAGGAAGCGCATCTGTTCTTTGGTGTTCTGGGATGAAGGAGAAAGGAAAATGTGCTGCCAAAAGTGAGTGGGAAGGAGCCCATGAGATAAAGGAAGTAAATCCATTTGCTGATTGCAATAATAATGGTAATACACGAAGCCATACATACATACATACATACATACATACATGCAAACTTTCACATTTTTTTAAAAAAAGAACTTAAGGCTTCCACACATGTAATCAGCCCTTATGAACTCTCCTGATTAGCTGCAAGGAAAATCTTCCTTTCTCCTTTTTCCTGCACCATCCTGGGCTCCCTTTTGACTTTTTTTTTTTTTTTTTTTTTTTTTTTTATAAACGATCAGCTCATATTCTGAAGTTTGTAGTCCCCTCCCGCCCCCTCTCTCTCTATACCGCTCATTTACATTGGCAGCTGTCGTGCTGCTGGGCATCCTCAAACCCACCAGTTTCCCTTTTATGTTTGAGCAGACAAACATGATCATGCACTAGGCATCACTGTGCCACTCAAAATGCTTTTTTGTTTTTTTTATTGCATCTGAGAGAAATCTCAAGGTTGCAAACCTGGAGTCAGAATTGTCTCCATGTGTCTCAGTGGGAAGAGTATCGTGTGAAGAAATAAGTTGATTCTACTAATCAAAAGGATTTTTTTTTGATATCAGGTCATCCTCCGAATGAATTTATATTACCGAGTGGAGGGTCACATGAAGAAAATGGTCAAACAGCACCACCTACAGCAAGAGCTGAGAAGTGCAGCGGAGCCGGGCTGAGTCAGGAAAGAAAAGCAAGCTGGGGCCTGGCTCAGCGCTCTCCCCTCTGCTCCTGTCTGCACGGAAAGATTAGGATGACAGTGGCAGGACGCCTGTGCACCTAGTATGCATCACTTGAAGGGAACACACAGATTCCAGTAAACAGTTGGAAGGAAATGTTAATACCAGGCTCTGCTAAACAATATGAAATGACTCCTAGATGAGACAAGCGACTTTCATCAAAGTTTCCTGATACCTGAAAAGACAGCCCAGGGGATCCTGCACTACATCTGGTGTATGTAAATTAAGCGGGTTTTTTCCCCCTTTGTAATCAAGGCTCATACACAAACAAAATCACACTTTAGAAACGGCCTATTTCAACTTGTAACTAGCTTGCTTTCAGGGGCTCCAGGTCAAAAAGAAATAGAGCACAAAGACGCTTTCTCCTTAGGGATCATACACAAATTCACTCTGTCCGTTTCTTTCCCACATGGAACAACAAAGCCATCAGACCTCTCCATCCACCCATCGGGTCCTTCCTGATTAAAGTGAGATAAATCACAGCCCTCTCTCTCCAGATGGCAGGCGACAAGAGGGGGATGCTTGCCTCAAGAAGTCCTCCCCATCCCTCTGCATTCATGCAAGCCCGAGCAGAGAGATGCAAGAAATTATGGATGCGTTTTAATTCCCCAGACCCTGCAATTAAAAATGGAAATTTTTTGGCCACGTGTATTGGCTCACGCCTGTAATCCCAGCACTTTCAGAGGCCGAGGTCGGCGGATCACCTGGGGTCAGGAGTTCGAGACCAGCCTGCCCAACATGGTGAAACCCTGTCTCTACTGAAAATACAAAAATTAGCTAGGATTGGTGGTGGGCGCCTGTAGTCCCAGCTACTCGGGAGGATGAGGCAGGAGAATCACTTGAACCCGGGAGGCAAAGTTTGCAGTGAGCCAAGATGGCACCACTGCACTCCACTCTGGGTGACAAAGCAAGACTTCATCTCAAAAAATGTTTTTAAAAAATGGAAGTGTTGTTCTTTCATTTGTAAATGTGTTTTGGTAAAAGAGGGGCAGTTTAAGCAACCCTTTTTATTGTCTACATTGTTAAAATTCATCAGACATGGACTCTTGACTCCGTTTTGCCTGGGCAGAACCAATTCAAGCATTTACAACAGCTATAACCTCCTCAAATCAAAAAGAGGAATCAGCATTATTGCTAAGTTCAAATAAGGTCTTGTTTTATTTCATTTTTATTTTTGAATGCAGCCATTCCTCCAGGTGCTATCATCAGGTAAGACTGTCAGTCCTGATTAGGTAAAGGTATTATTACAAAATGCAATTCTTAAAAATTCAGTGTCTAACTACACTTTTAATAAGCCTTTCCCCCTCCCCTATGTATTCTCCCTTAGACACCCCTTCTCAAATTTAAAATCACAGAAACTAAAATATGATGCCTAAAGAGAGCCTAGCGACTGCCCAGTCCTCTAATTTGATGAGTGGGAGTACTGAAGCCCAGAGGAGGTCAAGTAATTTGTTCCCAATGTCTTAGATAAGAAGAAAATGACCAGCTGGGAAATCCCACTCATGTCAAGGCAGAGGCACAGGGCCACAGACTGTGGTTGAATTGTGCCACACTCCTACATCCTTCTTTAGGAATCACAGAACATTCCTGTGTTGAGTCGGAGTCACTGACTTCCTTTTCAGGCTGATTGAGTTCTGTCCTTACGGGCTGCGACAAGAAGTTTTGGTATTATGCTACACCAAGACCATTTATCTAGTTCAAGAAATGAGCACAGTCCTTAGAGCCCAGCAACTTTCCCCATGTCCAGTAAATGTAGCTTCTCCATTAGAAGCTGTCAGAATGGAGCCTTCTGGCTCATCTTGATTTTGATTTGTGCAAGAATGAATGGTTGTGCTAAGACAGCTTTCCTAGCTGATAGTGAGCAAAACTTTTTTCTCATAATCTATAAAAAAATTAAATTAGAACTTTTATCTCATAATCTGTAAAAAAATATTACATCTGGCTTGTCTTGATTTTGATTTGTGCAAGAATGAATGGTTGTGCTAAGACAGCTTTCCTAGCTGATAGTGAGCAAACCGTTTTTCTCATAATCTATAAAAAAATATTAAATTAGAAGCACAGAGTTTATTTCATGACTTTTATCTTCCTGCAATTTTCTTGTGGGCATAAATGATTTGTTTTTATCCTGCCTGCCCCAATCCCTTTTCCAAGAGACTAAAAGAGTATCTAGTGCAAAGTAGATACTCAAATATTTTTTAATAAACAGTGATCCCAGCCGCCCAGTGCATGTTGCCAAATGCCAACCCCATAAATGATCAAACACATCATCTCATTCAGCCAATCAAAATCAAGTGCTACCTATTTTTTAAGTTTTCATAGCCCTTGGGCATCTGCTTTCTCAGCATTTCCCAAAGTTGAGTCATTCTCATCCTGCCTTCATAATTTTGCTCTGTCAATTACCTCTACTATTATTTATTTCATATATTTTTAAATAGCCCCACTTTTGAAACTTAAATACATGTCTTTTAAAAGGAAGCTTTCTTACTGCTATACATCAAAAGCCATTATTACTTGTTCTAAGTACTCATAACAACATGTTCACAACTATTAAAATTTAGTAATGTGCATCCACATACTCTCTAAATTCATGGAGCATCTGCACACACTTTAAGAAACAATTCTGCATTACTCACTCAATTTTCTTGACATCCTTCTGAGGCAGGACAAACCTTGGGCCCAAAGAATTGAGGTAGGAGTCCAAGCAAGTTGCCAGCCACATAAAGGCAAACCTTGGCTTGGAAGTCAGGACTACCAGCCCCTAGGTTATGGTTCATGCTCTTTCCTCTGCTCTCCAGAACCTCCTATCTCCAAGTGTAGTTAGCAGCCCAGATGCAGCAGCATCCTCTAGAGACTTGTTAAAAATGCAGAAGCTCAGGCTCCACCCCAGGCCTATGCAGACTGAATCTGCATTTTAACAAGGTCCAGGTAATTCACGTGCACATTAAGTTTGAAAAGGCCTGGTCTAGATCAGCAGTTCTCTAACTTAGCAGCACATTAGAACCATCTGTAGAGACTTTAAAAATACCAGTGCCTGGGCTTCACCTCCCAGAGAATCTGATTTAAGTGTCTGGGGTTTGCCCTGAGTCTAGGTATTTTTTAGAACTCCTCAGCTTATACAAAGCTGGCAGGGCCGGGCACAGTGGCTCATGCCTATAATCCCAGCACTTCGTGAGGCCAAAGTGGGCAGATTGCTTGAGTCCAGGAGTTTGAGACTAGCCCGGGCTAAAACCCCATCCCTACAAAAAAAAAATACAAAAAGTAGTTGGGCATGGTGGTGGCACATACCTGTAGTCCCGGCTACTCAGGAGGCTGAGTCCTCGCTTGAACCCAGGAGGTCACGGTCTGGTCAACAGAGCAAGACCCTGTATCAAAACAAACAAACAAACAAACAAAAAATGCTAGCAGCTTACCAGCTAGGGAGGCCTGTACAGCCAAGTTTTCCAAATGGGGCTACATTAGTTGTTCCAGAACTTTAGCTGCATCAAAACCACCTGGATGGCTTGTTCAGCTACAGAGGGTCTGGCCATGCCCCTAGAGTTTCCAGCTGAGGGTCTGGAATGAGGCCCGATGATTTGCATTTCTAACAATCTCCAGGCGATGCTAATGCTGTGGGTCCAGGGACCACATTTTGAGAATCTATGCTAAATGAACCGGACAAGATCGAAGCTCAAACTTATTCCAAGAACTTTTCAAGGCCCACCTGCAAGTTGTAGTGGAAGTAAGCATCTAAGGGTGCAAAAAAGTTTCACTATAGACTAAGGCCTTTTACCTGAGCTCTCAAATGTTCACATTTCTCTTGTCACCCTAAATAACAAACAGAGAGAGGCTCTCCACAAGAAAAAGATATTCGTTTGGAAACAGAGCCTTGCAATAGAAATAGGCAAGCCAGAGTAAACTATATGCATATTCACGGAGGTAAAGGAAGACAAAAGAAAAAATGAGGAAGATTATATGATCATTTGGAAATGATTATCCTTGGCTACAAAGATCAATAACAAAGGTGAGGCCAGGCCCAGGTTGGACAGGCAGTTGTTGGGCAAATATCCTTCAGAAGCATTGTTGTGTGCAAAGTTGCAATGGGCTTTGTGCAAGATTGTGTTTTTTGCAGTCTTCTGTGATAATTTTTTGTTATCAGGCATACAAGCCCAAGAATCCTTTTTTGCATGGCCTTCCCTGGCTCTATTTGTCAGGGTTTTGGTTAGGGGAGGGGTATTTTTAACACTCTCAAGGTAAAAAATGCCATAAGGTAGGTACCCCAATTGCTTGTTTCGTCTTCATAAAATAACTTTTCCACCCGAACAAAGTCTACACATAAATTGTAAAAATACCCTGGCATGCAGTCCCTGGAAAAGTCTGGAGTCATTCTCGGGGTTCCCACCCAGGTGGGCGAGCGGAGCCACCACAGATAAACACAAAGCAGGGGTGCCCGCTGGGGCGTGGCGGCAGGCAGTGGTCCTGGTTCGGATATTTGGCTGAAAACACAGCTCCTCTTTGTCACCCTCAGGAAGCCATCCCAAACCGCTCGAGGAGTCCTTGAAGCCAATGTTACCACTAGGACAGCAAGTTTGCCTGAAAGCTATTTGCCTTTGCAGCAGATTCATTAAGCCAGAACAAAGAGAAGACCAATGACTAAAAGATTTCTCTCCTTTTAAAAATCATGCTCTTTAACTCATAGCACATTTTCATTGTCCATCTGGGCAAAGCCGCTGTCTCATTTTGCTTTTTCCCTCGTCTGTGATGCTCACACTCATCCTCCCTATCCCATCAGCAACCTCTCTAGTATGTTTGACATGTGTCCTTAAACTTTATATCTTGGCCGGGGGCGCGGTGGCTGTAATCTCAGCACTTTGGGAGATGGAGGTGGGTCTATCACTTGAGCCCAGGAGTTTGAGATCAGCCTGGGCAACATAGTAAGATTTCATCTTTACTAAAAATAAAAAACAAAAAAATTTAGCCAGGTATGGTGGCCTGTGCCTGTAATCCTAGCTACTCGGGAGGCTGAGGTAGGAGGATCACTTGGGCCTGGGAGGTCAAGACTGCAGTAAGCTGAGATGGCGCCACTGCACTCCAGGCTGGGCAACAGAGTGAGACCCTGTCACAAGAAAAAAAAAAAAAGAAAAAACAACTATCTCTGTAGAAATAGGCAAGGTTGTTTGATATACAAATGTGGCTTTAAATTACATAATAACATTATATCAGTAAGCCCATTTTTTTCTTATAGTTGCACTCAACATCATGATTTTAAGACCTAGGCATGTTGCTTTATATTTGACTTCATGAGAAGTCACCTTTACACATCTGTTTCTCACACTGAAATCAACATGCTTTTGAGTCAGTATTTAGGACTGAGTGAGGCTGTTCGCTGGAGTTAATCTGACACCAGATGCATTTATCCCTCTTTAGGACTGTAACGAATTCCTTTCCGCTCTGTTCGCCCATGCTCACTAGTTGGCATCACAGGTGTCATCTTTGAAAAAGAAAAACATCTCATCCCTTGGTTTCCTGACAACCACCCCCACCCCCTGCCTTGGCTCTTTTTCATGGAATTTGCACCAAACAGCACAGAGACAAACGTCTCTCTAACGTCTATGATTTATCCTTGCTTACACAAGATCACTCCAGCCTATAAAAAAGTATTTTTAAAAAATATGAAAAGTTACCCCAGTCTTGGATTACAGAGTTTCAGATAAAAATGAAAACATAGTAAAATTGCTTATCAGAGAGTTTCCTGTTCTTATTCGCCCTTACTCCTTTCGCAGATGTGAGTCATAAATCCACAACCAAATCCTCCCTTCTTCGAGGTCAACTCCTACTAACACCCATGAGGAGGGAATTTGGCTCATATAATAACACTTAATTAAAATGTATAATGTCCACATGTACATGAGAAATAAAAAGAATGCTTCTTCGGGTATGTTTCCAGCCCAATCTTTCAAAATACGTGAAGTATTTCTTAATCTACTATACCCTATAAATGATAAATATAAGATACTAAGATTTAAAATACTTTCAATAACACTTTCCTAGGCCTCCAGATGAGCACTACATAAGTTTATAATAAAATATTTAAAATAGCTACCATGTATTATGTGTTTATAATGTGCCAGGCACTGGAGTAATGTGTTTTCACATTTTAATCCTCATAAGCCAAAGACATAGATTTTTTATCTTTGTTTTAAAGTTGAAAGACCTAAGGCTCAGAGATAAATTTTTTAAAAAATCTTTAATCCCTTTATACAAGATTAGCTCATTCTCACAAGCCAAAAATAAAACCCAAAACTCCCATATCTCCCCATATAAAAAAATACTCTTTAACTTCTTTCTCCCTCCACAACCCCTCCTCCCTCTCCTTTCTATCTTCAGCCAACATCTGGAAGGTTCTGTCTACATTCACTCCTCCATGTTAACGCCTCCCTCTTCGCCTCCTTTCCTTGCAACCTGGTTGCCTCTCACAGCAGTGAAACAGAAAGCTGTTTCCTCAGCCCATAACCAACTGTAACTTTGAATCACTGTGCACCCTTGGCCGCGGCCGCCGCCTCCTTCAATTTAACTCCCTGCCTTGATCTGCCATCTCTGGCATGCTCTACTTACATTCACTCCTCCTCTTCATGTGTTTCTGGGCTGCTTTGCCAACTCTTCTTCCTCTGCTGCCCTCATACATCCAGGCAGAGGAGCACAGCTTCTGCCTTGGCCTCCTGCCTTAGTTCTAACTGGTGTCCCCTGAGCATCTCAAGCCCCCAGACTGGAGCCTGTGTCCTGGGGTTAATTCCCTTCCCCACCTATGGAGGCTTAGCTCCTGCCCACCAGTGGGGTTATCACAAGTGCCTTCCTTTTCCTCACACTCTGCCTCTTACAGGGTTTCCGTCGGCTGGCCATTTGTGAGTTGTGTGACCCTGGACCTCAGTGTCCTCCCATAGAAAACAAGGAGCATGAACTAGATTTATCTCTAGTGTCCTTTCTAGGTGTTTCTTTCTTTCTTTATTTTTAAACAAGATCTCACTCTGTCACCCAGGCTGGAGTGCAATGGCACTAACATGGCTCACTGCAGCCTCAACCTCCTGGGCTCAAATGATTCTCCTGCCTCAGCCTCCCAAGTAGCTGGGACCACCACTCCCAGCTAATTTTTTTATTCTTTGTAGAGATGGGGTTGCAATGTTTCCCAGGCTAGTCTCGAACTCCTGGGCTCCTAAGAATTTTAACATTTGAGTTTTCTTCCAACAAAGAGGTGGAGGAAAATATAACTTTATATAAACATGTATAAACCCTGCTTCCCACTTTAATTAAGCCATAAATTCCTGCGGCAGCTAGGGATGTGAAGAGGCAAGTGAGAAGAGGAAATGTGCATAAGACTCTCAGCAGCTTGGAAGTAAACAGGGAGGACTGAAGTGACCCTGTTGCTCCGAAGGTGGCTGTTCATTAGCCTCCTTCTGTCCTTAGACCCAGCTGGAGCATTGCATGCACTGGCTCCCAGGTTGCAGGGGATGTCAGCAGCTCCAGCTCATCCGATTGAAGGAGGCCATGTGGCTTTCCCTGGACTTTCTGCTTGAACAGTGAATCCCTGTAGGGCCTGGATCCATTGCCCTCTTCTCCTCCCACCCCACCCAAGCACTCTTCTTCATGAGTTTGCTTTCTCCTATCTTTTTTTCCTCCACTTTTCCTTCACAAATTGTTGATTAAGCACCTGCTATGGGCCAGACATTTTTCTAGAGGAACACCTCAATGAGCAGACAGGTTCTTGTTCTCATAGATCTTCCATTTTAGAGAGAAAGCTGAATGATAAACAAATAATACAGCAGGTGGTGAGGGGTGCTATAAAGAAGGATGAGCAGGGTAAGTGGGTGAGAAAATGTGCTACTTTGTCCTCTAGAGGCCAGGGAAAGCCTCTCTGTTTAGGTGATATTTGACAGAGATTTGAAGACACTGAAGGAGTGAGCCATTTGGATCTCTAGGGAAAGAGCATTCTTCCCCAGACAGAGAACAGCAAGTGCAAAGGCCATGATGAAGAAGGGAGCTTGGCCAGAGTGAGGGACACAAACGGCAGCCTACGGTGCATGCACGTCTTAAGAGATGAGGTTCCTGGTGCCCTTTGACTGCCTCAGAGATCCCGTGCTCACAACACACAGCCCCAATCATCCTAAAATACATCTATGCTATAGAAACTTGTCCCACAATATCCTTTCATAATGATTTACCTTCTGGTATCCCACCCATGAAAGCAGAAATTTCCTGCTTTCTCCTAATAATTACTAATAATTCTCCTAATAATTACTAATCTGTCTCCTCCCCCAAAATGTAAGGCCAAGAAGAGCAGGGACTTGGCCTATTCATTCACTGCTCTATGTTCGGCTCCTAGTTCAGTGCTAAAAACCAAGTGGGCCCTCAATAAATATTTTTGTGAATTTATTTATTTATTTATTTTATTTTTTGAGGCGGAATCTCTCTCTTCCGCCCAGGCTGGAGTGCAGTGGTGCAGTCTTGGCTCACTGCACCCTCCGTCTCCTGGGTTCAAGGGATTTCTGGCTAATTTTTGTATTTTTAGTAGAAACAGGGTTTCACCATGTTGGCCAGGCTGGTCTCGAACTCCTGACCTCAAATGATCCATCCACCTTGGCCTCCCAAAATGCGGGGATTACAGGCGTGAGCCACTGCACTTGGCCAGCCCTCAATAAATATTTATTTTCTACGTGAAATGGGGAATCTAACTATGCTACATGGTAATGAGGCAGCTGACTTTCTTGGAAGCAGAAGACCTAATTCTAGATGTGGTGACATAAAAGCAATAAAGGAAGGACCTCTATAAATCACTCGTGGAGCTGAGCCTCAGCTCTCAAAGTGTTGGATTAGAACTAGGGATGGCAAAATCCTGTTACAGGCACAACAACTCACCCCCTCCCTTCCATGCCCACTAGACTCTCTAATGAAGCATGGCTGTCTCTCTCTGGAAAAAACTACGGAATTCTTCCCACCCAGTGCTCCTAGCAGCCACAACCAAAGGGTCAGAGGTGACCCTTACAATGAACCCAATTTGCCATCCCTCAATTAGATGTTTAAGATTCCTTTCCACTTTAATATCCTGTGGTGCAAATCTAAGCAACCCTGCTTGTTTGGCCACATGGAGGTACATGTTCCTGCAAAATCAACCCCAAGAAATCCTATTGCTCACAGGTAAGCAGGTAACCCCTGCTTCCATAGCAGAGGCAGTCACTAGTAGTACTTGCTTCAATTGGGACAAATATTTTTCACCCGGAAACTAATTCAAGGCTACCTTTTTCAGACTCCTTCGAAGGCTGCTAGAATTGGTCCCTTGAGTAAGCTGAGTGTTGTGGTGCCCCTCAGTTCCCATGCCATAGAAGCTCGAACCTCATTCATTAATACACTAGCCCTAAGGCTTGAAACCAGTCTGGCCTGGCTTGGAGTCTTTAGATCACTCTCTAGCTTCTGGCCAATAAGAATGAGCTTCTAGGCCAGGCATGGTGGCTCACGCCTGTAATCCCAGCACTTTGGGAGGCCGAGGCAAGTGGATCACTTGCATCCAGGAGTTCAAGACCAGTCTAGGCAACATAGTGAAACCCCATCTCTACAAAAAAATACAAAAAATTAACCAGGCGTGGTGGCACGGGCCTGTAGTCTCAACTATTCAGGAGGCTGAAGTGGGAGGATCGCTTGTGTGGGGAGGTCAAGGCTGCAATAAGCTGTGATGACACCACTGTACTCCAGCCTGCATGACAGACTAAGGCTGGAGTGCAGTCTCCAAAAACAAAACAAAACAAAAGAAAACCAAACCAAAAACCTGCAGCCTGCACCACTCCTACTGGTAGGCTTGCTCTGATATCAGCACTTCAAGCAGGTGATAACACTATGAGGTTTATTTTTAATTGCTAGGTGTGGTGGTTGTATTTCCTCAGAGTAAAAATGCACTTCCTTCCTCCCTTTGAAGTGAGATGTGGACCTGTGATTTGATCTGGCCAAGAAAGTGTGACCGAAAATGACCTGGACACTTCCAATGGGAGCTTTAAAAGCCAGTGCACAATTTATCACTGATCCTTTTTCTGCTTCAGTCATCGTAGAAGCCCAGGTCAGGATGGAACTCCCACCAGCCTGGATTGCTGATTAAGGATGCTCCATGTTAGAGCAAAAATATAAGTTGTTTTAAACCACAGAAATTTGGAGGTGGTTTCTTATTGCAACATAACTAGTCTCTATTGACTGATACTCCATGGTGTAAGATTACTCATGGGATTTTTCTAGCTCAGAGTTTCTCAATTTTGGTAGGATTGACGTTTGGGGTTAGTTATTGCTTTCTTGTGGGGACCATCCTGTGCATTGCAGGATGTTAAGTGGCCTCCCTAGCCTTTACCCACTAGACACCAGCAGCACCCCATCCCAAGTTGTGACCATCAAAAATCCCTCAACAGTATGATTCCACTTATTTGAGGTACCTAGAGTAGTCAAAATCATGGAGACAGAAAGTCAAATGATGGTTGTCAGGGGCTGGGAGAAGAGAGAAATGGCGAGTTAGTGTTTAATGGGTACAGAGTTACAGTTTTGCAAAATGAAAAGAGTTCTATGGATGGATGGTGGTGATGGTTGCACATCAGTGTGAAGGTGCTTAGTGCCACTGAACTATACACATGAAAATGGTTCAGATGGCTAATTTTATGTTATGTGCTTTGCCACAATTTTTGAAAATGGAAAAAAAAATGTCTCCAGACATTGCCAATGTCCCCTGGAAAGCAAAATCGCCCCTGGTTGAGAACTAGTGTTCTAGCGGTAGTGCAACACATTCAATTGTAAAATATGTGTAAAAACGTGGGCTTAGGGCTCAGCCCTGCTTTTTGCCATTGAGGGTTAGAATCTCATCTCTCCTAAAATATTTTTTATCCACTCAGATTGTAGGCCAGGATCAACAGGACAATTGAACGGTTTGATCTAGAAAAAGCCCCGGTCTATGGACCCAAAACTGGTGTGATATGAATACACTCTGTAAAAACTCTTACACTGTTTTAAGCTTTACATCTGATAAACAGAGCACAGTAGAGACTCCACTTGGGATAATTTTTCCTGAAACCTACTTGTTTTTCATGCTGTTTCTGCAGTTAAGGTGCCTGGTCTTAAAATGTGTTGAAGCAAAAGAATGGGAAGAGCCAAGGGACACATCAGGGAGTTTCCAAATGACAGAACTGCAAACCTGCAGGGCAGTCCTCTGCTGCGGAAGAGGGAGCTTGCACTCTGAATGCATCTTGAGGAGTCTTCTCCATACCCGAGGAATAAATTAAGGCTAACAAGAGGGCCTAAATGGTGATTGGCTCTGCTCTTGACCAATTGAACTCCATGCTCGGACTGAGGCAGCAGAGGGCTTCTTACACCCACCTCCACCACCATCACCCTGCCTAAGTCATCTCAGAGAATCCTCTTTCTATCTCAGTATTGGGCCTACATTCTTATGCTTCAGCCCTTTTCCATAATGACCCCTCCAGATTGCCACACTCTAGAACCACTACAGAGGGTGGCGTTACTGCTGTATGGACACTTCATCTGAAAGTGAGGGGCCAGCTCACATGATTTGCAGGGTTCCTTTCTCTGGCCTTCTAAAACATTCTCCAGGTTGAGGCTGAAACTGCTCCCCCAAAGCCCCATAATAGGCATGAACAGATTATCCTCCTCTTCTTGGTTCTCATGGCTAGAATCCTTAACCAATCCTCTCCCCACAAAGTAGGGTTGATTTCACAAGCTGTTATTTCAGCTGCTCGTTCTGCCATCTGCTCTTGAGTTGCTTGGTGAACACCTCCAGCGTGCTTGGAGCTGCACTGTCACGCTTCGCCCCAGTCAGCTTCTGGCCCCCCACACTCAAACACATCTGCATCGGCACACCCCTCCCACGGCCCAGTTCTGCCCACAGTGGATCCATCCATCTGCGCTCCAGGCCCCAGCCCCTTGGGAGCTTGCGCTATCAACTATTTGCACTTAGTTCAGAATCTTTAGCCACTCCATGTCCATGGTTATTTCATTTATTCAATGTAGTAACATGTTTAAACCTCTCCCGTCCTGGAAAAAAAAAAAAGTCCTACATTTAACCCTATCTCCCTCTTTAGCTTAAAGTCATCTGTAATCTTTCTTGCCATTTATTTACTCCATGTCCCAGGTTGAACAGTATCCACACACCCCCAAAACTTCATGTTCTCCCTAGGAATCTTAGAATGTGACTTTATTTGGAAATAGGGTGGTTGCAGATGTAATTAGTTAGGAGTGGACCCTTAATCCACTATGACTGGTGTCGGTGTCCTTAGAAGAAGAATAGAGGGAACGCAGAGGCACCCACAGAGAGGAGGCCATGTGATGATGGGGGCGGAAACTGGGGTGGTGTATCTACAAGCCAAGGAATGTCAGGGCTTGCAGGAAACCCCAGGAGCGAATGGAAAGGCATGGAGCAGATTCTTCCTAGCATCTTCAGAGAGAGCATGGTGCTGCCAACACCTCGTTTTGAACTTCTAGCTTCCAAAACTGTGAGAGAAAAAATGTCTGTTGTTTTAACAAGACACCCAGTTTCTGGTATTTTGTGACAGCAGACCTAGAAACAGAATATACCCTTGAAACCACCACCGTTTTCCTTTTGGTTCCAAGATTCTTTCGTGTATGACCCGCGAGAGCCAAATCCAGTCTTTATTTGGCCTCTCTGGAGCACGTGCAACTCATTTATTCCTTATTGATGCTTCTCCCCGACATCCTTCTCGGCCTCCTTCATTGCTTCCTAATCTCACAGCCAGCTACCGCATACTGGAGTCCCTGGGTTCATCACCACCTTTTCCCACTCTGTTCATGCTCCACTGCAATCTCATCCAAATACCAGCTCTCCTCCCACCCCCATGCTGATGATTCCCCAAGCCCTCTGGCCTAAGCCTCTCTCCTGAGATCTACTTTGAGTTCCCCACTGCCTCCTGGACATTTCCACCTAGAACTTGTACAAGCACTTCAAAAACTACATGGCTAAAATGGAAGTCATGGTCTAGAAGCCTCCTTCCCAAATAAACCTGCTTTTCCTCCTGTAACCTGCATGTCAATGAGAGGCTTCACGTTCACACAGGGGCATAAGCCAGACACCTGGCATCTTCTTGGGCTTCTCCTCTGCACCCTTGGCTGTGGTCACTGAAGCCAAAGGACTCTGCCCATTATGGTTTGGGGAATGTATCCTCTGCATCCCTGCTGCAGCTGCTTCAGCTCAGCCTCTTACCACCTCTTGTGGCTAGCGGAGACCTCCACTACACCAGACTTTCATGCTGCTCTGGGAGCACTTTCTTATACCACCTTGTTTTAAGCCATTCCCCTGCTTCGAATGCTTCAGGGTTTCCTGGTCACCTGCAGGATGATGCCCTTAGCATTCCTCCACTTGGAATAACAACGCCTTGTAGCATCTGGCTTTCAGGAGTTTAGAGTGGAGGGGCTCTGCATTCAACTCCAGGACCTACCACATACTTGGTGCGTGGCCCTGGGCAACATACTTACTCTCTCTGTGCCTCAGATTCCTCACCTGAAAATGGGGATAATCATAGTACCTACCTCATAGGGTTGTTGTAAAGATTAAATGAGCGAATATGTTCAGAGCACCCGGAACTGTGTCCAGCATGTCGTAAGTGGGCACTAAATATTAACTGTTGTTGCTGTTAAGTATTACCTTTCCCCACTCATTTCTGTACAGCTTCCCATGTGCGTTGTTTTCCAGCTGATCAGAACACTCTTCCATCTTAGAAGAAAAAAAAAAAGCCCTACCTGTGTTCCCCTGGCTCTTGGCCTTGACACACACTGTCTGGAATACCTTTCCCACCACCTCTCATCCCATGCTCCCTATGAACATACTTCGACTCATCTTTTCTAACCTAAGCACCCTCCCCTGCAGTCAAGCATGCTCTTCACTGAGCCTTCGTAAGGCCCCTGTGCTCACCTCTATTGCAGCACAGATCACACTGCATTATAAAGGACCATCTCCTGTCTCTCTGTCCATCTTTCAGAGTTTGCTGTATTGATCTTAGTGACGTCAGCACGTGGCACTCAGCTAGACAAAGAAAGCAGGCTCAATAAAGGCTGGTAGAATTAAGTAAAGAATTGTATAAAGGCATTAAATAGAGATGGGGTACAAATATGTCCCAGGCTGCCTGGGATAGTCCTGGTTTAGGCCATGGTCCTGATATAATTACTAACAACACCCTCTTTCACTGTCAAAAATATCTCCTTTGGACAATACATTATAAGGTCACTCTAGGTATTAGAGCTGTGATTCTCACCCTATCAGGCCCAATTTTCTCTTTGCTTAACAGCTATTTTAGAATACCCTATGCACTATCTTTAAATGGGATTGATAGGCAATAGAAACTGCCAATAACAGAATTTCAAAAAAACCAATGTAATACCCTAAATAGAATGCTTAATGGAAAATGAAGCAGATTTTTTTAAAGGTAGCTTAAACTAAAATTATGTGTGCAGTATTTTGATGTGTAAATGCTTAGGTCTTACACTTCTGGCCAAGATGGAGTAACAGAGACCAAAATTACTTTCTGACCTAAAACAACAAAAATACTGGACAAAATATATGAAACTATGGCCCTCAAGCAACAAAGGGAATCAATCACTGGAATCAAGCATCAAAGGGCAGTGATCCTCAAGAGATGAGAAACAAATGAGGCTAGCCCCACAATTGACCTCCCAAACACCTTAGAAAACTTTCCAGGCCACAGCACAGGAAGAAAGAATGCAGATGGAGCTCAGAGATCTTCCTGAGTTGAGAAGACAGAACTGTGAGTCTGGGAAGGCCAATGTGGCTAGAATTCATAGGGCAGAATATTGAGGAGGAGAGGGCTGTACAGAGACAGAGCTCTGGAAATCTGAAGATAATACTTACCCTCCTTGACTGTTTAACAGAGTAGTGATCAGAGTATGCAGGTATGAAAATCGCCGGAGAGGCTGGACCCGGTGGCTCCCACCTGCAATCCCAGCACTTTGGGAGGCTGAGGTGGGTGGATCACAAGGTCAGGAGATAGAGACCATCCTGGCAAACATGGTGAAACCCCATCTCTACTAAAAATACAAAACTTAGCTGGGTGTGGTGACACACGCCTCTAGTCCCAGCTACTCAGGAGGCTGAGGCAGGAGAATCTCTTGAACCTGGGAGGCAGTGGTTGCAGTCACCCGAGATCCAGCAAAGCATGGGCAACAGAGCAAGACTCAGCCTCCAAAAAAAAAAAAAGAAAGAAAAAAGAAAACTGCCTGAGAATGGAAAAAGAATCATCCACAAAGAGAGCCAGCCCCTCTTCCCCCCTGGCTCTTGGGACCCCGATCGCAAGGTGGGGAGGTACCTCGCGAGGCGGAGACTGAGAGCCAGCCCCTCTCCCCTCCCTGGGTCTTGGGACCCCCATCGGAAGGGGTGGAGGCACCCCCCGCGATATGGGGAGTAAGAGCCACCTCCTCTCCCCCGCGAGTGATTACGATCCACGGTGGACTCACAGCCTGTTTACTATATTGGGGGTAATATCTCCCCCTCTGGAAATTATGTGCTGTTTGACAGATGGGTGTACACCCTCGGTGTGCAGAGGTTGTACACCCGTCTGTATTGGGAGTAATATCATCCTCTTCCACCCTGAATATTAAGAACCGTATCACAGGTGTGTTTCTACTCCCTGCGATATTGGGTGTCATATCCTCCTCTCCCACACTGAAATTAGAAACAGTATCAGTGGGGGCGTGTACACCTTCTGTCATATTTAAACTAATATCATCCTCTTCCCTCCAGGATCATGAGAACAATATCCCTGGGGGGGTACACTTTCTGCGATATTGGGAGTAATATCTCCCCCTCCGCCTTGGAATATTATTAAGGACCATCTCACACGGGGGTGTACACTTCCTGCCATATTGAGAGTAATATCGACCTCTCGGCCTCTGAATATTAGGAACAATATCACAGGGTGGGTGTACACCTCCTGCGCTGTTATGGGGAGTAATATCTATCTATTACGGGGAGTAATATCATCCTCTCCCTTTCAGGATGTTAATAACAATATCACAGGGTGGGTGATCACAGCCTGCGATACTGGAATTATTATCATCCTCTCCCCCTCGGGATACCAGGAACAATATCACAGAAGAGGTGTACACTCCCTGCGATTTTGGAAGTAATATCCTACGCTTCTTCCGTGAATATTAGGAGCAATATCACCGGGTGGCTGTACATTCATTGCTATGTTGGGAGTCATGTCATACTCTACTCCCTGGATATTAGGATCAGTGTCACAGGGTGAGTGTACACCTACTGAGATATTAAAACTAATATCATGCTCTCCATCCCTGGATATTAGGAACAATATCACAGGTAGGTGTACACCCCCTACGGTATTAGGAGAAATAATATGATTAATTATTAAGCATCAGTCTTAATAATATTACTAATTATTAAACATCAGTCTTAATAATTATCAATGGTAATATTAATAGTATAACTTTACTAATCATTAATGATTTTTAAATATGATTATGCATGATTAAAATTAATTATTAGTATTGTCATTTTTCAATATTAGTTATTAATCTTAATTATTGTTTTATTACCAACATCACGTATTGATTTAATTAAGTAACATTAATTACCGATATTGTTATAATTAATAGTGAGGTTGCTATTATTAATAGTAACCATTAATATTTTTAATCCGTATTAACTTTTACTATCTTTATAGTAATTATTTATATCGATGATTTCTATTAATTGTTATTATATTTATGAATATTAATACTTAATATAATTGTTCCCGATATCCGAGGGGTAGAGGATGTTACTCCCAATATCACAGAAAGTGTACACCCCTCTATGATGTTATTCGTAATTGCCAGGGAGTAGAGGATGACATTATGAAAAATATCGCAGTGGGTATACACCCCTTCGGTCATCTTTTTTCCTAATATCCTGGGTGGGAGCGGATGATATGACTCCCAATGTCGCAGGGGGCGTAGACCTCCCCCGTGATACTGTCCCTAACGTCCAAAGGTGGAGAGGATGATATTTCTTCCAGTTTCGCAGGGGATGTACACCACCCCTGAGATATTGATCCTAATATCCAGGGGGCGAGAGGATGATGTTAGTCTCACTATTGCAGGAGGTGTACACTCCCTAGGGATATTGTTCCTAATATCCAGGGACGGAGAGGAAGATCTCACTCCCAATATAGCAGGGAGTGGACACCCCTTCTGTGACACTGTCCCTAATAGCCAGCGGGGGAGGGGAAGATATTACCCCCAATATCGCAGGGGGTGTACACCAATTCTGTTTTATTGTTCTTAATATCCAGGGAGGGAGAGGATGATATTACTGTCACTATCGCAAGGGGTAGACACTCCTTCTTTGATATGGTTCCTAATATCCAGGGGGGAGAGTATGATATTAATCCCAAAATCGCTGTGGGTATACACCCCTTTTTGATATTGTTCCTAATACGCCGGGGGAGAGTCTATGATATTACTGCCCATATCACAGGGTGTGTACACCAGAACTGCTATGTTGTTTCTTATTTCCAGCAATGAAGAAGTTGCTATTACTCCCAAAATGGAATGGGCTGTAAACCCCCCATAAGATATTGTTCCTAATATCCAGGGGGAAAAGGATGATATTACTTTCAATGTTGCGGCAGGTGTATAATCTGCCTGTTATATTGTTCCTAACATCTGGGGTGGGGGCGGCGGGGTGAGAACGATATTACTCGCAATGTCTCAGAGGGTGTACACTGCCCCTGTGATATTGTTCTAAATATCCACTGGGGTAGAAAATCATATTACTCCCAATATCGCAGGTGGTGTAAACGCCCCCCGATATTTTTTCTAATATCCAGGTGAGGTAGGATGATATTACTCCCAATATCACAAGCGGTGTACACACCTTCTTTGATATTTTTCCTACTATTTACTTGTGGAGAGGATGATATTACTCCCAGTATCAAAAGAAGTGTACAAGCCCCCTGTGATATTGTTCCTAATATCCAGTTTAAAAGAGGATGATATTACCCCCAATATCGCAGGGGGTTGGCTGTACACTCCGCCTGTGATATTATTTCTAATATCCAGGGGAAGAGAGAATAATATTACTCCCAATATCGCAGGGGCTGTACACACCTTGTGATATCGTTCCTAATATCAATGAGGGGAGGAGATGATATTACCACAAATATCAGAAGAGGTGTACACCTTTCTTGTGATATTGTTCCTAATCTCCCTTTTGGGAGAGGATGATATTACTCACAATATCGCAGGGGTTATACACTTCCCCTGTGATATTGTTCCTAATATCCAAGTTGGGAGAGGATGATCTTACTCCCAATATCGCTGGGGGTATACACCCCTTCTGTGATATTGTTCCTAACATCCACAGGGGAAGGGATTAATATTACTCCCAATATCCCAGGGGGTGCACGTCCCCACTGTTATATTGTACCTAATATCAGGGGGTGGAGAAAATGATATTACTCCCAATAGCGCCGTGTGTATACACCCCTCCTGTGATATTGTCCCTAGTATCCAGGGGCTAAAGATGGATATTACTCCCAATATCCAGGGGATAGAGGTTGATATTAAACCAAATATCACAGTGGGTGTACACAACTCCTGTCATATTGTTCCAAATATCCAGGCAGAGAGAGGATAATATTACTCAAAGCATTCCTGGGGGTGTACACAGCCCTCTGTGATATTGTTTCTAATATACAGAAAGGGAGAGGATGATATTACTCTCAATAAACAGAAGGGTACAATTCCCATGTGATGTTGTTCTGAATATCTAGGGTGAGAGAGGATGATATTACTCCCAACATTGCAAAAGTTGTAAACACCTTCTGTGATATTGTTCCTAATATCCGGGGGAAAGAGGATGATGTTACTCCCAGGATCGCAGGGGGGTGTACACCCCCCTGTGATATTGTTTCTAACATCCAGAGGGGGAGAAGTTGATATTACTTCAAACATCGCCGGGGGTGTACGCCCCACCTGTGATATTGTACTTAATATTTAGCGGGAGAGAGGGGGGTGATATTACCAACAACGTAGGGGAAAGTCAGCCCCCTCTCCCCCGCTGGATATTACGAGCCATGTGACAGGGAGGTGTCCACCCCCCACCATATGGAGAGTAACATCACCCTGCTCTCCCCCCACCTCCAGCTTCTTTCTGCTAAGGTCCCCTTGCCCCTCCAGGTGGCTTTCTTGGGCAGGGCATAAAAGAAATTACGTGGTTTTCTTGCTCAGATTTGTTCGCAAGTCCACGAGAAATACTCAGGGAGTCTTGCAAAAATCCGGTGTTACAGCAGCTAAGTCAGCCAGCTAGCCGTGCCCTACAGTTGAGGTGGCATGTCATGATTCCCCTCTCTTTCACCTGCTGACTCCTCCTCAGCCTTCCGGACTCTGCTTAGGTGCCTCTTCCTCCAGGTTGTCCGCTCCCGTCCCCACCCTCCCTTACCTGCTCTCCTAATACCATGGGCTGATCCAGCGCAGCATTTGTCACACATCTTACAGCTGCCTGCCTCCAGTCTGTATCCGGACTCCACGACCTGAAGGTAAGGGCTGCATCTGCCTTGATCATCATTGTATCCCTTGCTCCTACAACAGCGCCTAACACAGAGTAATTCCTCAGTCAACATTTTCTGGATGGGTGAACAAAAAATAAATCTACACATCAAGTGAAAATTAGGCTGAGCAGAAATGAAGCAAGTGATAAAGTACAAGAGAAGGTTATACCTGTTATTCTAGGCGTGCTAATTCTAATTTTAGAATTGCTGTGGTTATTTCATGTTACTCTGCCAGGCTTCAGTGTTAGGCAAGGGCAATTCTCTGTGTAAGCAGGGATAGCTTTCCTGAAAGGTCCTGTTGGTCCTGGGAAGTGATGGTACATGTGACTCATCCCTCAAACCAGAAGGCTAAGCTAAACTAGCAGGAGAGCTGCAGCAGGAACCTTCTGGCAGGGAAGAAACAGCACGCTCTGTGTACCACCCGTGTGTGACCGGAAATAAAGGATGCCCACCATGTGAAGACTGACCAGGACGCAGAGAGAAGGACGTCAGGCAAGATCCCACCCGTGCTTAGGGACATAACATGTTTATTAGCATCATTAAGTACTAGCTGACATGCATAGAGCATTGAGTATGTGCCAGGCACTGTACTAAGCACTTCACATACACTATTTCATGTGATCCCCACCATGGCCCTATAAGGTGAAACTTATAAATATCACCATTATATAGATGGGGAAATTGAGGCTTGGAGAGGTTAAGTTGTTTGCCTGAGGTCACAAAGCTGGTAAGCAGCAGAGCTGGAATCCAAACCAACAGAAATTCCATCTAGATACCCAACTCCTCACTGCCGTCTATCCTTGGAAACTAGACTAGTCTCCAAGGAAACATGAATCTACATTTTCTTTCAACTAATAAGAGCTCTTTCCTTACAGTAATTATTTAAATAGTTTTAATAAAAATTTAAAATCTATTTCAAGATTAAAGTTTCAAAGCCATCAAACATCAAATATATATGAAAATACATTTGTATACATTATAAACAGATATATGACGTGACATGAAGTGCTGGATCCAGTGCATCAGAAAATACACGCAAATATAAAATACCCGACAGCATTATATAAAACATCAGCTGCTTGCCAAATCGGCATTAAATACTTAAGCACTGTGACCTGTTGCTTAAAGTATTACAAATCCAGCCTTATCTAAAAATCTCTATTTGTCCTAGGAAACTAATGCTTTTTAAAAACAATAATTTGGTAATTTTAATAATATTTAGATCTATCTAAACTTAAAGCCTATATATTTACCACCCTTTTACATGCTTACCAGTATTACAGACACAATAAATTTTATCAGGTATTTTTGATAATGTGCTAGGAATTGTTTGAAATATAAAGAAGAATAAGATTTCGTTTTCACCATCTCAGAGATTCCAGATAGTGGTGGACACAGAGACCCGTGAAAATAACTGCAGGATGAAATAGACGAAATTATAGAAGCCCTATGTACCTTGGAAAAATGGACATGGACATGGAAATTTTATTTCATATGCATACTCGTTAAAGAAAAAGAAGCCTACAAAAGTTAGCTACCTTTGGTTTTTATTACTTATGTCTTACACTCAAGTGAACTTTTTTCTGTCTAATCTAATATCATTCAAATCCTGAGTCCTTTTAATTAAGTTATCCTAAAATGAATTTTCATGAACACAGAATTTGTGCTATTACTCTCTCTGCACCTCATGGATATTACCACATTTTAGATTTTATGTTTTAAAACACAAAACAATATAAAACCTAAAGTTTTAACATAAAATGTCTTTGGATCTTCAACTAAAATACTAAAGATATAAAAAACTTTATTCTCCTCAAGATAAAACTAGATTTAAAATTGTCAATGAAATAGTTGATTGATCATTTATATTTCTATAAATATATGGAAAATAATCTATTTTTTAATTGTAAGACATTACAATTTTAGATTGTATTTGCACTTAGGAAAATTTCACATAATCTTTACCAGATCCATGCTTACTCTGATAAAAATTTGTTTTTTCAATAGTTGATTCTTCAAAATATCTTGACTAATCCTTCTCCCTCTACAAACAATATTATTATTTGCCAATATTCAAAAGTCTGAATAAACGACCTTATCCCTGGGAATATCTTGCCAAAAAACTATTACCTGCAGCTACAAAGTCCAGAATGTCAGCTTCTTCAGAACAAACAGTTCAGTTTCTCCCATAAAAAATGCAAGGGAAACAAAAAAAGAGGATTGAGGAAATCTAAAAGAGATATAATAGCCCATATCAACCAAACACAATACGTAACCCTTATTAGCATTCTAATTCAAACCGACCAACTAAACAAAAAGTTTTTAGACAATTGAAGATATTTAAATATTGCCTGGATAAACCGATGCTATTAATGGATTATTTAGGTGTGATAATGGTATTGTGGTTACGTTGATGGGAATATTCTTTTTTATAAATGGGGTCTTGCTATGTTGCTCAGGGTGGTCTTGAACTCCTGGCCTAAAGTGATCCTCCAACCTCTGCCTCCCAAAGAGCTGGGATTACAGGGAGGAGCCACTGCACCCAGTCTCATTGATGGAATTATTATCTATTAGAGAAATATTCAAAAATACAATACAATGATAGACTATCTGGGATTTGATTCAAAATAATTCAGTGGGGAGGGGACTGTCAGCAGACAAAGAAGACACAAGGTTGGCCCAGAGGAGAAGTACATACAGGTTAATTATACTAATCTCTTTATAAACATTGTTTGAAATATGACATAATGTATCCTATACAACTGATACCTTGAGTAACACAATAATAGTCCCCTTAATTTTAGGAACTACTGGTCATAAATATGCCCTTACATATAGACATCTCCTCTATACATAGCAAAATCACATTATTTGACAAAAAGGAAATCTCTTAGGCTACGTTTAATCTTATTGTTCTCTTTGCCTGGATTTGGGAATAGAAACTGCTTCACTGGCTAAGTAAATCATAACTGTCCCAAAATATTCTTAATTACTGATTTCAATAAACATATCCCTTCGTTCTAAGAACAATTAAGAAAATGAAGTTTATGTTCAGGTAAACCTGACAATGTTAAGGTAGTTGAGTAACAGGGAAGTAATGATTAACTGAATTTCATACTGGATTCTCAAATCCTTTTTCTTTTTCTACTCTAATGTTTCCTTTGGATGGGGCGAATTCTAGTATTGTTAGCGATCACCTATGTAACTTTTTTGCAGGTGGTGTATATGGAATCAATGAATGCTTAAAACCAATTAAAAATAATTTCAGTGATTACATGAAAACACAGCTAGAAAAACTAAAGTATTTTTGTAGAGATTACGAGAAGGTTACATTAACGATCAGAATAAGGTTACTATGTAGACTGTAATCAGGTGTCAATGTGGAAGGAAATTTCCGAGCATTTTTCCGGAAGGCTGGGGAGGAGTGGGAATCCTGACTCCCCACACTTCCCACACAACGTGGTGAAGGACTGGTGCCAACTCAGAAGCCGCCGTTTGCTCAATGTCCCCGCCAGCCTTGTCAGTCCTTACCGCCGTTTGACTCCACTGTTTTTCTCGTGGTTTCTGCTGCTTCTCTAAATTGTCCAACGACCGTTATTAAGTAAAAATGAATGAAACGGGGCCGTGTGATCTAGGCAGCCTGGAGATGAGATTTTGGAATCATAAGCTACATTCCAACGTATAAACCGATTTTACTCATTTTGGATACTCGATGTACGCGGAATGGGCGCTGTAGAATGCGGCTGCCCCGCCAGAGGCATCTGCTTGGGACTTGCTGGCAGCCGCCGGTCCCCTCTGCTTGCGACCCTCGGCCCAGCCGCCGGGACCCTGGTGCACCTGTTCCTGGGCGTCCTCTCTACTCCCCAGTGGCCGCCAGCTCCACTCCCAGCCTGTGGCCCCGGACCCGCCGGCCCGAGCGTTCGCAGAGGGCCGGTCGTTGCCACAGCCCCGCGTCCCGGCCCCCGCGCCCCTTGGACCTTCGCCCCAGGCCGGCGCAGCCCAGCTTCCCGGGCAGGCTCCACGCTACCGGGGTCCAGTGCGCGGCGACGAAGCGGAGAGCTGTATCCAGACTCCGGAGAGAAACTCCGGCTCTGCGGGGCGGCGCGGGGCCCGGAGCTGCCCAACTCCGCCGCCTCGGGAAGGCGGCTTCGGGCCCGCAGGGAGTCCCGGGGAGTCGAGGGGTGCCTGGGCTCCTGGGGACCGCGAGAGGAAAAAGAATGGAAATCGCACCGGGGAGGAAGGACGCGCAGAACGCCCCCGTGAAGCGGGGTGCTCCGGTCAGGCGTGCGCGGGAGCGCGGTCCCGGGGAGTCCGGCGGCGCCGTTGCGCGCACTCGGCAGAGGCTTTGCGGGAGAACGCGCAGCCCGGGGCGTGGGGCGGGGAACTGCCCGCGCGAGGCTTTCAGCGCGTCTGGGTCTCGGCGAGAGCAAAGCGCGTCCTGCACCGGGGGCGGTGGCGCAGAGGCCGGGAGGAAGAAATCCGGGCCCTGGCCCAGGTCGGGCTTCCACCCCTGCGACCCGCGAGAGGCCCAGGCGGGAAAGGCGGCGAGTGCAGTCAGCGGTTCCGAAAGCAAACCTGGCCCGGTGCTACTGCGCGAGGGTCGCCGGGCGAGTTTCCTAATTCCCCCGAGTCTGGAAAACGGAGAGTTCCGTAGCGTCTTCTTCAGTGCGTGCTGCGAGTGCTGAAGGAGGACCCGGTGCCTGGCCGACCCGGAGCAGGGGAAGCACTCGGCCGACGCTGTCACTGTCATCGGCGTCATTGGCGGGCAGGACAGTGGGGCGGGTAAGGGGCCTCCCCGCGCCTCCCAGCCCTCCGCGCTCGGCGCCAGCTCTTTGGCTTCCTTCCCTGGGCAGCTCTAGGCTTAGCTCTCAGCCATTTCTCAAGAAGACGATCCCGAGGGTCGAAGACCGCCCTTGACCCTTGACCACGGACTCTTCGTGTAACTCGGAAGAGCCGTGATTTTAAAACCCGGCCTCGGGGTTACAGAAGCCCGAGATCTGGGAGGCGTCCGGGACCTCCCTCCCAGAACCGCAGGGACCCGGCCTGGGATCCAGGGTGTGGCCTCTCGCTCTGCGCGGTCGGGAAGGCGGCCGGGTCCGGGCACCGCGCCAAGCACTGCGCACCCCTGGGACGCGTCGTTGCGGGGGGCTGCGGGGCTGGGGCGCCTCCACGACGCCTGGTCTGCCCGGCCAGTGCTTGGTGTCGTTGGTGGGTTCGTAGCTGCGACGGGTAAACGTCCGTTCCGCGAGCCGGGCAAGGCAACCCCTGCGGGTCGCGCCCGAAGGCCGGACCCCTCCAAGCCGCCTGGGTGCTTCCAAACAGGTGGACCCGAAGCTCCTGTTTGATCGGAGAACAACGTTCAATTTACTCCGCCACGGAACTGATGGTTTAAGTATTCATCTTTGGATATGTTTCACATTAGGCAAAAATTAGGAGCTTGGAGGCGGTTCCGGGAAGGGGCCTGACCCTCAGTCACCCACGTTCGTAGCCGGGTGGTCTGCCCTCGGGCAAGAGAAGGAAGATGATTGGGAGGGTGCCAAGAAAGCCTAGAGAAAGTCCCTTCTGGGTTCAGCGGCTGTAGCCGCTCTCCCAGGACGTTTGTTGGCAATAAATGAAGGAAGGTCGGCCTGGAGACGTTTTCGCACAACGGACAGAGGGGAGTTGGAGCGTAAACCAGCGAGAAGCTGGCATGACATAGGACCCCTCTATTCTCAGTTTGTTTCCAAACTCTTAGACTGCCCCAGCCCTGCCGGATTTGCTAAAAGTGGTCTCTTCTGGACGCTGGTGGGGCTGTGGGGCGGACGGCTGCCTGTGCAAAGAAGAGGGAAGAATTGGAAGCTGGGGTCTGGGCAGCTACCAAAGGTGGGGCTTGGGAACTTTTCAGAACGTCCTCAGAACCGCAGGAGCCAAGAGGAAATCTCCCGTAGGGGATCTCAGGTAGGGCATGCCAAGAAATTCCAAGAGACGGGATGGAGAAGAGAAGCCGGAGAAAAATCGGCCAATTAGACTCCTGTAAAAATGTGTGTCTCCATGTTTGTCCTCCCTCCTGAAATAAGAAATTCATAGCTGGGGGTGGGGAGTAGATGGGGGCTGGGGGAAAAACTTTCTCACATTCACAGAGCAGCTTCCCTCAAAGCGGCACGGAATCGGGAACCCCACTCGGGACAGGGGAAAACGGCCAAGTTCCTAGAAATATGTTTTCTTTGTGGGGAGCAATTCATGATGGGCGTTCTTGTCTGGTTTCCCCCCACTCCGTCCCCTGACGCCGAGTAACACTTAAACCTTTCTAGTTGCAAAGTCTTTTCAGAGTTTTTTTTTTTTTAAGAAATAAGTTTTGAAAATTCTAGTGCTTAAAAAATGTATATATATATATATATATATATGTACATTTATAGCCTTTTATTTTCCCTGAGTACATGTTGGCCACTACATTCCAAATTGATCTCAAACGGTTTTCCAGCTTGTTGGGGGGTGAGGAAAAATAAATGGAGAATATATTTACATGCCCTCCTATTCTTTTCTTTTAGAAGTCTCATAAATAGTAAATTTCCTATTTTAAAAGCCAGGACATTTTCAACCTCAAATATTTGGAATTTTTAAAGGCCATATTAAAATGGATTACTTCTGCTATCTATAATAAATATGAATTGTGAAAATAAATTGTTTGAGGGAAAATAATGTAGGTTTTAAAAAGTTCCATTTAGAAAGGGAAGAATGAGACGTAATAGAAAATAACGATGTAGTGTAGTGACTTAGCATTTTATTTCGTCTATATAACTAGGCTTAATTTTAACACCTTAATTTTAACATTAAAGATGGCACGTCAGACACACAGATAAGAAATCAATGTTCTGAAATTAATATCCTACTTACATTAAACATCCCTATCAGGAAGACACAGAGAGTAGAAGCATTTTGCACTAGACTTAGGAATAACACTTCCAGTTCCAAGGAAGTGAAGAAGGGGGAACATGTTTGGCATCGGAGGCTGTGTTTTTGTTTGCTTGCTTGTTTTTCTTCTAATGCCAGAACAAAATACCCCACTCACGTTCATAGTACCCCAGGAAATGTGCAAATCCGGAAAGCCACAGAAGCCACAGCCGAAGGCAAGAAAAGATGACTTGACGCCCTGCGAAGGTTACGTTCAGGTGGTTTTTAGAGGAACGTAATCCAGCTGTTTCTTTCTAACCATTTTGCAGGGAACAGAAGTTCGTGTTTGCTCTCCAGCAGGATTCAGATGCACACGCCCAGTATGGGCCGCGCAAGGTGGAGTGAGCAGCTGCGGATCGCTCCCCACTCCCACCTGGCTCTAGGAGGGCCCTGCGGACTTGGCCAGGGAACTGGGCGTGGGCGATACTAAAAAAACTGGTGAGGTCCCCTCTCCGCCCAAAGGGGCAGCCAGCGATGTCAGCCTAGAGCCCTCTGCCACCGCCTGATACCGCAGCAGCGCCGACGCGGCCGACAGGTGCCCGCCCAGCACCGCGCCCTTGGTGGGAGCGCAGCCGTTGGCGCAGTCCTCCTCCTGATGCTGCTGCTGTTGCTGCAAAATTGTCCGACAGGCTTGACGGTCGCTGGAGCAGGGGGCAGTAGCTCCACGCGGTCGGGGACAAACTCTGCGCAGCCCCTGTACCCGCTCCCCTGACCCCTTGCATGATACTCTCAATGCTGAAAGAGATGCATCCGCCTCCCGGTGGCGACGCCAGACCCTTGCCCTCCTCCCAAGGCTGAGGACCAAGTGAGGGCTGCAGCACGGGAAGGGTGCCGGGGGTCGCCAGGTCCGCGCCTTCTGCTTTCTTCGGTGCCCCGGCATAGGCGGGGGCCGAGAGCAGTAGGTAGCGAGGAGGATGCGGGTGCAGCAGAGCGTAAGGGCGTCTCCCGGGGGCGGTGTTGGGGTAGGCCCCCGGGACTGGCTGCGGCAGGGCAGGGGCCCCAAGCAGAGGGCCTGGGCGGGGGTTGTGCAGGGCGGCGTGTGCAGCAGGTAGAGGGAAGGGGTGGGGCAGGTGGGCTCCCGGGGTCAGTTGGTGGCGCTTGAAACGCTTCCTACGCCGGAGAAAGCTGCCATTGTCGAACATGTCCTGGGAGGCGGGGTCCAGGCTCCAGTAGGTGCCCTTGCCTGGGTGGCCCGGCTCGCGGGGGATCTTGACGAAGCAGTCGTTCAGCGAGAGGTTGTGGCGGATGCTGTTCTGCCAGGCGGGGAACTTGCGGCGGTAGTAGGGGAAGCGGCCACTAATGAAGGCGCAGATGCCGCTGAGCGTGAGGCGCTTGTGCGGGCTTTGCAGGATGGCCATGGTGATGAGCGCGATGTACGAGTAGGGGGGCTTTGCCGGCTGCCGGGCATCTTCAGAGGCCGCCGCAGACCTTGGCGGTGCCCTGAACTCGGTGCCAAACTCTGAGGGGTCGCTCGGGCCGCCGCCCTCGATGTGCTCTCGGGGAAGCGCAACCCCGCCCCACCGGGCCACCTGCAGCCCCGGCTGGAGCGACTGCTCTAGGAACTTCTGGCTCGCCTCCTCCTCCTCGTCTTCCACCTCGTCTTCATCTTCCTCCTCTCCCAGGACATCGATTTTACCGTCTTCCCCATCGGAGTCCCGGAGGCTGCGCTGCGGTGTGGAGCGAGGGCGCTCAGCTCTTGGCAGGTTCATGGCGGAGCAGGTGCTTCAGTCGCAGGGGATGTGGCGGCCGATCACCTGGCCCGGGGCGGGCTGAGCTGGAAGCCTGGGATGAATGTTGCAAGAAGCAGGAACGCTAGTGGTTACCCTTTGGGATGTTTTCCTCTGCTTGTTTCTACTCCTTTGCAACAACGTCCGGCAAAGATGCCTTTGCCTTTTATAAAAGCTTCTTCAAGACCATGTGTGGTGGACTCCCCCCTTTATAACCCTTCTTCCCCTACCTCGGAGCGGTGCCACTTCCTCCTAACGTAGTCCAGGGATGATGGTCTTCTGGGCAAACACCGTCCGGAGAAAAGCCCAGCCCCCTCCTCCTCGCACCCACCTGCCACCAAGGAAGATGCTCTACTCATCCGGTGCAGCCAGACAAGTAGGCAAGCCTTTGCACGGGTTCTGTTAAGGCGCATTTAAACCCGCGCAAATAAAAGCGAGGTAGGAAAGTAGGATACTCAACATTCTACGACCATCTCGACATGCAGCCTTCCCTCCTGGAGAAAAGAAATGGTGGGGCAGGAGGCTGAAATGTACACGGTTGTTTGTAAAGGAATGTGTAACCGTAAAAGTATGTTTTTGTGTTTCACAGCTGGTAATCACCCATTTTCATTGGTAGAGTCTGTCCTTACCCAGAATGGTGAGCTGAATTATATTTAAGGTTCTGACAATATTCCCAGGCTTCAGGGGGGTGTTGCTTTGCTCCTTCTACCTTCCTTCCCACCTCCCCAAGATGCTCTCCCCTGACTCAAATTTTCAGAAAAGGTTCAAATGTCCCAGCACTAAATTGTGTAAGTTTATTCAGGGAAGGCAGGAGAGCTCACACGGAGTCCTCTGTCCCCTTGTAGCAATGGTTCTCCAATTTCTTTGAATATTTAACCACAGAAATACATTTTATATCACAATCTTACACATACAGACATAATACATAACTAAGATGGCTTTCACGAAACAATATACTTACACTATAGTGATCACTGATATTTCCTTTTAAAAAAAAATGGCCATAACCAACTAAATTGATTTCACACATACCAGTATGGGCCCAGTTTGAAAAATCCTGTTCTTACAAAGTGGCCCCACATACAAGAAATGCACCCACTCTATAAGGGCTTCTCTCTCTCCCTTTCCTCCTTCCTTTCTTCATCCTTTATAACCAATTCATTTTTAGAGACAGGGTCTATGTTGCACAGGCTGGCTTTGAATTCCTGGGCTCAAGTGATCCTCCCGCCTCAGCCTCCTGAGTAGGTGGGACTACAGGCGTGCCACTATGCCTGGCTCTGGCTCTTCATTCTTTTTTTCCTTTTTTTTTTTTTTTTTTTTTTTGAGACGTTGTCGCTCTGTCGCCCAGGCTGGAGTGCAGTGACACAATCTCGGACCACTGCAAGCTCCGCCTCCCGGGTTCACGCCATTCTCCCGCCTCAGCCTCCCGAGTAGCTGGGACCACAGGCGCCCGCCACTACGCCCGGCTAATTTTTTTGTATTTTTAGTAGAGACGGGGTTTCACCGTGTTAGCCAGGATGGTCTCGATGTCCTGACCTCATGATCCGCTTGCCTCAGCCTCCCAAAGTGCTGGGATTACAGGCGTGAGCCACCGCGCCCGGCCTCTTCATTCTTTCAGAAATGTCAACATTAAGTGCTTTTACTGTAATAAAACTTGGGACTTCAATGAGGCAAGAAGGGGCTGCAGTGTTGCCTTTAAATCAGTGGGTCCTCATTCACTGTCTGCACTGGGGAGGGGCAATATGACAGCACAACTGTTCATCTCACTCGCTCCACATCCTTAGAAGTAACACGATTTTTAGATTGGCTTCATGAAAATTAGCTCAGAGACTAAAGTAGCACTACAGAGGAATAAAAAAAATATTTGTTATATAAATAAGGATCTTATTAAAATACTAAGTAAGATACTATGCCACGGTATATATTCATAATTTAAAACCCACCTACTTGGGAAAACTTTGAGGTGCCATCTAATAAAAATGCAGCATGAAAGAATATTATGCCCTTGATAGTCACATAGTGTCTATAATTATGACAACGAATGTTCAGTGAGAAATCAAACGCCAACTGCAAGGGCAAAATATAATAAAAAATAGCTTAAAGTAGCTAGTGCCTTCAGGATAAAATCTGGAAAAGAGCTTTCTTGCTGATCTTTTTTTGAAACTTTGCTGCTCCTGAAGTTTTTACCCTTTAAGGCTCCTCAGTTTATATGAAGCTTGGAGGACAAATAACAGACAGGTTTGAGCCTAACAGATTTGTTTGAATCCCAAATTTACCAATGACTGCTTGTGTGACCTACTAAACTAAGCTCCAGGAGGGCCAGGCCAGGTGTCTTATTCAACCACAAAATCCCAGACGCCTCCTCCCCAGCGCCCCCGGCATGTGAGGCACATTTCCTCCATCAGCATAGGAATCGGATGACCTGGGAAAGGGAGTATTGTTAGTTTTCCCAGCGCCAGCTTCAATAGGGATCGGGGTTATTTAAAAATGCAGGAGAAAAATAAGGAGGCACTCAAAAACAAAACACAAAACCCACATTGAGGGGGCATGTCAAAGGCGGGAACAGGAGATAACGGAAACCCACATTGATGGGGGCATGTCAAAGGCGGGAACAGGAGATAACGGAAACCCACATTGATGGGGGCATGTCAAAGGCGGGAACAGGAGATAACGGAAACCCACATTGATGGGGGCATGTCAAAGGCGGGAACAGGAGATAACGGAAAGAGTTCCCAATGGTCAAAGCTGGGCTAATTTGAGCAACAAAATAAAGCAGTATTAAATTGTAACCCAAAGTATAAAATATTCATGTGTCCACACTGATAAACATAAATGATCGAACTAATAAAGCGAAAGGGACAACTGTCCTTTGCAGAAGAATTTCAATTAATTATGTAGACCACTCCCAAAAAAGTACACTACAACTCCCCATTCCTTTAGTGTGGGCTGTGCATAGTGATTTCCTTCCAAAGAGCACAGTATGAAATGGGGGAAAAGAGTAACTTTACAATGGAGAAACCTGACAAACACTCCTTCAGCCAGGTGATCAGGTCGTCAACATCAACATCAATAACAGTCATAACCTTTTATTTCATGTCATAAAATGGTGACACTTACTTGTGTTAAAAAAATTTAATAACAATGTAATCATTATATCTCTGCAATCAGCTGAAGTTCTAAGAAAAAATGACAATGTTGAAAGTTGTATCATCATTATTATAAACTTTCATGTTCAGTATATGTAAACTCCAAAGCCAATTTCAAAAGACATTTTTGTGAAATACCATTCTTTAAAAAAAAGGATATTATATATAACTGTATGAATGTTAAATGTTTTACAGTACCGATTTGCTACATTTTATGTATGCTGTAAAACAAATACCATTTTAAAGTATATTGGAATTCGTAACTAAAGTAATAAATAAATGCTTGAAATATACCCAGTAGAAACTTATTTTTATTATCCAATCCTTTTGATAAGAAATGCCTCTAGTGTTATGTACAAACTTGATCTTCTTTGAAATGTGTTGTCCACTGCTTTTCTGTTTCTGTCACAGTAGCTATAAACAGCTGTTTAAGGATATCCTTATCTAAATTTCTGCCTGCAAACAAAACAAAATATGACGTGATTACATTATGCTTATTAAAATGACACAGTTCACCTATCAATTCCAGTTCATTAAATGCTTTATGGTGTTTAGAAATTTACAAAAAGAATAGTAATTGAGTGATTCCATCTTTAACTTTCCAGGTCAGTACATCAAAGTCACATTGGTCCTTGGATTAACCACTTTTCTAAAACTGAAGAAGAACAAAAGTCCTAACAAGCTTTTACGAACGTTGTAACGTGATAAAGATGAAACATTGACCACAAGCTTATTTAGTTTTAAAAGAGGACCTGAATGGTTAATCTGTTTGAGTGGCACATGATATCCCTTTCAAATATATTTTTCACTTTGTTTTAAAACTGTGAATCCTTTCAGACTTACCAAGGAGGACCAATCGATTTGTTCTCTCAGTGTCATCCTTCCAGCTCACTGGAGTCTCCTCCAGATCATAGAGCTCATGGACACCCTGGACAATCACTTGTTGTGATTTGTCTTTGATTGACACCAATCCCTGCTCAAAGGAGAATTGACTGAACATTAATCAGCCTCAGTTCAAACTTAAAAGCAGAAATAGAGCATCAATGTTAATGGATTAATTACTGATATTCACTTAAAAAATACAAACTCTTAAGCTGAGAAAATTACTTAATTCCAATTATTTGTGAATTACAAGAAGTTTCTTAATGTTTTTAATTTTCAAAAAAGGTTTCTGTGTATTGATTTTTTTTTGAACAATCCCCTTTTCTAATGATAAAGTTAATACATATATTAGGATGGTTTTTCAGTGTTATTTATCACAACCAAAACCTGAAACAAAATGATGAAATATGTATCATATCCTATTGATTAAAGATTTTATATAATGTTTCACAGTTTTAGTGGGAAAAGTTGAGAAGTTAAAGGAGTTTGATTATATTAAATAATTTGTTTTAGAAATGGGTTGCAATCAATGAACAATGATGAAATAAAGAAAAACTATTATATTTATCTGAATATGAGCTCATTGTGTATTGATTTGCAGAAATGAAAAATGAATTATCTGATAAACTGGCTCCTATGGGGATGAAATTAATTTATTTGAAATAATATTCTTAATTTACCAAAAACTTTGTGCACACTTGTGAACACACAAGAGTAGACACTCAACTGACTGGTTAAGCATACACTTTAGAATCACTGCTTCCTAGAAGAAATACCTTTCATGACTTAAATACCCAAATATCAAGTAACGTGAGTGGGTTTCTAAATACAGAACAAGAATTCTTCTAGTCCTTTGTAACTTTGTTTAGAGTATGACAAATGTTTAGTGTCTGCTAAATGCATCAGGAAGCATAATGTTCAGCAGAAGTGAGATTTGCAACATTATTTCTCTGTACTTGGGAACAGAGAGCAGAAGGTAACATTTCAAAGCACACAGGTTTGTTCTAGCTGCAACCCTAAAGAAAGTTGTGCAAATAAATCAAGCCTTATGCAGTGATTTCCAAAGCTCCTTTTCAGTCATGAAAATAATAAAGAAAAATGAAAGTAGACAAAGATGATTTGTACTAAAACCAGTGTTTCTGTTTAAAACCAAATATAGTTTTTATAACAGCCAAGAAAAGGACTTTGTCCGAAAGTCTGCAACAGTAAACTGTACCTTCAGCCTTATGACCTCCATGCAGTGATTGTCCTTGTTTCTCACATTCTTTTCCCACAGGAGATTCTGTATCAAGTGACATATTTTAATAAGACCAACCATCGCTAATAGCAACAACTATGTAACAAAACCATTGATAAATCATTTATCAGTTAAAAATTGCATTCACCTGAATAAACATATTAAGATGTTCTTCCTTTGCATTTCCTGGTACTTCAAATGTGATTGTAACAATACTCTGTAAATCAAGGGAAATAACAATAATTCTTTATAGTAATATCAATGTTTTTTAAATCACAAATTTTAAGATGAAAAGGAACATATTCATGGAATTTTACATTGCTTAAACCATATATATTAGGTATTATACTTTCCTCAGCATATGTGCTGTTTTTTTGGAATTAGCAACTCCATTTCCTACATTCTGCACAGGTACCAATGGATTTAGTATTTACACAAACTACTACCTTGTATTTTAAAAAACTCACTCAAAAACCCTGATGAAAGGGTCCTCATTATTTAATTCATTCTTTCGTGGATTCTCAGCAATAAGAATATATGTAACACATACAATGTACTCACTACACAGGGCCAGGTACTTTTGCCTGAGTCACCTCATTTTATCTTTTGACTTACTCTTCACAACAATCCTGGGGAGTGAAGATAACTATTTCATTTTATAAATTGGGGAAAATAAGGGTCAAAAAAATAAGCTACCCAGGGCCAGGAATAAAACTCAAAACCAAAGTAAATTTGTTCTCTTAAAAAAAAAATACAAAAGAAAGGCTTGGCTTATCTTTAACTGAATAAGCATGTGCCAAGAGGAGAAGAGTTCTTAGCGATGAGAATGATAGGATAATGCCCTCTTTGGCTTTAGTAAGGGTGACATCATCATGTATTGAATATTAACTCTAGGATTTATTTTTCTTCTTTATCTTGATAAATCTCTCACTGTCTACCCTAAAGAAACAGAAGCTTAACATTTCCTCTAACAGGTCACCTAATTAAAACCCAAACCTCCCTTTGCCAATATAACCCCAAATTTCAAACTCAGAGATGAAAATACACAAGGGCTAAGCATAACATTATAAAAACATACACCCCACCTTGGAAAACAGAGGCTCAAAAGCCAAGCTCAAAATGAATTTAAAAAGGTAGAAAATAATATACTAAAGCACATCTTTGCATAACTTCCTAGAACTGCATATCTGGCCTAGCAATTTTACTCACCATTACATAATCATACAGGCTTACAGCAGAAAATACAAAAAGACCAAAACTATTTTATAATCCAAACTCAAGAGAATCGCTAAAGTATTAAAGACCAATTTAGGCAGAAACATATGAGACATTTCTTTCTTTCCATAGGTTACTGGGGAACAGGTGGTGTTGGTTAACTTCTTTAGTGGTGATTTGTGAGATTTTGGTACACCCATCACCTGAGCAGTATACACTGCACCCAATTTTTGTCTTTTATTCCTCATCCCCTTCCCACCCTTTCTCCCTGAGTCCCCAAAGTTCATTGTGTCATTCTTATGCCTTTGCATCCTCATAGCTTAGCTCCCACTTATGAGTGAGAACATAGCGATGTTTGGTTTTCCATTCCTGAGTTCTTTCACTTAGAATAATAGTCTCCAATCTTATCCAGGTCACTGCGAATGCCATTAATTCACTCCTTTTTATGGCTGAGGAGTATTCCATTGTATGTATATATATATCACAGTTACTTTATCCACGCATTGATTGATGGGCATTTGGGTTGCTTCCACGTTTTTGCAATTGCGAATTGTGCTGCTATAAACATGCGTGTGCACGTATCTTTTTCGTATAATGACTTCTTTTCCTCTGGGTGGATACCTAGTAGTGGGATTGCTGGACCAAATGATAGTTCTACTTTTAGTTCTTTAAGGAATCTCCACACTGTTTTCCATAGTGGTTGTACTAGTTTACATTCCCACCAGCAGTGTAGAAGTGTTCCGTGTTCACCACATCCATGCCAACATCTACTATTTTTTTGATTTTTTTATTATGGCCATTCTTGCAGAAGTAAGGTGGTATCGCACTGTGGTTTTGATTTGCATTTCCCTGATCATTAGTGATGTTGAGCATTTTTCCATATGTTTATTGGCCATTTGTATATCTTCTTTTAAGAATTGTCTATTCATGTCCTTAGCCCACTTTTTGATGGGACTGCTTTTCTTGCTGATTTGTTGGAGTTCATTGTAGATTCTGGATATTTGTTCTTTTTCAGATGTATATATTATGAAAGATTTTCTCCTTCTCTGTAGGTTGTCTGTTTACTCTGCTGACTGTTCCTTTTGCTGTGCAAAAGTTCTTTAGTTTAATTAAGTCCCAGCTATTTATCTTTGTTTTTATTGCATTTGCTTTTGGGTTCATGAAATCCTTGCCTAAGCCAATGTCTAGAATGATTTTTCCAATGGTATCTTTTAGAATTTTTATAGTTTCAGGTCTTAGATTTAAGTCTTTAATTTATCTTGGGTTGATTTTTGTATACAGTGAGAGAGGAGGATCCAGTTTCATTCTCCTACATGTGGCTAGCCAATTATCCCAGCACCATTTGTTGAAAAGGGTATCCTTTTTCCACTTTACGTTTTTGTTTGCTTTGTTGAAGATCAGTTGGCTGTAAGTATTTGGGTTTATTTCTGGGTTCTCTATTCTGTTCCATTGGTCCATGTGCCTATTTTTATAACCGTACCATGCTGTTTTGGTGACTATGGCCTTATAGTATAAGTTTGAAATCAGGTAATGTGATGCCTTCAGATTTGTTCTTTTTGCTTAGTCTTGCTTTGGCTACGCGCATGTGTATGTTAAACCATCCCTGCATCCCTGGTATGAAACCCCTTGATCATGGTGGATTATCTTTTTGATATGTTGTTGGAATCAGTTAGCTAGAATTTTCTTAAGGATTTTAGCATCTATGTTCAAGGATATTGGTCTGTAGTTTTCTTCTTTGGTTATGTCCTTTCCTGGTTTTGGTATTAGGGTGATACTGGCTTCATAGAATGATTTAGGGAGGATTCCTTCTTTCTCTCTCTTGTGGAATAGTGTCTTTAAGACTGGTACCAAGTCTTCTTTGAATATCTGGTGGAATTCTGTTGTGAATCCGTCTAGTCCTGGACATTTTTTTGTTGGTAATTTTTTAATTACCATTTCAATCTCCCTGCTTGTTACTGGTCTGTTCAGGGTAATTCTTCCTGATTTAAGCTAGGAGGGTTGTATCTTTCCAGGAATTTCTCCATCTATTTTAGGTTTTCTAGTTTATGCATGTAAAGGTGTTCATAGTAGCCTTGAATATCTTTTGTATTTCTGTGGTGTCAGTTGTAATATCTCCCGTTTCATTTCTTATTGAGCTTATTTGGATTTTCTCTCTTTTCTTGGCTGATCTTGCTAACAGTCTATCAATTTTATTTATCTTTTCAAAGAACCAGCTTTTTGTTTCATTTATCTTTTGGATTTTTTTTGTTGTTTTGTTTCAATTTCATTTAATTCCGCTCTGGTCTTCTTTCTTCTGCTGGGTTTGTTCTTGTTTCTCTAGTTCTTTGAGATGTGACCGTAGATTGTGCTCTTTCCGACTTTTTGATGGAGGCATTGAGGGCCATGAACTTTCCTCTTAGCACCACCTTTGCTGTATCCCAGAGGTTGATAGGTTGTGTCACTATTGTCATTCAGTTTGAGGAATTTTTACATTTCCATCTTGATTTCATCTTTGACCCAGTGATCATTCAGGAGCAGGTTATTCCACGTATCGGCATGGTTTTGAAGGTTCCTTTTGGAGTTGATTTCCAGTTTTATTCCACTGTGGTCTGAGAGAGTGCTTGATATAATTTTAATTTTCTTAAAATTTATTGAGGCTCATTTTGTTGGCTATCATATGGTCTATCTTACAGAAAGTTCATGTGCTGTTGAACAGAACGTATATTCTGTGGTTGTTGGATGGAATATTCTGTATATATCTTTTAACTCCATTTGTTCCAAGGTATAGTTTAAATCCACTGTTTCTTTGTTGACTTTCTGTCTTGATGACCTGTCCAGTGCTGTCAGTGGAGTATTAAAATCCCTCACTATTATTGTGTTGCTGTCTGTCTAATTTTTTAGGTCTATTAGTAATTCTTTTATAAATTTGGGAGCTCCAGTGTTAGGTGCATATGTTTAGGATTGTGATACTTTCCTGTTGGACAAGGCCTTTTTTCATTATATAATGTCCCTCTTTGTCTTTTTAAACTGCTGGTTCTTTAAAGTTTGTTTTGTCTAATATAAGAATGGCTACTCCTGCTCACACTTGGTGTCCGTTTGCATGAAATGTCTTGGTCCATCCCTTTACCTTAAGTTTATGTGAGTCCTTATGTGTTAGGTGAGACTCTTGAAGGCAACAGATGGTTGGTGAATTCTTACCTATTCTGCAATTCTGTATCTTTTAAGTGGAGCATTTAGGCCATTTATATTCAATGTTAGTATTGAGATGTGAGGTACCACTCTATTCATCATGCTATTTGTTGCCTGTATACCTTGTTTTTCTGGTTTTTGTTGTTTTTCTAATTGTATTTTTGTTTTATAGGTCCTGTGATATTTATGCTTTAAAGAGGTTCTGTTTTGCTATGTTTCCAGGATTTGTTTCAAGATTTAGAGTTCCTTTTAGCATTCTTGCACTGTTGGCTTGGTAGTGGTGAATTCTCTGTTTGTCTGAAAAAGCTGTATCTTGCCTTCATATATGAAGCTTAGTTTTGCTGAATACAAAATTCTCGGCTGATAATTGTTTTGTTTGAGGAGGCTGAAGATAGGGTTCCAATCCCTTCTGGCTTGCAGGGTTTCTGCTGAGAAATGTGCTGTTAATCTGGTAAGTTTTCCTTTATAGGTTACCTGGTGCTTTTGTTTCACAGCTCTTTCTTTCATCTTAACTTTAGATAACCTGACGACAATGTGCCTAGATGATGATCTTTTTGCGATGAATTTCCCAGATGTTCTTTGTGCTTCTTGTATTTGCATCTAGGTCTCTAGCAAAGCTGGGGAAGTTTTCCTCAATTATTCCCCCAAATATGTTTAACAAACGTTTAGATTTCTCTTCTTCCTCAGGAATGCCGGTTATTCTTAGGTTTGGTCATTTAACATAATTCCAGATTTCTTGAAGGCTTTCTTCATATTTTCTTATTCTTTTTTCTTTGTCTTTATTGGATTCGGTTAATTAGAAGACCTTGTCTTCAGGCTCTGAATTTCCTTCTTCTACTTGTTCAATTCTATTGCTAAGACTTTCCAGAGCATTTTATATTTCTATAAGTATGTCCATTATTTCCTAAAGTTTTGATTGTTTTTTATTTATGCTATCTAGTTCATTGAATATTTCTCCCTTTACTTCTTGTATCTTTTTTTTTTTTTATATCTTTACATTGGGCTTCACCTTTCTCTGGTGCCTTAGCTTAATAACCAACCTAGTGAATTCTTTTTCAAGTAAGTCAGGGATTTCTTCTTAGTTTGGATCCATTGCTGGTGAGCTAGTGTGATTTTTTGGGGGGTGTTAAAGAACCTTCTTTTGTCATACTACCAGGGTCGGTTTTCTGGTTCCTTCTCATTTGGGTAGGCTCTGTCAGAGAGAATGTCTAGGGCTGAAGGTTGTTGTTCAGATTCTTTCGTCCTACGGGGTGTTCCCTTGATGTAGTACTCTCTCCCTTTTCCTATGGATGTGGCTTCCTGAGAGCTGAGCTGTAGTGATTGCTATCTCTCTTCTGGATCCAGCCACCCAGCAAGTCTACCAGGCTCCAGGCTGGTACTGGGGGGTAGTCTGCACAGAGTCGGGAGATGTGAACCATCTGTGGGTCTCTCAGCTGTGGATACCAGCACCTGTTCCAGTGGAGGCGGTAGGAGGGTGAAATGTACTCTTTGAGGGTTCTTAGCTTTGCTGGTTTAATGTACTATTTTTGTGCTGGTTGGCCTGCTGCAGGGAGGTGGCACTTTCCAGAGAGTGTCAGTTGTGGTAGTATGGAAAGGAACAGGTGATGTGTTGGGCTCTAGAACGCCCAAAAACATGAGATATTTAATCTCCACTGTTACTAGTAATACAAAAAGCAGAAAAGTGCTTTCTTGCTTGATAAGAGAAGTACAAGCAGACTAAAAAAAGGTTCAAATTGAACTTGCAAATGTGAGACTTTTAAAAGTACTTATTTTGTCACAGCAGTCAAGACACTAACAACCACCTAAATGTCCAGGACAGTTGAATGGATAAAATAAATGTGGTAATATACATACAACCAAATATTATGTATCCTTAAAAAAAATCCCGTCATATACTACAACATGGATGAATCTTGAGGACATTACACTAAGTGAAATAAGCCAGTCACAGAAGGACAAATATTGCATGAATCCACTAATATCAGGTGTCTAAAACAGTAAAACTCATCAAATCAGAAAGTAAAATGGTGGTTACCAGGGGTTAGAGGGAGACGAAAATTGGGAGGGGCTGTTCAATGGGTATAATTTTAGTCATGCAAGATGAAAAGTTCTAGAGGTCTGCTATATAACAATGTACATACAGTTAACAATACTATATTGTACCCTTAAAAATTTGTGGAAGAAGGTAGGTCTCATGTTAAGTGTTTTTTACCACAATAAAAAATATACAGTCATGGATACATAAAGAGAAATGAGCTGTTGGGCAATTTTGTTGTTATACAAACATGATAGTGTACTTACACAAACCTAGATGGTATAACCTACTACACACCTAAGCTATGCTGTATAGCCTGTTGCTCCTAGGCTACAAACCTGTACAGCATATATGTTACTGTACTGACCAGTGTATGGAAATGATAACACAATGGTAAGTATTTGTGTGACAGTAATTTTTCAGCTCCATCGTAATCTTATGCAGTCTGACTAAAACGCTGTTATGCGGTGCATGACTATACTTATTTTTAAATCTTAATAAACATATTCTATTTTAAAACTATTTTTATAGCATAAGGTAATAATAATATGCACTTTTTAAATGACAATTATTTTATTTCTTCATTAAAGGAATCACTACAATACCTAAAAGTCCACATAAAAATATACAGCAAAAGGTTGTCAAATGAAACATAACTGTCAGTTAAAAAAAAATAAATTTAGTCTTCAAAAATGTTTAAAATGTATTTTAATGCAAGTTGGAAAACTATATTGAGAATGTCGCAAAATACGACTCCAAATTGCTTTATTGTTAAAGATTTTAACTTAATAAATTTTTTTGAGATGGGGTCTCACTCTGTTGCCCAGGCTGGAGTAGAGTGGCACAATCATGGCTTACTGCAGCTTTGAACTCCCAAGCTAAAGCAATCCTCCCACTTCAGCCTCTCGAGTAGCTGGGATTACAGGTACATGCCACCATGCCTGGCTAATTTTTTGTATTTTTTGCAGAAATGGGGTTTCACCATGTTGCCCAGGCTGGTCTACAACTCCTGGGTTTTAAGCAATCCACCCACCTTGGCCTGTCAAAGCGTGAGGATTACAAGCATAAGCCACCACACCCAGCCTAAAGATTTTTATAATGATTTTTGCTTTTATCAGGTTAAATATGTGACTTAATATTTTTAAGGGGTACAATAAACTCCAGTATGAGACAAAAAAGGCTTTAAAAATTAAGATAACGCATCATGGGGCTCAATAAGGATGATCTATATTTTGGAACCAGATGTTTTCCTACACCAATAAACTCTTTTCACGTTAGAAAAACCCTGAAAAAAATCTGTAATTCCCAGTGCAGAAGATAAGGGTCACAACTCATAGTTGGTTCTAATAATAAACTAAACATTATTTGTCACTTGGGTTTTCTCATCTACCTTCCCACTCTCCAAACCCAGGTGTTCCTTATGGGGAATAAACAAAGAATCCATGAAAAATAGATAACTGCATTAAAAATTCAGGGATAGAGCCTTAATAACACATATATACTAGGTCCTAGGTATTACCCATTTCAGACTTTTTTTTTCCAGTTTTTGTTTTGAATCTAAAATTAACTCCTTCTTCCATGTATGCTGACACAGAAAGAAACAGAAAAGTGAGGCAATAATTGAGAAAACTAAAGCAAAATGAGGAATTGTCTCTAAAATAAAATTTAGGAACAACTTACTCAGGTTTGTTTATTTAGTCTGTTTCTTCTTTAACCCACTGGGTTATTTCTCCATTTTCTACTTTTTTGCAAACAATACCTAACATACAATAACTTTTATAGGTTTTCTTCATCCAGAACACTAAGCCCCCTAATGTGCTTAAACTCAAAATCTGTACCTTCACACTCTATCCCTCTGTTCTTCTTTGCCTGTATAATATCTATACTATAATATCTGGCCACCAGGGACAACTGAATATATGGCATTATCATTCAAATCACTTTGCCTTCCCGATTTTTCTATTTCTAGGTTTCTCTAGTCAATCTAGGCTCGTTTCCCATCACCCCTTCTTTTCTTTCTGATCCATACTCAGTCAGACAGGATATTCAGGCAAGTCTACTGGTGAAACAGCTCTGGATTTATCCCATTTCTAGTCTCACTGTAACCAACATGTTTCAGGCCCTTATCACACAGTATCTTCCCGCATGGTCTCCTGACTCTAAAGTCCAATCTAGCTTACATAACACTCCTAGACAGCACTGCTTGAGTTCTCTTTGTTTAGCAAATTAAAACCTAATACCTTAGACCAGGATTCCAGTACCAACTCTCCACTAAGACTTCTGTACCAGAGACCTACTCATCTATAAGATTCTCACCTTCTCATTTTTAAACATCCGTATTGCTCTTTTCCTTACTTCTTCCGGTCAAAAAAAATCCTACCGTCAAAAAAATCCTACCAGTTCAAGGTTATTTTTTGTTAAGTAAGTCAGAATAGCACTTACCCCTTCTTTGACTAGGAAGGGGCAAAAAGGAACTCTTTACAATTTTGGATATCTTTTGTATCTTGACCTGAGTGGGAGTTAGAAGGATATGTGTTTGAATGTGCATATAGACAGATATATAGGTACAAATATATGTAAAAATACATTGAGGCCGGGCACAGTGGCTCATGCCTGTAATCCCAGCACTTTGGGAGGCCGAAGCAGGTGAAGTCAGGAGTTTGAGACCAGCTTGGCCAACATGGTGAAACCCCATCTCTACTAAAAAAAAAAAAAAAATACAAAAATTAGCTAGGCATGGTGGTACATGCCTGTAATCCCAGCTACTCAGGAGGCTGAGGCATGAGAATCACTTGAATCTAGAAGGAGGAAGTTGCAGTGAGCCAAGGTCACACCACTGCACTCCAGCCTGGGTGAGACTCCAGCCGGAGCGAGACTCCGTCTCAAAAAAAACCAAAAAAACAAAAACAAAAACAAAACCCAAACATCGAATTGTACACTAAAATTACACATTTGCATGCTTTACTGTATGCAAATAAATAAACCAAAACCAAAACAAACAAACAAAAAACTATCCTCATGAAGCATTTGATGGGGTTCAGGACATGCTATCCCAAAATATGGCAACTCAATATTTGAGAAAATGGCAGAATCAGGAAGGTCACTCTCACCTTCTCTCCTGAAGCAGGTCATAAAACCTAGGAAAGATTTTCTGACCTTCCGCTGATGCAGGTCATAAGACCCTCATTTAAGAGGTGCCCTCTCTATACACAGAGGAAAAGAACATCCTTAAGTCTGAATATGAAGGGTCACAGAGAAAAATCTGAGCAAACAGGCCTTGCTAAGTTCTTCCCAGTTTATTATTAGATCATACTGTTTTATCTAATTATGCTTCTCCATTACTATCCTCTTCCATATCATAACTAACAGAAAACATACACAGGTATGTTTTATGAAGGCTCCTGTGTCAAGTAAAACTTACTAAATAAATTTCTATGTTGAAATTTCTCTTGATAGTTGGTCTTCTGTTAGAGAGACCTCAGCCATGAATCTAGTGATAGGCGAGGAAAAGATAAATTTCCTCCCTTACACCCCAGATCCACTAAACCAAATGAAATTGTTCATGCCTCTGAATCCCATAGCCCTTTGGCTGTGATACTATTTTCCCCTATGTTTATATTATCTAAAGCAGGACAGTGCATCAGAATCTCCTACAGAGGCTACAAAAATATAGATATGCCCTATTTAGTAGTAAAGTGACATAGTGTCTGGAATTTGCTTTAATACACTACACCAAGGGCAATAGGTACATACAGGCTCATTATGCCATTCTACTCTTACGCACGTTTGAAATTTCCTATTAAAATACATTTGTTTTTTTTAAATACTCCAGGCAAAAGAAATGTTGGGAGGATAGGTGAAATAAAATCAGCTAAATGTTGATGCCATTTAAACTGGGTGATGCATACAAGGGGTTCACTTTACTATTCTGTTTATTCTTTTATATCTTTGAAATCTTCCATAATAAAATGTTAAAAATATACATTAATATACACATACCCAAGTCCCAATCCTGGAGACTGAGGGTGAGAACTACTGAGTTATCGAATTTTTTTTAAAAAGGCTCCACATGCGATTCTGATTTATGCCCCATTTGAGAAACGCAGCTTTTCATTCTTGTAACAAATACTCACTGAGTACCCACCAAGCCCTGTACTAAGCAATACAGATTTTATACGTAAGGAATGTATAGACTCTTGCCAGGCAAAAGCATTTCAAGCAAACTGCAAGGCATCGTAACCGCCACAATAGAGGTTCATTCGAGGCTCTATGGATGGAGACACTGGCCGCCCCAAACGCTCATGGAAAGTGAGCGCTGCGTTTGCTTCATCTTTTCATCCCTATGATTCTTGGCATCACGTTCTTTACCCAGAAGCTCAAATGTGCTTCATGTTCAGCTATATGACAGATACCGACTATCATGAAGAACTGGGTTTTTTGTTTTTTTACCATAAATTCTATCTCCAAGGACTTGTATTTCTCTCATTTATTCATTTTAAAGATAAGTGAAGAGGAATATCCTATTAACAAAAGTTTCACAGGGAAAGGTGCCACAAACATAGTGGCAAACCTGCTCATAAATGTGAACCAAAATGAATACAAATGCAAGTAGCTGTTATCTCGGCCCTATTACAACCAATAGCAATTCAAAAACTGAGTGATCACTTGAGAGAGAGGAAGGAAGATTAGGCACACTGCTCACTTACACATCCCCCACTCCACCCCTCAGGGTTTTAAGAGGAACAAAGAAGTTATCCTAAAGCTCTACGATCTATGATCTGCTTAACAGAAACGCAGGTACAGTAAAATTATATTTAAATTGTTCCTAGCATCTTAGATATTTACCTTAGGGATTAGAATTTTAGAGCATGAAAAACATCTTAAGGAGTTCAAATTTATAGTGCTACCTGAAGGTGAAACTCCAAGTCAATTTTTATTTAAATAAGCCATGCTTATATCAGACCTTTCCTTAAACAATTCAACATACTTAAAAACAGACTGCCTATAGAACCCCCAGGCTGCTTTTAAGGAGTAATCCCTATCAGAACTAACCAATATGCTAAGCAATCTACAGAATGGAAAGGCTAGAAAGCATGATTTCCTCAGATTCTAAAACAAATCTGGTTTGATGAATTCCTATTATGTGTTAAGAAATAGAATTAGACTATGTCAAAAGCATTTAAGATTCCAAAAATTATCAATACAGTTCAAAAATACCATTTTAGAAAAAGTTTATAATAAAATAGTCCTAAACATAGCCTATCTAGTTAAAGAGGTCCTTTAAAAACATTGATTAGGAATTTTGGATTTAGATTTTTTTTCTTTACCTGATCAAGGTGAGGTTGTGTTCCTGGCACATGCTGAAGTTTTTTCTGCAAACTAAAAACAACTGATTAGAAATTCAGAGATGAATACACTTCTGATTTAACTTTATACGTTATTTAGTGACACAAGGATAATGAAGTGACTTTCCATAACTGACTATTCTAATATTCTGTAATTCCAATTTTACAAGTTGTTCGCAAATTCCAATAGAGAAAAGCTGGCAGATTAAGTTTTTTTAAAATTTCTTAAAAAAAACCCACACATTCATATATATACATATGCACAGAATAAAGAGAAAAACTAGTCTTTTAGCAACACTATTTTGTATGGTTAAATATGTCAGTAAATTTCTTTACCATTCCAACAGGTTTAATACAAACTTAAATATATATAACCATTCTAGTATTGCTCAGAGTTCCTTAACTTTCTCCTGCTTCCTAATATGAAAATAATGCTGGCACCTAAAGAAAGTTGAAAGGATAAATTTTCCTTTATCAATGTTTTCCCTTGAACTTATTAAAAAAGAAATAGTATCCATAAATATAAATTTTCTATATAGTCAGTTACCAATTGAGAGAAAAAGAAAGTCAGAATGTTAAAAATGCATTGTTCTGATATGAAAAGCACAAGAAGATCAACATGGCATAACAAATTACAACCATAATAACTGTAGCATACATTTCAACACTGATGGGGACAGGACGGGAGGGGGAAAGGACTGAAAACCTTGCAGATGCTTTGCCTTGAAGAAGAGTGAGGGGTAAATTAGTAACAGCAAGTTTAGGAAAGAGAAAGAACTTGTAGGAACTATTGGAGGGAATGAGTCTCTTTGGGGGGTCCTAGTAGGGAGAATGTCAAATTAAATCCTTCCCAGCTGGTTGCTCAGGAAAAGATTCTCCTGTTTAGCAGTTAAGCACACACAAAAAAGTCATGCAACGGCCTTCCCTATAGTGGTGAGATCACATTAAATAGCTACTTCAAGTGTCACTAAAGCATTATAACTGCTCTTAAGTGTATGTAGAATGAGATTACTTTAGAAAAACATTTCGAAAAATCATATGCTTTTCCCATATGTTCAGTATTTAATGTTGTTGGACAATGACTGCCTAGAACTTCATACGCAGCAAAAAAAAAAAAAAAAAAAATCTAACAACGAACATTTAAGTTTAGTTCCCATAAGTCTCAGAATTTCATGGCCTCGATTTTTTCCCTATCATACACATTTTTAAAAGACTAATCTAGTGGATAAGGATATGCTATCAAAACCTGAAACTCATGAATCGGAAATCATCTTGCACATTAACTTGTAATCTTATAACAATTTTTGTCTCTGCACACATAAAATGTAAATTCTGCACGCATAAAATGTAAAAAATCTCAAACAGTTTAGTGTTTTGTATATTTAAATCATTATGTTCTATAACAAACAATAATTTAGGTATTGTCAGTAAGATGGAATTAGCAACATTTCTATTTCTCCCAAGTAAAAATATAGAATGATATAAAGAACTGGATGCCTTGATGAAAGTACCTGTATTACAGCAAATTATAGCAAAAGACAGAAGTAGAAAGGAAAAACAAAAATTGATATACTGAATATAGAGGTGGGAAATGATTGCATACTATAATTCTTATTAGTGAAATAAAGCACTAAAGGATACAACATGTAAAGGGAAAAAATAAAATTTCAACTAAAAAATATTCTAGTGTTTAACATATTAAATGACAACCAACTTGTAAGCTCTTGGACCCAACAGAGATAAATTAGTTTAAGAAAGGCAAATTTTGCTGGGTTCAGTGGCTCAGGCTTATAATCCCAGCACTTTGAGAGGCCAAGTAGGAGAATCACTTGAGGCCAGGAGTTCAAGACGAGCCTGAGCAACGTAGCGAGAGCCTGTCACTACAAAAAAGTAACAATAAAAAAATTAGCCAGGCATGGGTGCAAGCCTGTAGTCCCAGCTACTCAGGAGGCTGAGATGGGAGGATCACTTGAGTCCAGGAGTTCACGACTGCAGAGAGCCATGATAGCCACTGCATTCCAGCCCAGGTGTCAGAGTGAGACTCTGTCTCAATAAAATAAAATAATTAAATAAATATAAAAAAAAGAAAAGGCCAAGTGTGGTGGCTCACGCCTATAATCCCATTACTTTGGGAGGCTGAGGTGGGCAGATCACTTAAGCCCAGGAGTTTAAGATCAGCTTCGGCAACATGGCAAAACCTCATCTTCTACCAAAATAAAAAATTAGCCAGGCATGGTAGTGTGTGCCTATAGTCCCAGCTACTCATGAGTCTGAGGTGGGAAGACGGCTTAAGCCCAGGACACAGAGGCTATAGGGAGCTGACATCGCACCACTGCACTCTAGCCTGGGCAATAGACCCAGACCCTGTCTCCAAGGGGAAAAAAAAAAAAAAAGAAAGGCAAATTTCATGCAGCATTGTTTCATTTGTTCCCCTTGTAAACACATTTAAATGTATCACAGGATCTGTAACTATCAAAACTGCCCACAGCATCAAATTAAAAATACAGTTCTAATCCAGACACGGTGGATGAAAGGGATCATGGCTAACTAGTGAAACAGCACTGATAGTCAAATGAAGGGCTGGAACCTTGAAGTAAAAAGAAGAAAAGGATCATCGAGAGAAAAGTTAGGATGGGCTAGACTTCTGGTTATTTCAGAAATGGGTAGCAAAAGACAAAGGGTCTTAACCTCCCAGAATTAGGTGACAACCTCAGCCAATCTATCTCCCTAGTAAAGCCAGAACTAAGATGGGAAAAAAAGACCATTTTTAAATGAACAAACCAAATTTATGCTTAGGGCTGTATTCGCTTAATGGAGGAACAGTCATTTCAAAATTAGTAAAACAAAAGCTTTATATGAAAAAACATAGTATAATTCTGAATGATTTTCATACAATCATTATCAAGCATAAGTGATACTGGATACCTGAAGCTGACATGAGGGAAAAAGCCTCAGGGAGATTTCACAACTTTGTACAGCAGTGGCTTGAAAGGATATAACTATATTTACCATAAAACAAGAAGTAGTCATTTTTACCTTACACAATTTATAAGAATTTTTAGAAAAATAGAAATAACTCACATGTAATTCAGGTATACCAAACTTTCCTGTCTTCCTACTAAATGGAACTAGAAAAGCAAAATGCTGATTTTTTCCAGGTACTCCGAAAATACCCTTATAATTTTAACCGTAATTTGTTTAGTCTAAAAAGGTACTGTTCCAATACCAGAAGCTACAGGTGAAAAACGTATCTCTCAACTGAAGACAACTTCTTGAATAACTGTATCACTGACAAGTTTACTCTCTGAGCTTCAGTTTCCAAACTGAGAAGGAGGAATAACTGCCCTGCCTGTCCCACACTTCTGGCTGCTGAAATAATCTCAATCAATTTCTTTTTTCTTTCTTTCTTTATTTTTTTTTTACAAACTACATGCAAATTTAATTTTTCCAATTCATAAAGTAAAAGGGGTCCAATAAAACACTATCATGTCCTACCTCACAGGTTACTGTAGGTATTGTTTTCAAAATGTGAACAATACTACAGACTGAAGGTGGAAAAAAAAAAACTAGTTGAAAGTAGAATTAGTTTTTAAGGGCATGGCTAAGGCAAAATTAGAAATATATATATAAGGCTGGGTGTGGTGGCCTACACATGTAATCCCAGCACTTTGGGAGGCTGAGGCATGAGGATCACTTGAGCCCAGGAGTTTGAGACCAGCCTAGGCAACATAGCAAGACCCCATGCTTACAGAAAATTAAAAAAAAAAATTAGTCAGGCATGGTGACACATGCCTGTGGTCCCAGCTTCTTGGGAGGCTGAGATGGGAGGATCACTTGAGCCCAGGAGGTTGAGGCTGCAGTAAGCCATGTTTGTGCCACTGCACTCCAGCCTGAGTGACAGAGAGCCCCATCTCAAAAAAATAAATAAATAAAAAGAAAAGAAATATATATAGGAATGGGAATTAGAACTCTCAAATGTAGAGCCACCCACTATGCCTACCCTTAAGCAAAATTGTCCCACCAATTCAAAATACCCAGAGACATGTCCATTTTCATGATCTTCTATGGACATATACGAGACTTATGAGATATTCATTGCAGCATTATTTGCAATAGCCAAGCTGTGAGAACAAGTTAAATGTCCACTAACAGAAAAAGGGATAAAGTAAATGTGGTATATGTAGAAAATGGAATATTATTCAGACTTAAAAAGGAAAACTTGCCATATGCAAAAACATGGATGAACCTTGGTGACTTTATGCTACGTGAAATAAACCAGTCACAGAAAGACAAATAATGCATGATTCCACTTGCGTCAGGTAATTAAAATAGTCAACCCCACAGAAAGAGTGTAGAATGGTGGATGCCAGGGGCTATGAAGACAGGGAAATGGGAAGCTGCTATTCAAGGGGTATAAAGCTTCAGTTATAAAGAGTGAAACGTTCCAGAGATCTGCTGCACATCCTCATGCCTATAGTTAGCAATACTGTATTGTACACTTAAAAAATTGTTAAGAGGGTAGATCTCATGTTAGATGTTCTTACTACAATAAAAAAAGAAAAAGATACTGATGCACAAGAATAACTAATCTTTCTTCCCTCCCTTACCAAAAAGATTCCCCACAGGAGAAGGCAGAAAACTAATCCATTATTAAAGTGAAGAGAGGAGAGAGGAGCCAAGATGGCCAAATAGGAACAGCTCCGGTCTACAGCTCCCAGCGTGAGAGACGCAGAAGACAGGCGATTTCTCCATTTCCATCTGAGGTACCGGGTTCATCTCACTAGGGAGTGCCAGACAGTGGGCGCAGGTCAGTGGGTGCGTGCACCATCCGCGAGCCGAAGCAGGGCGAGGCATTGCCTCACTTGGGAAGCGCAGGGGGTCAGGGAGTTCCCTTTCCTAGTCAAAGAAAGGGGTGACAGACGGCACCTGGAAGATCGGGTCACTCCCACCCGAATACTGCGCTTTTCCGACGGGCTTAAAAAAAGGCGCACCACGAGATTATATCCCGCACCTGGCTCGGAGGGTCCCACGCCCACGGAGTCTCGCTGATTGCTAGCACAGCAGTCTGAGATCAAACTACAAGGCGGCAGCGAGGCTGGGGGAGGGGCGCCCGCCATTGCCCAGGCTTGCTTAGGTAAACAAAGCAGCCAGGAAGCTCCAACTGGGTGGAGCCCACCACAGCTCAAGGAAGCCTGCCTGCCTCTGTAGGCTCCACCTCTGGGGGCAGGGCACAGACACACAAAAAGACAGCAGTAACCTCTGCAGACTTAAGTGTCCCTGTCTGACAGCTTTGAAAAGAGCAGTGGTTCCCCCAGCACGCAGCTGGAGATCTGAGAACTGGCAGACTGCCTCCTCAAGTGGGACCCTGACCCCTGACCCCCGAGCAGCCTAACTGGGAGGCACTCCCTAGCAGAGGCAGACTGACACCTCACACGGCCGGGTACTCCAACAGACCTGCAGCTGAAGGTCCTGTCTGTTAGAAGGAAAACTAACAAACAGAAAGGACATCCACACCAAAAACCGATCTGTACATCACCATCATCAAAGACCAAAAGTAGATAAAAACCACAAAGATGGGGAAAAAACAGAGCAGAAAAACTGGAAACTCTAAAAAGCAGAGCGCCTCTCCTCCTCCAAAGGAACGCAGCGCCTCTCCTCCTCCGAAGGAACGCAGCTCCTCACCAGCAACGGAACAAAGCTGGAGGGAGAATGACTTTGACGAGCTGAGAGAAGAAGGCTTCAGACGATCAAACTACTCCGAGCTATGGGAGGACATTCAAACCAAAGGCAAAGAAGTTGAAAACTTTGAAAAAAATTTAGAAGAATGTATAACTAGAATAACCAATACAGAGAAGTGCTTAAAGGAGCTGATGGAGCTGAAAACCAAGGCTCAAGAACTACGTGAAGAATGCAGAAGCCTCAGGAGCCGATGCGATCAACTGGAAGAAAGGGTATCAGCGATGAAATATGAAATGAATGAAATGAAGCAAGAAGGGAAGTTTAGAGAAAAAAGAATAAAAAGAAACAAACAAAGCCTCCAAGAAATATGGGACTATGTGAAAAGACCAAATCTATGTCTGATTGGTGTACCTGAAAGTGACGGGGAGAATGGAACCAAGTTGGAAAACACTCTGCAGGATATTATCCAGGAGAACTTCCCCAATCTAGCAAGGCAGGCCAACGTTCAGATTCAGGAAATACAGAGAATGCCACAAAGATTCTCCTCGAGAAGAGCAATTCCAAGACACATAATTGTCAGATTCACCAAAGTTGAAATGAAGGAAAAAATGTTAAGGGCAGCCAGAGAGAAAGGTCGGGTTACCCTCAAAGGGAAGCCCATCAGACTAACAGCGGATCTCTTGGCAGAAACTCTACAAGCCAGAAGAGAGTGGGGGCCAATATTCAACATTCTTAAAGAAAAGAATTTTCGACCCAGAATTTCATATCCAGCCAAACTAAGCTTCATAAGTGAAGGAGAAATAAAATACTTTACAGACAAGCAAATGCTGAGAGATTTTGTCACCACCAGGCCTGCCCTAAAAGAGCTCCTGAAGGAAGCACTAAACGTGGAAAGGAACAACCGGTACCAGCCACTGCAGAATCATGCCAAAATGTAAAGACCATCCAAGCTAGGAAGAAACTGCATCAACTAACGAGCAAAATAACCAGCTAACATCATAATGACAGGATCAAATTCACACGTAACGATATTAACTTTAAATGTAAATGGACTAAATGCTCCAATTAAAAGACACAGACTGGCAAATTGGATAAAGAGTCAAGACCCATCAGTGTGCTGTATTCAGGAAACCCATCTCACGTGCAGAGACACACATAGGCTCAAAATAAAGGGATGGAGGAAAATCTACTAAGCAAATGGAAAACAAAACAAGGCAGGGGTTGCAATCCTAGTCTCTGATAAAACAGACTTTCAACCAACAAAGATCAAAAGAGACAAAGAAGGCCATTACATAATGGTAAAGGGATCAATTCAACAAGAAGAGCTAACTATCCTAAATATATATGCACCCAATACAGGAGCACCCAGATTCATAAAGCAAGTCCTGAGTGACCTACAAAGAGACTTAGACTCCCACACAATAATAATGGGAGACTTTAACACCCCACTGTCAACATTAGACAGATCAATGAGACAGAAAGTCAACAAGGATACCCAGGAATTGAACTCAGCTCTGCACCAAGCAGACCTAATAGACATCTACAGAACTCTCCACCCCAAATCAACAGAATATACATTCTTTTCAGCACCACACCACACCTATTCCAAAATTGACCACATACTTGGAAGTAAAGCTCTCCTCAGCAAATGTAAAAGAACAGAAATTATAACAAACTATCTCTCAGACCACAGTACAATCAAACTAGAACTCAGGATTAAGAATCTCACTCAAAACCACTCAACTACATGGAAACCGAACAACCTGCTCCTGAATGACTACTGGGTACATAACAAAATGAAGGCAGAAATAAAGATGTTCTTTGAAACCAACGAGAACAAAGACACAACATACCAGAATCTCTGGGACGCATTCAAAGCAGTGTATAGAGGGAAATTTATAGCACTAAATGCCCACAACAGAAAGCAGGAAAGATCCAAAATTGACAACCTAACATCACAATTAAAAGAACTAGAAAAGCAAGAGCAAACACATTCAAAAGCTAGCAGAAGGCAAGAAATAACTAAAATCAGAGCAGAACTGAAGGAAATAGAGACACAAAAAACCCTTCAAAAAAATTAATGAATCCAGGAGCTGGTTTTTTGAAAGGATCAACAAAATTGATAGACCGCTAGCAAGACTAATAAAGAAAAAAAGAGAGAAGAATCAAATAGACGCAATAAAAAATGATAAAGGGGATATCACCACCGATCCCACAGAAATACAAACTACCATCAGAGAATACTACAAACACCTCTACGCAAATAAACTAGAAAATCTAGAAGAAATGGATAAATTCCTTGACACATACACCCTCCAAAGACTAAACAAGGAAGAAGTTGAATCTCTGAATAGACCAATAACAGGATCTGAAATTGTGGCAATAATCAATAGCTTACCAACCAAAAAGAGTCCAGGACCAGATAGATTCACAGCCGAATTCTACCAGAGGTACAAGGAGGAACTGGTACGATTCCTTCTGAAACTATTCCAATCAATAGAAAAAGAGGGAATCCTCCCTAACTCATTTTATGAGGCCAGCATCATCCTGATACCAAAGCCGGGCAGAGACACAACCAAAAAAGAGAATTTTAGACCAATATCCTTGATGAACATTGATGCAAAAATCCTCAGTAAAATACTGGCAAACCGAATCCAGCAGCACATCAAAAAGCTTATCCACCATGATCAAGTGGGCTTCATCCCTGGGACGCAAGGCTGGTTCAATATATGCAAATCAATACATGTAATCCAGCATATAAACAGAACCAAAGACAAAAACCACATGATTATCTCAATAGATGCAGAAAAGGCCTTTGACAAAATTCAACAACCCATCATGCTAAAAACTCTCAATAAATTAGGTATTGATGGGACGTATTTCAAAATAATAAGAGCTATCTATGACAAACCCACAGCCAATATCATACTGAATGGGCAAAAACTGGAAGCATTCCCTTTGAAAATGGGCACAAGACAGGGATGCCCTCTCTCACCACTCCTATTCAACATAGTGTTGGAAGTTCTGGCCAGGGCAATTAGGCAGGAGAAGGAAATAAAGGGTATTCAATTAGGAAAAGAGGAAGTCAAATTGTCCCTGTTTGCAGATGACATGATTATATATCTAGAAAACCCCATCATCTCAGCCCAAAATCTCCTTAAGCTGATAAGCAACTTCAGCAAAGTCTCAGGATACAAAATCAATGTACAAAAATCACAAGCATTCTTATACACCAACAACAGACAAACAGAGAGCCAAATCATGAGTGAACTCCCATTCACAATTGCTTCAAAGAGAATAAAATACCTAGGAATCTGACTTACAAGGGATGTGAAGGACCTCTTCAAGGAGAACTACAAACCACTGCTCAAGGAAATAAAAGAGGATACAAACAAATGGAAGAACATTCCATGCTCATGGGTAGGAAGAATCAATATCGTGAAAATGGCCATACTGCCCAAGGTAATTTACAGATTCAATGCCATCCCCATCAAGCTACCAGTGACTTTCTTCACAGAATTGGAAAAAACTACTTTAAAGTTCATATGGAACCAAAAAAGAGCCCGCATCGCCAAGTCAATCCTAAGCCAAAAGAACAAAGCTGGAGGCATCACACTACCTGACTTCAAACTATACTACAAGGCTACAGTAACCAAAACAGCATGGTACTGGTACCAAAACAGAGATATAGATTCATGGAACAGAACAGAGCCCTCAGAAATAACGCCGCATATCTACAACTATCTGATCTTTGACAAACCTGAGAAAAACAAGCAGTGGGGAAAGGATTCCCTATTTAATAAATGGTGCTGGGAAAACTGGCTAGCCATATGTAGAAAGCTGAAACCGGATCCCTTCCTTACACCTTATACAAAAATCAATTCAACATGGATTAAAGACTTAAACGTTCAACCTAAAACCATAAAAACCCTAGAAGAAGACCTAGGCATTACCATTCAGGACATAGGCATGGGCAAGGACTTCATGTCTAAAACACCAAAAGCAATGGCAACAAAAGCCAAAATTGACAGATGGGATCTAATTAAACTAAACAGCTTCTGCACAGCAAAAGAAACTACCATCAGAGTGAACAGGCAACCTACAAAATGGGAGAAAATTTTCGCAACCTACTCATCTGACAAAGGGCTAATATCCAGAATCTACAATGAACTCAAACAAATTTACAAGAAAAAAAACAAACAACCCCATCAAAAAGTGGGTGAAGGACATGAACAGACACTTCTCAAAAGAAGACATTTATGCAGCCAAAGAACACATGAAAAAATGCTCACCATCACTGGCCATCAGAGAAATGCAAATCAAAACCACAATGAGATACTATCTCACACCAGTTAGAATGGCAATCATTAAGAAGTCAGGAAACAACAGGTGCTGGAGAGGATGTGGAGAAATAGGAACACTTTTACACTGTTGGCGGAACTGTAAACTAGTTCAACCATTGTGGAAGTCAGTGTGGCGATTCCTCAGGGATCTACAACTAGAAATACCATTTGACCCAGCCATCCCATTACTGGGTATATACCCTAAAGGACTATAAATCATGCTGCTATAAAGACATATGCACACATATGTTTATTGCGGCATTATTCACAATAGCAAAGACTTGGAACCAACCCAAATGTCCAACAATGATAGACTGGATTAAGAAAATGTGGCACATATACACCATGGAATACTATGCAGCCATAAAAAAGGATGGGTTCATGTCCTTTGTAGGGACATGGATGAAATTGGAAATCATCATTCTCCATAAACTATCGCAAGAACAAAAAACCAAACACCGCATATTCTCACTCATAGGTGGGAATTGAACAATGAGAACACATGGACACAGGAAGGGGAACATCACATTCTGGGGACTGTTGTGGGTTGGGGGGAGGGGGGAGGGATAGCATTGGGAGATATAACTAATGCTAGATGACGAGTCAGTGGGTGCAGCGCACCAGCATGGCACATGTATACATATGTAACTAACCTGCACATTGTGCACATGTACCCTAAAACTTAAGGTATAATAATAATAAATAAATAAATTAAAAAAAAACTCAAGAAAAAATAAAAAATAAAAAAATAAAGTGAAGAGAGTTATTTGTGTGAAAACGCTAAGCTAAAATTTTCTATGTATTTCATGCATTTTCTCATAGAAAGAGTACTAGATATAGTGTTTGGTGTAGAAGTGTTAACGATTAGCCTCTAAAGTTAACTATCATTTACACTATAATTTCTACAGGAAAATGCAATATGATTTCCAAACAACCAGTTAGTAAAACTTCCAAGAATATACCTCATTAAGTATGGTCTTGTATGCCAAAGGAATGGCAGGAAGCTTAAATCATGGATGCAATTGTGCAAATCATTCCTGTTAACTATGGGGAAAAAAGGTACATAACAATAAAAGTAACCAAATTATACAAAACATACCTTATTCCAGAGAGACTATCAAAGGCATGAAGATCTAATACATTAGAGAGATCAACTCTAAAAGGAAGAAAACTAACGTGAGCAGTTGGAAATTCTGTGAAATACATCCAATTAATCAAGAAAAAAAACTCTGACTCTTAAAAAATTTTATACATAAAATTCATAGAAGTGGGCAAATGGTGTAAGATTTGAATCACAGTTGAATCAAGATTGAAAATTATTTGGTTATTACTTCAATGAATTAGGTTTTTTTAAAACTTTCAATTATCTTTTCAATCCTGAAATTTATGAGCTTTTCAAATACATTTTTATAGCTAAAAAATCAGCTAAAGAACAGAAACTTTTCCAAGCAGCTTATTACTCAAAAGATGAAACAAAAGAAATGACAAATAGAATTAACAAATAGGTACATTCCAGATACCTCTGCAATTTTTGTATTTCTTTTATGCCCCCTCCCTTGATATAACATGTAATATAAAAATGAGGAGTCAAATAACCAATGTACAAAATATTAAGTTACTCTAGGACCCTGATCTTCACGTGATTTGATTTCATTCATTCAGAATGGGGCTGCATGTAGAAAGAAAATTCCCACCATCCGAATAGACATTATTTCTCTTAGAATTATTTAATGATAATTAAACTCATTTAATTGAATCCAATGATTCAAATCAGGTGAGAATAAATAACATATCACAATTAGCATTAGGTTTGGTTTAAATATAAAAAAGCAAATTTATAAAGACTGGTGATTGAGTTATAATTTTAACATAAGCCCAGAAAACCACAGAGGACAGGCCGGGCACGGTGGCTCACGCCTGCAATCCCAGCACTTTGGGAGGCCGAGGCGGGCGGATCACAAGGTCAAGATCAAGACCATCCTGGCCATGGACAACGTGGTGAAACCCTGTCTCTACCAAAAATACAAAAATTAGCTGGGTGTGGTGGCACGCACCTGTAGTCCCAGCTACTCGGGAGGCTGCGGCAGGAGAATCATTTGAACCCAGGAAATGGAGGTTGCAGTGAGCCAAGATTGCACCACTGCACTCCAGCCTGGCACAGAGTGAGACTCCGCCTCAAAAGAAAAAAAAAAAAAAAGAACAGCAGAGGACAGTGATTTCTCATAATCAAAGCTGAGGTGAAGAAATATTTAAAGAAAATGACAAATGTATAATTTCAAATTTAGATTCCAGAAGCTTGCCAAACATTTGTTAAATTTTCTTACAAGGAAAAAAAACATCATTGGTCAGATTCAAGATTTTTTTTTCTTTAATGCACAAACATATAAGAAAAACATCTCCTTTATCTTAGGACTGACCAACTGTGCCTGCTTTCTTTATTCTCAACAGTCTATCACATACTCGTACTCGTGGCAACAATACTGTGTTAGATTACGAATGCTTGTCTTGGCAAAAGAGAGACAAATTCCCATCTTATTACTCCAAAGTTCTATGTTAGTAGACTATAACAGCAACTCAAATTCTGGGCATTTTAGATGTACAGAATTAGAAAAATGATCAAGCAAAGAAGCAAATGTTCTATGAAGAAATTTTTGAATATCAGTTTACACTAAAAGGCCAAAGTCTTAATATTAAACATATTTCCTTTTTCACCCCCCACCCCTCCCCCCATTACTGAGCATATTTATATTGACAGGTCACAAACAAGGGGCACGGGGGCTCCACTTTGGGAGGCCAAGGTGGGCGGATCACTTTGAGGCCAGGAGTTTGACACCAACCTGGCCAATGTGGCGAAACCGTCTCTACTAAAAATACAAAAATTAGCTGGGTGTGGTGGTGCACACCTGTAATCCCAGCTACCCGGAGGGTGAAGCAGGAGAATCGCTTGAACCCAGGAGGCAGAGGTTTCAGTGAGCCGAGATCGCACCACCGCACTCCAACTTGGGGGACAGAGTGAGATTCTGTCTCAAAAAGATAAAAATAAATAAAAATAAAAATAAAAATAAACCAAATGAATGAAGTTTCCCTCCAAGTTTGTCATCTTCATCTTAGGAAATAGCTTAAAGTTTAATAAAGTTTACACATGCCAATTTTGTGAATATCAAATTCAACACTTTGGAAACACAAGCTTCTAAATAAACTGTTTCACTGTGACAGTGTCCTTGAGAATACATGCCATCCAGAGGTAATTCTGCTTTATACTCAGATTCTTTCCATACTTCCAAAAAAGGATCAATATTAGACCTGTACAACAAATTACACTCTTTTACAGAAAATAATAAAATATCCAAGTCTCTCACCAAATTTTCAAAAAAGAGGAAAAGTGTAAGCTTCCAGATGAAAGTTTCTATAGCTTTCCCCAAATTTAGTACCACCATGAAAAAGAAATTCTTCACTCATTCAAGGCATACGACTAGAAAACTAATTTCCATGGCATCAAATTAATTTCCTCCTTTGGAGATAAAACCATGAGATCTTTTCCAAAGCATTAAAATCACCAAGAAAAAAAAAAAAGAAAAAAAAGACCATTACCAGCATTTTAAAACTGAGTAAGAGAATGAAGTAAACAAAAAAGGGAAAGAAAAAGCTTCAAAAGTTCATTTTTCTCCTAATTTCTTGAACTCTCTATTCCAGAAGTACCTAATGCTTTTCTTAAAAGAGAGGCTTTCAATTTTTCCCTATGTCTAAAGGCTGCTTTAAGTAGCCTAAGACCAAGGACAGGAGAGTGAAAACGAAGAGGGTTTTGGCTCTCCAAGGTGGGGGTGGAATTGCAGCTACTGCTTAGGGATATTTTCCAGTGGTCATCTCTTCAAACTCCAGTGAGTCTCACAAACAGGGTGCACCAGCCAATCCAAGTATCCAGTATCTACAATGCAAACTGTAGATACTATCCAAATTGACAGTAGATAGCTCAGTAAATAGCTGAGCAAACTGCAATGATAGCTCAGTCTTGAACTCTGGAAATAAATTTCCAAAAGCCTTCCCCAGTGGCACTTCAAACTCAAAAACGTTTACAAAACTAATCACATTTTCCAAACCTGCTTCCACCACTACCCGACCTGTTGCTCCTCCTTCCTGTATTTCCTATACCTCGGAGATTAGCCTCACATTGAATCTACCTCCCAAGAGTCATGTTGCTTTTAAAATCCTTCACTAACTCCTTGCTCCCTACAGAAGAAAATCCAAACTATGTATCATGGCATTCAAGACCCTTTGTGGTAAGTTCTCTATCTCTTCAGTCATACTACTTTTTCTGTGCTACATAATACCAAGTTTTCTAGCCATTCTAAAATATTCAAAGGTCCCTGGAATACAAAATCTTCCTTATACCTGGAAAGTTATCCCTACCCTACTCCATCTGTAAAAACCTTATTCATTCTTTAAGACTCAGGTCAATGACTGCCTTCTCGGTCAATATTTTCCTGACTCTTTTTCAAGAAAAGTTGAGCAAGCATTCCCTCTATTTTCCTATTATTATAGAACTCTGTGCTTTTAAAATTCTTGTATTAATATTAATATCTATTATGTTGCCTTTTTGTTTGTTTGCTTCTGTTTCCCCCCAATGACTGATCTCCTTAAAGGCAGAGTTTTTGCCTTATCCATTGCTTATATAGTCCTTAAAATGCTATGAAATGCATAGCAGGCAGTTTGTCAAATTAATTTAACTTATTATTGACCAGCTGTGTTTTGGTTTTCCTCTGTTCAGTCCACTTACATTTCTAAAAATTAAGAAAAAGTCTAGAGAAGATTAAAATGACACATCTTCTAACCTTTTACTCCTACTTCTGAAATCTATGTGGTTCACTAGTACTTCCATTTGCTACTAAATCAACTTAAGTCTTACCACTAAGACGATGCTACACACTATTCCTTTTCCTTACTCTTAACTACTCAAGGTGAGCCTTTTTCTACACATGCTTATAGCAGTTTATTGTCAGTACTTGTCAGCTACAAAATGGTAAAAAAATTTTAAAAAACAAAAAATAAAACAAAACTTCTGTAAGAGTGACTTTGACTATTTTGTTAACCAAATCTCCGGTTTTTTTGTTTGTTTTTTTTTTTTTTTGAGACAGAGTCTCGCTCTGTCACCCAGGCTGGAGTGCAGTGGTGCGATCTCAGCTCACTGCAAGCTCCGCCTCCCGGGTTCACGCCATTCTCCTGCCTCAGCCTCCTGAGTAGCTGGGACTACAGGCGCCCACCACCAGGCTCAGCTAATTTTTTGTATTTTTAGTAGAGACGGGGTTTCACAGTGTTAGCCAGGATGGTCTCCATCTCCTGATCTCGTGATCCGCCCACCTTGGCCTCCCAAAGTGCTGGGATTACAGGCGTGAGCCACCGCGCCCAGCCCAAATCTCCAGTTTCTAAACTGGTAAGCTCAAGTTGCTATGCCTCAAGGAATTTGAGAGAATATTTAATGTAAGATTCAGGACCCAATAGTAAGAATTCTACTCAGGACATCTGATCTTCATTGAAAAGGATTCTAATCCAACTTCAGTCCTCATAGCAAGGAAGTACTATTTCAGAAAGTCCCTAGATTCTCAGATGCACTGGCAAGCACCATACACTGAAGAATTCACGGAAGATTTTAGTCACTTGCTCACTCATCCACTTGAAGTAAGAAAAATCAATCACTGCATGTTTATTGTTCTATAATAAAGCAAATGTTAGAAATAAAAGTTAGAAATGTCAAACACACTAAATTGTTACATAATAAACTAATCAAGACACAACTTTTATTCAGGACATGGATATTTCTGAAATGAAAACAAAAGAAGAGAATTGACTTAAAATGTTTATAAATACGAATATTATGACAGAACCAAAGCTATTTATGAGCATTATTTTTAAAAGCTTGTTTAAGTATTATGCACTTGTCTGTGTGACATTTTGTAAAGCGGAGAAAAATTAAGGAGAAAGGAATTGTAGAACACTAACAGGAAGAGGACAGATACTGAGGAATGGCTCATGGTATAAGTGAGATTATCAGAGACTTTCTACAATGGAATTTGAAATGCAGGGAGCACATTTGGTGTATGGTTGTAGAGGATTTACACTAAGGGCATTCTTCTGCTACCTCTGCCAGCAGATGAGTGGCTCCTGAGAATGCATACCAAATTAATTCCCCAGCTGTTCACATGCATATAAGCAGCTGCTGCTGTTACTGCCTAATACTTATGGCAGTCTGGCAGCACCTCTAATCTCTGCCATAGCAGACAAGCCATTCACCTAAGGCCTCTGCTGTACTTCCAAAGAAAGAATTTCTCAAGTAGAGACTGAGTGGAACTAGACTGCCAGCTGTGAGCCTCAGAGCTCCTGGCTGCCTGTTGCTGAGTCTATCAGCTGCTGAGCCTTTCTCACCAAAAAAAAAAAAAAAAAAAAAAAAAATGAGCTTAATAAAATAACCCTGCACAGAAATTTTCTGAAATTAAGATAACATTCAATGGAAAACAGAATTTAATCTACAGAAATACACTTCACAGATGTTGTAGGAACAGAACCTAGAGAAAATGAAAGTCAAAATTTAATAAAAGAATTTGTCAGGAACTTCAAGGTAAAGACTCCATGTATTTTTTGGCAACTATAAAACACTAAGAAGGCTTTTTAAATATTAAAAAGCCATTTAAACACTTCAAATTAAGATTCCTCAATATACTTCAGATTTCTGTACTGAGTTACCCTCTCGAGTGTTTGGAAGTCTTTTCTTCCTCAGTAAGCAAACACTTACACAGTGTTATCATGGCTTTGTAATCTTAGTTTTGAAGACAGGCAAATGTACTAGCCAAATATGCCAAACTAACTTATTAAGAGCATTCCAAACAACATTTTGGATCCAATTCTTTTTAAATGCACTTAGATCTTTCTTATATTAGAATCAAGCATATTTGTCAATTATTTAATGTTTATTATTAATAACTAAAATGATTTGTTATTAATAGGAATAGCTTTTTTAAAGTACCTTGATCTTTGTGTTTCTAAGATTTGTCCTAGTCCATTTATGGATCTGAAATAAATAATAAATGAGGAAGACAAAGTTTAAAAGTAAAAATTAACTTTTTAAAAAAGTATACAAAGTATATTGTTTCTAAAACAGGAAATAAGCATACCCAAATACATCTGGAACCAGAAAAAAATTAAAAACAGAAAAACAAAACTTGCTTTAAAAAATAATTGTGATTTTCCTTCAAACAATAAATCACATATATTCCACTCATACAGCAATAAAACGTATATGCAAAAATTCGCACAACTGTCAGATTAAGGGCTACTTTGTGGTTAATAAAAAGACGCTTCACTTTAGAAAAAATCATTCATAAATAGTCAGTTATCCTAGTGTTCTTAAAAATGAGTAGATACTCAAAATTTTTACGGTGGTCACTTTTTTCCTCAGGCATACATGGTAGAAATGGCTATATACACACTAAAAATAAAAACCTAGTTGTAAGTTGCTTTGCCCCCAGCCTGTCCTTAGTATTCACAGTAATTCTAAGTCACACATCCCAGGTTCCTTTATAGAATAACCTCGTCAGTTCCCTAATTAGGCTCTCTACCCATTATGCCTGTTCTCCCTCTTTTGATACTATAGAATATGGCTTTGTATGGCACCAAAAAGTACCTGTTAAATTCTTTTCAACACACTGTACACCTCATCTATTTATCTTTTCCATTGCCTATCATCAATCATCAATTCTCTATCATGAATTCAATTGTCTTTAGGGTTACTTACCCAAGATTCTTGCTACTTGTTCAAGTTTGTTCTCATGGGTAAGGCTTCCCACATATAATGATTCTGAGGCAAGTCTCTCCACTATTTTACAAAATTCTTAAATCTTCTTTTTTGAATACACTCTAGTCTGATGGCTAATTCCTCTCAAACATGTTTACCTTTTTTCACCTCCCCAAATATCATTCTGAGTCAGTCACAAGTCTGATATAAAGGGAGGGTAAAAGCCAAAAGGGTGTGTAATTTATCAAATTGCTTCTTCCAAATTCATTTCTAGTACTGTTAACAAGCTGGCTAATAGTCAATATTGTCAGTGTCAGAGATTTAGCTTAGGTCTCTATAAGGATATAAAAGTCAAGTAATAATTATCATTCCTTTTATGCCAAAAACGTTTGCTAAATAGATTGTGTTCTTCTTAGCAATCACAATGGTACACAAGATTTATGAAGAGAAACAAGATTAGGAGACCAGTGTCAAAAAATGTAAAAGCAATCTTCATTCATCACTTTCTCCTTTTCAAAATCAGCCATCTTTTTCTTTCTTCCCTTTTTTACTATACCTTGAACTTACTATGTAAGCTAAGAAAAAAATTACATAATAATAGCTAACAGAGCACTTACTATGTGTCAGCACTGTGCAAAGTTTACCAACATTGTCTCATGTAATACTCAAAGCAAACTTATGATAGGCATTATGCCTTTTACAGAGGAGGCTTTAAAAGGGTAAATAAGCTCCCTAAGAAGACAATGAGAAACAGACCAAGGATTAGAACCCAAGCAGATTCCAAGGTCTGTGATCTTTAACACTACGCAACAATACCTACCTTCCACATGGAGACATTATATTTTTTTATAGTAAAGTTTAAGGACATTACTATTAAAATAAGATGAAATATGTGGAAAAAATATGAATTTCTTTCTTCCACAATCATTAATCATGGCAAATAATCTCCTAATGAGCCTTAGCTTTATTGATTCAATTTATAATATATACTATATGAACTGAGATGACAGATTCAAAATCTAATGTCAGTAGAACTTATAAATACTAAGAATAGTAATTTTGAGCCATCACGCTCAAAGCATTGTACACATTAAAGATAACCAATAATAATAGCTACCGAATGTCTCTCTGTATAGGGCTTTTATTAGTTCAGGTCTTACAAAATAATTCAAAACAAAGCCCCTGAACTATAACCTCATTTGAAAAGTCCATCTTTGTTTTCAAAAGGAATGGGAGTCTCCAGAACAGTCAGCAAAATGACTGTTAGCACATATTTGAGCATCATTCATATTGTCCTGATTGTCCTATGCTGATCAGCCTTGGCTATGGACAAAGAAGATATTAAAGCAAGCTGGAAGACAAGGCATGGTTGACAGTTAAGGAAGATGAAGTCAACAAGAGTTCAGGGAAAACTGAGACCACTTGAGTCAGGGAAGACTTCACATAGGAAGGGGGGAGAGACAGAATAGGCTGTATAGAATAAATTAAAAAAAAAAAAAAAAAACAGAACAAGAAAGAACTCAGGGATTGGCAGAGTGAGAATACATTATGAGTAAAGACAGGAACTGACAGGATGCATCCATGGGAAAGTGAATTAACCATCCTGGGTAAAGTTAGGGAAGATTGACATTAGGAAAGAGTCAAAGAGAAGACAGGAAAAGAAAGATGGAGTGCGAAGACCCTGAATATCAGTCTATTAACTGTGAACTATATTCTGCAAGCACTGGGGACTAATTTTATGTATTACCATTTATATAACAATTAGCCATCAACAATATATGTGATTCCCTAACGTTCTTGAAGCAGCTCAACCTTATACCTTAAGTTTCTACAGGGCAACAATCAGAGTAAAAAATATTCTGTGTATACAACATGGATCTGTAGGCACTTAACACACTTATCATTTCGTACCTAATTGTCGCTCTTAATTTCTTTACATCTTCTTCTGGAACCAAGTCTGTTTTATTAATGAGAATGGCATCTGCCAAAGCAACTTGCCTAAAATAGCAAACAGAGAAATGTTAAGAAACTTTAAATAATATACACGCATGCAGATTAATACATCAAAAGAGGAATGCTAACAAATTAAAAATAAATAAAAACGCCTCATGTAGATCAATATATCAGTTAAGAATTATACAGTGCTCTATAGGAGTGACTCAGTTTACTCCTAATCCGCTAATTGTTCAATGTGGATGAATTGTGTTCATTACTATGCAAGTTCAGATTTCACATTACCCATTCGCAAAGTATTTACTAAGTTCTGTTACTTGCTACTCTTGTGCTACAAAGATAAGTCTCAAAAAGTTTACAATCAAAAGGATGATTTTAAACTCATAATTTTCTTTGTGAAGAAAAGAATAAAATTCAGATATCCAATATGGTAAAAAGAAGAAGAGTTTACCTACTAAAATACTGTAATATTTACCAAAATTTTCAAAGAAATAGAATAACTTCACTTAATACTAAAAACTGTATTAAACAGGTTTTTTAAAACTATACTTCAGAGCTGGGCATGGTAGAGCACACCTGTAGTCCTGGCTACTTAGGAGGCTGAGGAGGGAGGATCCCTTAAGCCCAGGAGTTCAAGTCCAACCTGGGCAACATAGCAAGACTCCATTTCTTAAAAAAAATAAGCTATACTTCAGAAGATATATCAGGATATTGCCCAAATGTCTTCTTTATCACTATAAATATACTGTATATTATCTCTGTAAAGAATCCAGTTGACTGAATGCTAGATAACAAAGTAGATGATAATAATCAGAAGCTCTATTTTCTATTAACAGGATAGTAAAACTGGAAATTCTTTCAATTTTCCTCAATTATTCAGGGTCTTATGCTTTATCTCAAAGAATACAACTAAATTCTCAAAACTGAATTCACTTTAGTTCACTGAAAGAGCAGGTTTCAACAGTATGTACATCACAAATCCAATCTGGCTATTTTCTATTTGGCTTATTTATATTTTCTATAATAACCATATTTTCATAAGGAAAAAAGTTACAAAAATACTTAAGTTCAGCCAGGCACAGTGGATTCATGCCTGTAATCCCAGCACTTTGGGAGGCCGAGGCGGGTGGATCACCTGAGGTCAGGAGCTCGAGACCAGCCTGGCCAACATGGTGAAACCCCATCTCTACTAAAAAAAATAAAAATAAAAATAAAAAAATTTAAAAAAAAATGCAAAAATTAGCTGGGCATGGTGGCGGGTGCCTGTAATCCCAGCTACTTGGGAGGCTGAGGCAGGAGAATCGCTTGAACCTGGGAGGCGGAGGTTGCAGTGAGCCTGCACTTCAGCCTGGGTGACAGAGTGAGATTCTGTCTCAAAAAATAATAATAATAATTATTATTATTATACATATATATATATATATAAAATCTTCAATCCCAAAGAAATTGTATAACAAGAAAATATTTTTAAATGTTAATATTTCCCGAGTTCCTCAAAATTACAGAATCCTGTGTTCAGCATTCACTTTATGCTACGACAAAAATGACTTTAAGTAAAAGTTTAGTTATCAGATCATTATAAATAGATAGCAATAATTCAACTAAGGGAAAAAAAGAAAATAAATTTTCGTTGACTATGTTTTAAAATTTCTTAGTTTGTTTTTGGTTTTCATCTTAGTGATTTTTCTCTTTACAATTAGCCAGCAATCAATATATACTTTAAATATGAATACCTAGTAGCTTCATTGATAAGGCCATCAGGTTTCTCTTCTGCTAAATGCTAAACAAAAAAAAGTTTGAATAAAGTTACTATAATACAATAAAAAATCTAATGTCAACACAAAGGATTTTACTTTAGAGACATTTTCTTGCATCTAATAAAAACTTCAACATGTTCTGTTACTGAATACACAAATCCAAAACTAACTTTTCTAGCTAAAAGCATTTTTCTTCCCCATTTGCAATTTTTTTCTACAAGTGAACCTGTGGGGTTTTATAGGGGGAGGAAGAGGGCTTAGGATTTCATACTCCTGACCTTTTCTTTTACTTAAAAGGAAAACCCCTTTGATTCACATAACGTCATAAAAACATAGAAGATTACAGTTCAGATTTTAGGTATTTTCCTTCTTACAAAACTGTTCTGGTTCTAAATATTCATTATTACTTATTTTTAAAAAAGGATAACCACTGAAATATAGTTTCTTAGAATCTAATATACTTCCCTTCACACCAAACCCCCATATTAGAATCTAAAATACTTCCCTACACCCCAGCCCACAATCATGCACCACGTGAACTCAGTACTAGGCCTTTCAAACACCCTAGAAACAAATAAGTGGTGGGAAGGCTGATTCAGCCCTGATTCTAGCCTAAAAGCAGTTTATCATTTAGAAACCCATACTTGCTAATCTGGCCTCTCAGTGCAACTGTTTATTTTACTGACCTCTCCAGAGTCAGGCTAACTCCAAAAAATATTTTGACACTGACTTAGAGCCCAAGTGGTAGTTTTCATCTCTCTGGAGGCAAGCTTTGTTGTCTGTTTTTTTTTTCCCCCTCATAATCCTGTTTACATCCCTAACGTCATCAACATCACAAGCTTCTTCTCTGGGAAATTACACTTTTACCCTCATTACCTCAAACCTCAATAGAGGTTCCCTGTCACAATAAAAAGCTGGCTACTGAGGTTTAGAGGCAACTAGATTATAGTAATACTCTCTATTTGAAGCCAACTTTACAAATGAATTAAATCCTTGAATCTAACTTTATAAATTATATACATTTTTCTCATTTAGCTTTCATAATAATTATGGGAGATGGCTATTTTCATTTATAAAGGAAGAAACTAAATCTAACACCCTCATCATCACAGGATACTATATTTTATATACAATCACAGGGACTTTTTTTTTTAATTGAACACACACCCATCAAGTAAAATGACATAATTTTAAAGTCTTTGTGAAATCTTTTATGCCACATAAAATCAGTCTGTGTACAATGCTACACAAATGTCAATAATCATATATCAGAGCCAAACCAGTTTCATAATACATGGGGAGATGATCATTAGGGGTATCTGAATAGTTTGGAACCTCAGAGCAAGCAGGTAATAATTTTATTTAACAAGCTTGATTAGGTCTATAGAAGAAACATTTTTTCCTTCTAAAAGTTCAGCAAATTCTATTTTGAGGAAAACAAAACTGAAATAAAATCATGGCAATGATACTTCTACTTCAGGCAAAATCTTGTTCAATTCAACTGCAGACCCACTCTGCAATTATGGAAGTCACAGAACTTGACAAGTATTGTATCAAAAATCATTCCATGCCAAAAGACCAAGTTTAATATTTTTTTCATAATTCATCTTGGCCTGAGGCTACAACAAGTCCTATTGTTATATACTCTGCCTCTAGAGAATGAGGCTGCTAACAGACCTTGGAATGGTGCCTGGCACACAGGCTCAAGAAATATTTGTTGAATGAATTGTAATTAACACCTCCTGTTGTGGGGATACATAAAAGATGTTACATGAAAAATGCCATCTAACATGCAGCAACAAATCTCTTCCCATTAAGCAGTAAATCTACTTAACAATGATATATTTTTGGCAAGGCATCTGCCTCTGAATGATCCTATAGTACTGAAAATTCTTTTTAAACTGAAATATTTTTCAAGATATTATATTATTGACCTTATGAAAGCTTTTTTAACATATGAAATTGGGGTTATTTGGCTATGAGTTTGTGAGGCATAAAAATGATATGACAGAAGAATTACAGATTTGTTTTTGCATTTCCATGCCTAAATGTAACTAATACAATGTTAGTTTCACAAGGTAATGTGCAATGTTTTAAATGCATTTACCTCTCCAAAATATTAGAATTCTTCACTCAAAGCTAACAGTGGTAGACTAACGTTTTACTACTTCCAGGCAGTCAGAAAGTATCAAATATAAAAATAAATGAAAATCACCCCAAATGAGAGCCTGCCAATATTTACAGCTGTATTAAAATTATATGTAATCATATACCATTATAGCAGAAGAGATAAATGTCCTCTTCTATGCCCATAGGAAAGCCATACAAACATTTAAAAAATAAGTGCATCTTAACATTTATTTTCTCTAGACATCAGCCCTGCACTTCCCTCATGTGACTTCCTACCTTCCCAAGTCAAACTCTGCAAAAAGTACAAAATCAATGTCTTCTATTCAAAAGAACATTCTCCAATAATACATTATATACCATTTGGTCATTAAGTCAGATGACTTTCATTTATAAAATAAAACAAAATGGAAATTTTGGCATTCTATTCCACCTGTATAAGTAAATGAAGAAAAAATTTTTGCAAAATATTTTTTAAATATTTTATATTACATAGATGTCCAAAGTATTCCTTATCTCTGCTTAACAACTATGGCTTTTGCTTATATATCAAAAAAGACAAAAATAATTTTGATACTAATTAATCCAACATATTCAAAAGGCTAAGGATCAAAACCCCAATTTAACTTACCACAAGAAACAAAGGAAATTAAAGGGGAGCGGTGTGAGATGTTGGTCAAAGCATACAAAGTTTGTTATACAAGATGCATAAGTCATGGAGAGCTAATTACAGCATGATGACTGTAGTTAATTCTATTGTATACTTGAATCTGCTAAAACATAGATCTTAACTGTTCTTACCACCCCCCTCAAAAAAATAGCAATGTGAGGTGATGGATAGGTTAACTAGCTCAATTGTTTTATAATGTAATTCACACATTGTATACCTTAAATATATATAATTTTTACTTGTCAATTGTACCTCAATAAAGCTGGGGGGGTTAGGGAGAGAAACAAAGGAACTCTCTGAAATAACACCACTGTAGACCTAACTTCATGAAGGGCTATAGGGTGTCCTTTTCTGCAGAAATAAAGAAAGAAGCCGGACCGAAAAAAGAGAAAGAAAGAAAAGAAAAAACTATCTTAAAACCCACTGGCTATGAAAGAACACTGCTGTTGACCAGAGTGGAAATAAATCTAGTGTCAAAGATGTCTGGTGTCATTTTTAAAAAGCAGCAGCAGGAACTATTTCTTTCAAATGGATTGGTTACAGATGTAACACTATTTTAGTTTTTAAAAAATTATTGCATAATGTCAGTCTATTTATTGTTCTGGCCTTTTCCAAGCTAACTGTTTTCTGACTGAATTGTTTCAACAGATTGTGCAATATAACAGAGGAACCAAGAAGAAACCTCTCACTTGACCTTCTCTGGGTAACTTCATTCATTGCTTCTATTGCATTAAATGCTGTCACATTTGTAGAACCGAAAAGAACAATGTCAGTAGCCTGGGTGTCAAGTCCTCAGAATAGAGAGCTGTCATTTTAAGTTGTCCAATTCTTTGCCTATGATTAAAAAATGAATATTTCAGATCAATGGGTGACAATCCCATTAGCATGATACCCCATGATATCAATTACCACTTCAGTTTCAATTTGGCTGGCTGGCCACAGGGTACCATTTCTCAGCTTTACTTGTGATGGGCTGGCTCTGTGAAGCATGACATTCTTAAATTGCTGCCCATTATCCAAGTGTCATTACTTGTACTGCCTCAGAATTCTCTGAATCACAAGCAGCTACTGAGGTCAAGCTTTGCAACCAGAGGAATTGGACAAGTTGGAAAATTCTTTATATCAAAGCAAAGTTATTTATCTGGCATCCGACTTAGAAAATCTAAAGTTTCCATTATCCTGACAGTGTGTCAGTTTTGTGTAGGTATATTGATTTAATAATTTAAGAGGTTTTATCAAGGTAGCAGGAGGTTAAACGTTTACTGTGTTTGCATTATTCAGAATGTTGCTTTGTTTTTTTGGCCTCCATCATGCTGATAATAGATTCTATTTAACTCTTCTCCATACTCAACTATACATATAAAATTATTCCTATAATCATAAAATACATAAACAGTTTGACTTTTAGCATGGCATTTTCAGTCTATCAAAATAAAAAAAAAAACAAAATGTCTTAGCAGTTATCTGTCACATAGGTATATCAAATTTTGTAATAAATTTATGGAAGAGGTAGATTCAAACATGCCTATAATAAACATTCAAAATGAATAATTTGGGGCTTTTTTGCTACCTCCATAAGCATTTTGCAAGAAATATGATTTTCAACAGTCATTGGAATTTTTCTGCGTGAAACTGTAATACTGTATTTGGGATCATTCTTGGATTCTTAAATTATATTCATAAATTCATAAATTGAGATTTTAAACTCTAAAAAAGGAGTTTTCTTCCAAACTTTTCAAATTAGGGCACTCTATCAACGAGGGAGAGAAGGCCCAGTGAAGAGGTATTGGTAGCTATTTGACAAACCTGACATATCCCCTTAGAGCACAATTTCAGCAAAGATTTGGGAAAAAAAAGCAAACTTAAACATTAACAAGTTCAGGCCGGGCGTGGTGGCTCATGCCTGTAATCCCAGCACTTTGGGAGGCCGAGGCGGGTGGATCACTTGAGGTCAGGAGTTCATGACCAGGCTGGTCAACATGGTAAAATCCTGTCTCTACTAAAAATACAAAATTAGCTGGGCATGGTGGTGTGCACCTGTAATCCGATACTCAGGAGGCTGAGACAAGGGAATCGCTTGAACCTGGGAGGTGGAGGTTGCAGTGAGCCAAGATGGTGCCACTGCACTCCAGCCTGGGCAACAGAGTGAGACTCTGTCTCAAAAAAAAAAAAAAAATTAACACGTTCAGATATGAGGTTGGATACAAAACAGACACTAATTTTTAAACACTGAATTTAAACTTCTAAGAAATTACTGCTTTGGGCCCTATCCATATGCTCAGATTGGGAACGGGTCAGTGGGTGGGATGATTTCATTCTCTTCTGCCTTTAGTGGTATTTCACTTGGGAAGCTGAGAAACATCATTTTACTGTATGTAACAACATACTTTTAAAGATCTTACTAAATGCATTTTATAAATTAAACCTCATTTAAATGCATTCTAGGACCTTAGAAGTTAACAAAAACATTCATAGCAGGATGTCTTTTACACTTGATCTTAGCCAAAAGACCAAGAAGCGATGCAAGATGCCTTTTAATGGAGAGAGTCTTCTTACTAATCCTATGTGTATATCCTGATTTTCTTCAATATGTACTTTTTAAATTTTAAGTTCCAGGGTACATGCTCAGGATGTGCAGGTTTGTTACATAGGTAAACGGGTGCCATGGTGGTTTCCTGCACCTATTAACCCATCACCTAGGTCTTCAATATTTTTTAAAAACTCATTTCCAGTGTGTGTTTAATAGTAATTTAACAAGAAAAATAAGATCTCAGATGCTTTATCAAGCTCAGCTTCTTCTATGGAACAGAAAAACTTACCAATATTGGGGTTGAATCCTTGTGAAGAGTTATACATACCAAACTCTATCCTAACCCCATATGCTTATTACAAATTATAATTCCAAATTTTATCACCAAATCAAACTCAGAGTAATAGAAAAGAAATATTTAACACAAACTAATAATTAAAACACAAATTTCACCTATTGTTCAGGATATCTTTTTGAGAAAGGTTTTTGTTAAAGAAAATTTCAGATACAAACATAAAGAAAATTAAACAATCAATCCCCATATTCCCAGCTCTCAATAATGAGCCACTCATAGCAATCTTTCAACTTACTTTTAATCCATATTTTGAATCCACTATAGTTATGATACCTACAAAGGAAAAAACATTTTAATCACTTTTTAAAAAGAATGTTTATTAATATTTGTGCAACCATACTTCAGAATGAAAATTAAAACTAACCTATTTCAGTTCACAAATACTACTCAATAAAACAATGTACTGTTTTTTTCTCTTGCCAGTGCTGCCATTTAATTAAATTCCAGTAATAAGTCAATGCATTTCCTGAGTGGCTAGCACTATTTTAAGGCACTAGAGAAGATATAAAACAAATAAAAATTTTAAATTAAATAAATAAGAAAATAAGATTTCCTTGGCACTGAAAAAGCTTACAATCCAAAATATAAGTCAAATTTCATAACATAGTCAAATGTGATAAGTACATAAGACAGGTTATTTCTAGTTTATTTTCACATAATCAAAATCAAGACTTTTCTTAAGATTTAAATTATTGCCGAAAGAATGAGACATCTTAAGGTATCATTCCTAACATCTCTCATCAAATCCAAATCCAACTCATAAATGTTTTACATAACATATGCTTAAGTTTCCAAACTACCAATTCATTTTGCAATCTCTGAATATATGCTGATAACAAAAGAATGAGTTTAATTATGCCTAAGGAATTCAACCAGTTACCCACCACATATATTAGAGCTCAATGATGGGGCCCAGCTTAATAATTCTTAAATTTCTTAATGATTATTACTTTTGAAAAAGTAAGAAAATTTCGACTGGTTTTTAAAAAGGTGAAAAAGGGAAAGAGAAAGGGAGAAAACATAGTCGCTTAACTAAGAAAGTTTCTAATGTATTTTAAATGAAGGCATATCACTGCCCAAAAGTGTTCAGGTAAATAAAGTAAGGGAGGAGTGTTTAATTCTTATCTTCAAGAGAAAATAAAAGCAAAAATATGATCCTCATATTGCCTGGAGGATTAAAATAAAAGGCTCTAACATTATATTAAGGGCATAAATCAAACAACAGAGGATACAGAAAACCTACAAAGCATTTTTTTTTTAAAGAAAACCTTAGTGGAAGCACTAAATTGGAAGTTGAGTGACATCGAGTTCCACCACTGTCTGGGGTTTTTTAATCTATATGAACAAAGATTTCATCATTAAACTAAAGTGTGAAAAGAACAACAATGCAAGGAATTAAAGTTATAATATGAATGAACAACAATAAGCTTAACCATAAAGATTTTACTAAAAAACAAAAGAGGCAGGGTGTGGTGGCTCACGCCTGTAATCCCAGCACTTTGGGAGGCCGAGGCTGGCGGATCACCTGAAGTCAGGGGTTCAAGACCAGTCAGGCCAACATGGCGAAACCCCGTCTCTACTAAAAATCCAAAAATTAGCCAGGTACGATGGTGCACGCCTGTAGTCCCAGCTACTCGGGAGGCTGAGGCACGAGAATCACTTGAACCCAGGAGGTAAAGGTTGCAGTGAGCCGAGATCATGCCACTGCACTCCATGCACTCCAGTCTGGGCAACAAAGTGAGACTCCGTCTCAGAAAAAAATAAAAAAAAAAACAAAAAACAAGAAAGATAAAAGAAAACTGTTTTTTAACTTACCATCAAGGTAAATATCACTCCCTAATTCAGCATCAACCCAAAACATAGAAGCCACTGCACCTGAAAATATATAATATTCATCAAATAAAAATATTTCTTCACACTGAGAAACATGATTCTATCCATGTTTTAATTTGCCCTGATAAAATTAACAGGTAAACACATATATCTTCTTATGGAAATTATAGTGATAGAAGCTTTCACTATTTATAGCAAAAGGGAGTTACAGTGATAGAACCTTTTACTATTTATACCCATTCCATTTCCATCTCTCTTGTTATTTCCTTTAAAAAAGACCAATTCTAACCACATATAAACAAAACATCATTCTTCTACCGATGCCATAATAATTTAATTAACAGATATTATCAAACAATTTGAGCAGTATGGCTTTGTGCACATCAGACTGATTTTTATTTTCTCACCTCTTTAATATGATAATCATTCAATCATAAATAGTGAATTATCACTCTAAAGGAAAAGGAAAACAAAACATAGATAATTCCAAAATCACTTGCCCAAAAAAAATTTACTTGTAATCTGTGTAGAACTAGAAGTAAAATTATATACTCTATGGCATTACTAATTATTCCTCACACTATTTATTTAGTACTGTATAAAACCTGGGTCTTAGGAAAAATTTTTCCTAAATAATAAATTAAAACTTGCTTTTGACAGAAATTGGTTCAGTACCAAACCACATACCCTGATTAGTATGCCACAACGCAAGAAAAAGAAAACTGACAGCAAGGAAAGTATTTGATTTTTGAAAGCATCACAGGCCCAGTTAGTGACAGGGCTGTCTAAAAGAATGAGTGTAGGAGAAAAACAAGGATAATCAAACTCATTCCAACGTCTAAAGCTGTCCACCTACTCTGCCAAGATGTGGTCCCCCAAGCATCACTCGGTGTCAACAATGAAATACCTGTCAGCTGTTTACAGTGATTACTCATGCAAGATATAGCAAGGGCCACAAGATCTAATGGTTTCCTGATACCTATTGATTTTTTTCCCAAAAGCTTAATAGTTTTCCAATTTGACTCAAATAGGATTTGTGAGTAACAGGGGCTGAATCAATGTCCGTTCTTTTCAGGGAAATTACTTTACCATGACAATTATTTAACTTAGAACTGGAGAGTGTCAGTCTCCAAAACGGGAAACAACTGAATTGCCAATAAGAATTTTGTTCACTTTCTTGGCTAAAACATGATTTTAATTAATGAGGGGGAAAATTAAATCTACTGTATCACTACTCCAAACAATAAGTCATTTAAAAAAGCATGAATTTTTTCACTCAGTAAAATATCTAACATACATAAATCATTTTGTAATTTTTAAAAATTCATTGATTTTTATTCCAATAAATAGTTTACAAATCCTACTGTTAATATTTGCCTCTTAAGTTGAAATGTAAGAGTATATTAATGCTTTATTCTAAAACTGGTATTTATCTTTGATATAATACTTGCCAGACTACATGAGAAAGATCTATTTAAAATTTGGATGTAGGTATTTAGGAGGAGTAAAGATGAATGAACAACATTGATCAGTGGCTCTCAAACCAGGGTGCTTTTCTCCCCAGGGAATATTTGGCAATGTCTGAAGATGTTTTTGGTTGTCTTAACTAGGGGAATGCTACTGGCATCTAGTGGGTAGAAGCCAGGGATGTTGTTAAATATCCTACTCTGCACAGGGCAACCCCCTCACAACAAATAATTATCCAACCCAAAATGTTATTTGTGCTGACACTGAGAAAACCTGAACTACATTTTAGAATCTCCCTTCTTCAAAATCTAATAAAACAAAAAATAAAAATAAAAAATAAAACAAAAAGGCCAACATTTTATTAGCAGCAACCAAATATAAAAGGGCCTGCCATAAATTTTGAAGACTGATAGTCAAAATAAGAAACAAAGTTATATGTGATTGATGGTCATTCCCAACTCTACCCCTACCTCCAATAAGAGGTTGTAGGGAAATAGTTTACAAAATCCTAAACACTTACCAGAAATACACTCCAAAATGGCAAAAAGTAGAGCCGAGGAATGAATAAGCAACACAAGGAAAAGTCAACAAAAAAATTTCAAGAGTGAGTTTTAACCATCTCCTTGCTTTGGGAAGGAGAAGGTCAGGTCACATTCTAGGGCTCAGAACAAAGAGAAATGAGAGGTCTGAGGTCGAATGATGTCCCCATACAAGGCAAAGGAATTTTATTCATAAGCAGTTGGGCAGACCCAAGAGTGAAATACTTGGTACTTCAAGAGAGCAGAGCCTAAAAGCCACATTGCCCCATTTGGCTCTCTGAATCACCACTTTTCCCTTCTCTTTCCCTCCACTCCAACAATATACAGCTTTCAAACTAGGGCTCAGGAGAAAAACAAACTTGGGTAAGGAGAGTGGAGTATTAAAAATATTTCCCATCAGCACCACATAGAAGTTCTCCCACATCAAGAAGAAACATGTATGCATATGTATTACAGCCTGACAAAAAGAAACACACACATACAGGGAACAAAAAGCAAGAAAGAACACAAAATGAAGAAATGAATAGGGCACACAAGTGGCAAAGAACCCATTCTGGAAGGATACATAACCCAATAAAAACTAAAGAAAATTCCCAACAACTTCATCATAATGAAGAACTTGAAAACAATACAACCTTATAATAAACAAGCTCAAAAGCAAGAAGAAGCAGAATAAGATGAAAATGCGTTTGTAGTGCTAAAGAAACTTAGAGCCTATATAACACAATGACTTAACCAATTAATTCATTTAAAATATCAAAAACAGGACAGACACTGGAGAAAACAGAATTATTGACAAAAAGAAAGGCTTCAGATGATCACAGTAAATGCAAAGGTAAAAGACAAATCAAAGCAATTAGAATACATACGAACAACAAAAGAAAATTCAGTATTAAAAAAACTGGCGTCATGAAGTAGAGGATCTAATAATTTGACCAAAAAAAAGTATTCATGGTAATAAACAAGGAAAATGTTCTTAGAAGAACTAAGGGCATATTATAATTTAGGGAAAAATGATTATAAGTGACACTTAGATATACCTTGTTTATATTACTGAATTTCAAAAATAAAGAAGAAAACTCTCAGGCATTTTAGATTTGAAAAAAAAAAAGTGCCTTCAAGGAGGTAGGGAGAAAAATCAGACTTTTCTACAGTAACACTAGATGTCCCAAAATAATAAAACAGTGACCACAAAGTTCTAATGAAAGTGTTCCCAAACAAGTTATTTTTCAGGAACGAAAGCAATAGACAGACATTCTCAAGCATTAAAGAAAACAGCAAGCATTGAAACTCAGAGACTATAATACTCACAAATTCTTCCTAATAAAAAGAGAAAACATTGGACAAAGAAATCCAGCCAATCAAACACTAGGAGATTATGGAACAACATTTACAAAGTTGAGGGGGAAAAAAGTGTGACTGATAAATTTTATACCTAGCCAAGTAATCCTTCAAGTAATATAAAAACAAAAGACAAATATTTTGAATCAATGAAGTGTATAAGAACCCAAAGAATGCATGCAGTACCTGTAACTTGAAAAGACTGCCTGACAATGAAATTCAATCAGGAGATGGACTAACTCGGGAATGGAGAAGCAACAGTACTGGTAATGAGCACCAAAACTATTAAAACATAGAACTAAAAGAATTATGACAGAACCATGACAACATAAAGAATATGATCAACATGAAACTAGGCCAATTAATATCCTACAATGGCCTCTAAGTGTTCAAGTGAAAGGAACAGTCACCTGTTTCTCACTTTAAATCAAGAGCTAGAAATGATTATGCTTGGTGAGGAAGTTATGTTGAAAGCCAAGATACGCCAAAAGCTAGGTCTCTTGAGCCAGTTAGCTAAGTTGTGAATGCAAAGGAAAAGTTCTTGAAGGAAATTAAAAGTGCTACTCCAGTAAACACACAAATGATAATGAAACAGCCTTATTGCTGATATGAAGTGGTCTGGATAGATGATCAAACAAGCCACAATGTTCCCTTAAGCCAAAGCCTAATTCAGAGCAACCCTAACTCTCTTCAGTTCTATGAAGGCTGAGAGAGGTGAGGAAGCTAGAGAAGAAAAGTTGGAAGGTAGCAGAGGTTGGTTCACAAGATTTAAAGAAAGAAGCCATCTCCATAACACAAAAGTGCAAGGGAAAGCAGCAAATGCTGATATAGAAGCTGTAGTAAACTACCTAGAAGATGTAGCTAACATCATTCATGAAAGTAGCTACACTAAGCAACAGACTTATTTTTTATTTATTTATTTATTTATTTTGAGATGGAGTCTCGCTCTGTCACCCAGGCTGGAGTGCAATGTGCAATCTCAGCTTACAGCCACCTCCGTCTCCCGGGTTCAAGCCATTCTCCCGCCTCAGCCTCCCAAGTAACTGGGATTACAGGCTCCCACCACCAAGCCAGGCTAATTTTTGGTATTTTTAGCCGAGATGGGGTTTCACTATGTTGGCCAGGCTGGTCTTGAACTCCTGAACTCGTTATCTGCCCACCTCGGCCTCCCAAAGTGCTGAGATTACAGGCATGAGCCACCGAGCCCGGCCAGCAACAGATTTTTAATGGAGATGAAATGGCCTCCTTTTGGAAGAAGATGCCATTTAGGACTTTCATAGCTATAGAGAAGTCAATGCCTGGCTTCAAAGATTCAAAGGACAGGCTGACTCTCTTGTTAGAGGCTAAAGCAGCTGGTGACTTCAAGTTGAAGCCAATAATCATTTACCATCCTGAAAATTCTAGGGCCATTAAGAATTATGCTAAATCTCCTCTGCCTGTTTTCTATAAATAATAAAGCCTAGATGACAGCACATCTGTTTACAGCATGGTTTATTTTAAGCCCACCATTGAGATCTACTGCTTAGAAAAGAAAAGATTCCTTCAAAATATTATTGCTCATTGACAACGCACCTGATCACCCAAGAGCTGTGATGGAGATGTACAAGGAGATTAATGTTGTTTTCATGCCTGCTAACACAACATCCATTCTGCAGCCCACTGATCAAGGAGTAACTTTGACTTTTAAGTCTTATTTAAGAAATATATTTCATAAGGCTATAGCTACCATAGACAGTGATTCCTCTGATGGATCTGGGCAAACTAAATTGAAAACCTTCTGGAAAGGATTCATCATTCTAGATGCCATTAAGAACATTTGTGATTCATGGGAGATCAAAGTATCAACATGAATAGAGTATCAACATGAATAGGAGTTTGAAAGATGATTCCAGCCCTCACAGATGACTTTGAGGGATTCCAGACTTCAATGGAGGAAATAACTGCAGATGTGGTGGAAACAGTAAGAGAACTAGAATTAGAAGGGGAGTCTGAAGATGTGACTCAATTCCTGCAATCTCATAAGAAAACTTTAACTAATGAGAAGTTGTTTCTTATGGACGGGAAAAGAACGTGGTTTCTTGAGATGGAATCTACTCCTGGTGAAGATGCTATGAACACTGTCAAAATGACAACAAAGGATTTAAAATATGACAGAAGCTTAATTGATAAAGCAGGGTTTGAGAGGACTGACTCCAATTTTGAAAGAAGTCATACTGTGGGTAAAATGCTATCAAATAGCATCATGTGCTATAGAGACATCTTTTATGAAAGGGAGAGTCAACTAATGCAGCAAACTTCATTATTATCTTATGAAATTGCGATAGCCACCCCAACCTTCAGTAACTACTACCCTGATTGGTCAGCACCCATCAACATTGTGGCAAGACCCTCTACCAGCAAAAAGATTATGACTTGCTGAAAGCTGAGATGATTGTTAGCATTTTTTAGCAATAAATATTTTTAATTAAGGTATGTATGTTTTTTAGACAATTCTATTACACATTTTATAGACTACAGTATAGTATAAACACAGCTTTTTTTTTTTTTTTTAAGAAATGGGGTCTCATGCTGTCATCCAGGCTGGAGTGCAGTGGTGCAATCATGACTCACTGCAGCCTCAAACTCCTGAGCTCAAGTGATCCTCCCAAGTAGCTGGGACTACAGGCCTGTGACATCACACCCGGCCAAAACGCATAACTTTTATATGCAATGGGAAACAAAAAAATGTGTGTGACTCACTCTATTGTGATATTCAGTTTACTGCAGTGATATGGAACTAAGCCCACAATATCCCTGCGGTATGGCTGTACAGTATAAGAATCACCTGAAGGGCTTATTAAAAACAGCTTGCTTGACCCCCTCCCTTAGAGATTCCGATTCAGTAGATCTGGGTTGGTCAAGAATTTGCCTTTCTAACAAGCTCCCAGATGAGGCTGAGGCTGCCATTCAACATACTACCAAGTAGCACTGGCATAGAGAGATCCCTGGAATAAAATTTACCTACTTGTGTGTGTGTGTATGAATGTGTGTGTGTGTATGAATGTGTGTGTGTGTGTGTGTGCGTGTGCATGTGCGTGTGTGTGTGTGTGTATACAGTCTTGCTCTGTTGCCTGGGCTGGAGTGCAGTGGCGTGATCTCGGCTCACCGCAACCTCCGCCTCCCAGCTTTGAAGTGATTCTCATGCCTTAGCCTCCTGAGTAGCTGGGATTATGGGGTGCGCCACAACGCCTGGCTAGTTTTTGAATTTTCAGTAGAGACTGGATTTCACCATGTTGGCTAGGCTGGTCTTGAACTCCTGGCCTCAAGGGATCCACCTGCCTCAGCCTTCCAAAGTGCTGGGATTACAGGCATGAGCCACCATGCCCAGCCCCTACTTGTATATCACAATAGTGAGATGATTACTTTTCAACTTTCTTCTTTGTATTTTTTAGGTATTTAAATTTTTTTACAATGAATGTTCCATCTTTACCCAAACAATAAAATCTTTATTGTAAAGAAAGTTAGAAGCAAGAAACATTAAGATTTTTTATAACTACAATTTGTATAAAAGCTTTCTCTGTGATCTTTAGTTTTTCTTTCTTCCTCTGAAAAGCTGAATCGTGTTTAATTAAACTCTCAAAAGTATCAAGTTTTTGTCTATAAAATGGCAAAACTGGCTATGATGAAATAAACTGATATTTGCTATTTCTAATAAAAGCATACAATATATTTTTCTTTCTTACCAGATTCAAATATTTAACACCAACATATTAGTCCAAGTCCTATCATCAGTCAGATTTATCAGAAAGGTATGAAAACCCATGCCTACTATAAGGACCAAAATAGCCTAATTCAATACTACTTTGAAAACATGGGGATGATGTTATTATGTAATTGTTTTAATTACAATAACCACGGATCACATTTGAACTCTCAGGATACTTCAATATTTCTTTTGGACAACTATGACCTGTTTAGTAAATTACCCCCAAATACTTTAATATAGTTTTACAAATCGCCCCAATGCCAGAGACCCAGATCAAAAAAAAAAAAAAAAATAATGGTATGGGTCAGATTCACAGATTCACAGAATAAGCACTAACTTTTATGCAAACTGAAAATAAAGATTTTATCTAAAAGTTATTTGGGGAAAATAAGCAGACTTTATCAAGAATTAGAGCTTGGTAAGAAGGTAACAGAAACCCATTGTTAGAAACAGGTTGACTCTGTGTAGCTTTCCATAGTAGAGTTCAGAGTTCCCTGTCATGATTCCCTTATCAATGCAGTGTAATAACTACTTACACAGCACTTACATTGTATTAGGTATTATAAGTAATCTACAGATGATTTAAAGTATATGGGAGGATGTGCATAGGTTATAGGCAAATACTACACCATTTTATGTAAGGGACTTGAACATTAATAGATTTTGGTATCCTCAGAGGTTCCGGAACTAATACCCCATGGATGCCAAGGGACAACTGTACTTAGAGGTAGAACGTCTCTGCTCTTCCTACATGTCCTTATTTTTAACAACTTCTGTTCTTACAAATAATCCTAAGTCAATCAATAAAACTTCAAATTCTATTAACAGCTTAAAAGTACCAAGAAATACTCCGTTCATTCATTCAACTGCCAAAGAAAATGACAACCGAGTACTTTTCCTCTTTTAAACCAAAAAAAGTTTTTGGTTTAATACTAACAAAAGCTTTAATCCTCATGTTAGATATTCCTCTAATACATCTATTTACAGTATATCACAGAACTATATTCTGGTTATTAACAACCTCACTTCTTACCTGGGTCTGCCAATCCAGTGGTCTCTAACAGTATGTAATCAAATTTCCCCTTCTTTTGCATCAAATTCTCAATAGCTCTAAGGCCATTGTCCCTGGAGAATACCAAAACATCATTTACAGTTAATTACCTAAATATTTTGAAGTGATTATTATAAACACTTTAAAATATATTCAACAACCCAAGACAAAAGTACCCTTAGGAATGTGAAAATTTAACTCACTTCTAACCTTCTAACAAAATGTCCGTCCCATATTTACCAGTGAGAAAACAATAGATGCATATATATAATAGGTAAAAAGAAATCATATACATAATAATACTTTATTAAAATTAAAAGCAGAGGAAACTTTATCTGACCAAGTATCTTTTTATAGCTTTATGAAATTTTTAAAAACCAACATACAAAATAATGATAAAATTTATTAACTATAGTAGTTTAATATAATAGCTAAAGGGACACTGATATTAAACACCATATAATTCTATTTTACATTAGGATGCAAGGTTTTAATTTCCTTTTTTCTTATTTTATCAAAAGTGAAGGAAAATCCTTAATAGATTATATTTTGGTTGTTCAAGAAAGTCTGTTATAATTTTATCCTTGCCAAAACATTTGACACAAAGTCAAATACCTAAGGGAGTAAATGATGCCGAAGAGATTTAATTCACTAGAATACACAAAATTAACAGTACAAGTAGTCATTTTTATAATTCATTCAACAAATATTTGAGTGCTACTATGTGTTGGGTAACTCTTCTAGGGTCTATGGTAGACTAGTGAACACTGTCCTTGAAAACTTAACTAGTAGAACATAATGTAAGGTTTTTCTCTTTTTTGATAGTCATTTATTTTTTTTATAAGGTTGAACACTTAGAAATATGACCAATGACAGATTAAATTCAGAATAATCATTTTTTACATATGAGACTTTCATGCACTAGAGATTAAATAAGCCCTGACATCAAAAGCAATAAAAACTCAATAAAAGGACCAAAACATTAGAGCAGATAGAAAAGACAGCAAGAAACACTTTAAGAAAATGCTTCCTAATAAGTTTATTTTCTATTTGTTTGAAAATACAATGAAGCAAACTGTGTAAATTCAGTTAAATTACTCAAGAAAATTAAAGCTGGAAATATAATCAATAAACATTTCTAGTAAACCATGTACACAGTAAACACATTCCTCACTTCACTGAACAGCAGAGGCAACCGTTTCTAAGTTCCAGCCACTCTTCATAGAGCTCTCCACCTTGGCTGACAGCTAAGGATTTCTCCAGCGCACTTCCTAGAATAATTAACAAACAGCACTCTTTAGCTTATGTCCATTAGCCAACAAAAAACAAAGATGAGGATAACTCAATAATGGAGATCTTAAAGCAGAAACTGCATTTTATAACTTATATTCTTTCATTTTATTCATGCAGCCTCGATATCTAAATTACAGTACACTACATTATGTTAGCTTTTATTTAAGATGACTTAAGCCCTGAAAAAGACACATCCTAAACTGATAAACATACCTACTTCCTCCTTAGGCCTCTTACTTGGCCACCCCCATTTCTTAATAAAGTAGCTATCTTGAAGGCATTTTTTTCTTGTCCAGGGTAAACTTTCTAAATAGACTAGTATGTTTTATATACTGGATTTTGTATGCCCTTCAACCTCTTAAGAGACTGCCTTATCTATCTTTTTCTTTTCATTCTTCTTCTAAATTGTTTCTGTTAGACAAACTGCTGAATATTCCCAATGAGTAAAAACCCTAGTTCATCTTGAGGAAGGTTTTTGGCCAGTGTACCATGTGCTCATTTAAAAATTAAACTTACAGGGAGGCCAAGGCGGGCGGATCACGAGGTCAGGAGATCGAGACCATCCTCGCTAACACAATGAAACCTCATCTCTACTAAAATTACAAAAAATTAGCCAGGTGTGGTAGCGGGCGCCTGTAGTCCCAGCTACTCAGGCGGCTGAGGCAGGAGAATGGCGTGAACCCGGGAGGCGGAGGTTGCAGTGACCCGAGACTGTGCCACTGCACTCCAGCCTGGGCAACACAGCGAGACTCCATCTCAAAAAAAAAAAAAACCTAAACTTTTAGTCAAATTCACATATTTTCCTAGCAATACTTACTTAAGAAAGAATAAACTATATTTGAAATGCTTGTTATCTATAAGAATTATTTTAAATGTTTTACTTTTCCTCTAATAAAGAAATATACCAAACGGTGAAGTTCTAAAAGCCCACTAAGCAAATGAGCTCCCATAAAATCGAGTAGTTTTACACTTACGTATTTTTTATATTTCAGCTAGGTATTAATAAAGAGCTTCTAAAGAGGTTGCTACAGAATTCGGACTATATACAGAACATTAAGGAAACATGAAGAAAAGTATTGAGAATGCTGTGAAAAATAAAATTGCGAAAATGATCCAGGAAAAAATAAAGAAAATAGTAAGAATAAATGTAATCAGTGTGCAATAGGTTATTTAATAAGATGATAAAAAAACAGTCTGTTATTAGAAATCTCAGGATTTTTGCCTAAAAAGCACTTTTCTCTTTAGTTTATTAAAACCAGAAATCGAATATAACTGGCTTCCCATCCTGTTCATAAAACCTAGCTCTTTTACTTTTTACAACTGAAAAAAAATAGTACATTTTAAAAGAAATCATTTAATAGATATTGTTTTTTGGCTAGAAGTGAGCTTTGATTACAATTCATACTTATGAAGAAAAACTTCTATAAAGATAACAGAAGTATTGTGTCTAGAGCTATTTTTTTGACTACAGTTTAATATTTCAGTTGAGAAGTTAAGCACACTTATTTTCACAGATAACTTAAAATACATGAGGATAAAGACCATATGTTTACCTTTATTTTTAAAATATTGAGTTTTAACTGCATTGCAGATAATAAACATTAAACAAAGTTAACTAATAACAGAAGCATTTTCAAGTATTTTTCATGAGTTGCAATAGAGTCCATACAAAAGTGCCTTCCTAATTCCTAAAAAAAACATTTTTTGGCCAGGCATGGTGCCTCATGCCTGTAATCCCAGCAACTTTGGGAGGCCGAGGCAGGTGGATCACAAGGCCAGGAGCTCAAGACCATCCTGGCCAACATGGTGAAACCCTGTCTCTACTAAAAATACAAAAATTATCTGGGCATGGTGGCGCACGCCTGTAGTCCCAGCTACTCGGGAGGCTGAGGCAGGAGAATCACTTTAACCCAGGAGACAGAGGTGGCAGTGAGCTGAGATTGCACCACTGCACTCCAGCCTGGCGACAGAGAGAGACTCCATCTCAAAAAAAATAAAATAAAATAAAAAATAAACGTTTTTTCATATGTCTAGATTTTTACTTCTGGAGTCATTTATTTCATGTAAAAATGTAGTTTAATTCTGTTAATAAGAATTCCAAAGTTATACAAAATAAAATTTTATTAAAACTAATTTCAGTATCTCAACCCATATAAATCTTAACAGAAATTAATCCAACTTTTCTAAAGCTATCCACATCAATACAATACCTTGCATTTTCATTTTTAAATATGGAATAGCAATTCACCAGAGGAATAAACAGTCACACAAAATCTTGCAACATGACATTTATTGAACTTTACTTACCTTCCCCAAATTCATTTAAAATGACCGCTACTCTTTTACTATGTTGCTCTGTCAAAATATAGTTCAGAAGTGTTGTCTTCCCAGCACCTATAAAACATATTTTTTGTAAATAAAAAAATTCAAAATAATTTTAAAGATACAAAAAACATATAAAGAATCCTAACGTTTTTGAGAATTTGCGTGCTATTTTTCATATATTATTTTAGTATAGAATATCCTAGAGGATAAGATTAAAGCATCCTTTGAAACCTGTTGCAAAATACTTTATGTAGACATAAAATTTTATAAATATTTACAAACACTCCTACAAGTTGAAACAGTTTCTTCAACCTAGCCTAACCTTCCCTAAAATTTACACACAATCTTTTATTTATAATGACCTTTTATTTCAACATTAACAAGACGCAACTTCAGGCTGACTATATGGCTACTTATAGTATGCTTTAAACAATCTATAAAAGTTTTTATGAAATGGGGAATAGAGCCAGGTAGTGTCAACAATGGACAGAATGTTCAGTAAGATAAATTCATAAAGCTATACCAACTTTATCCAGCAGGTGGCATATAAAACCCAATATGTCAATCTCCAGTAGAAAAAAAATAGTCTTGTGAACCGTACACACTAAAATTCATAGAGGAAAAAAAGAAAATCCTAACTGCATAGTATTGTAGTTCAATTGTATGACTATATCATTTCTTTATCTTTTTTTTTTGTTGGACATTTGGTTTGTTTCCAGTGTTTTACTATTACAGTGCTGCTAAAAACTTTTACATGTAGGCTATACATGTCTTCTGAAATACATTAAGTTTTCTAGTATATAACTAGGAAGATTTTACAGAGTATTAGGGTATTAATATCTTTTAGGTCATATTCCTTTCAAAGCTTTTTAAGAGATGAAGGCTTATATTTAGAGTACTTTAGGAAGCTCAACATCACAAAAATATGAAGTATAGAATGGGAGAGACTTAGGGCAATGAGGAAAATCTTAAAACCAGTCCAAGCCTGAGACAGAGGCCCTGAACATGAGTGTTTCACAGGGCAGTGATGTGAAAACTGAAAGGAAAGGGTGAATGTAAGAAATCTTCTAAGAGAAGATTTACTAGGGCTTTTTAACCATATTATGAAAAAAAAAACACTTTAAGACATAGCTCATTCATTCGAAGGTTTCTAATACGTTACAGATTTATGCTGAGCCTTGGTGAAAAAGTGAACAAGATAGTCTCTGCCTTCATAGAGCTTAGAAATATTAAGGGGGCCGGGCGCGGTGGCTCACGCCTGTAATCCCAGCACTTTGGGAGGCCGAGGCGGGCGGATCACGAGGTCAGGAGATCGAGACCATCCCGGCTAAAACGGTGAAACCCCGTCTCTACTAAAAATACAAAAAATTAGCCGGGCGTAGTGGCGGGCGCCTGTAGTCCCAGCTACTTGGGAGGCTGAGGCAGGAGAATGGCGTGAACCCGGCAGGCGGAGCTTGCAGTGAGCCGAGATCCCGCCACTGCACTCCAGCCTGGGCGACAGAGCGAGACTCCGTCTCAAAAAAAAAAAAAAAAAAAAAAAAAAAATTAAGGGAAGGGGGGAATGGAGGGGAATTCAGTGAATAAGGAGGCAATTATGTCACAGGGTGACATATTCAATAGGAGATGCACAAAATGCTATGGAGAACCTAAGAGGGACATCTAGCCAGAGGAGTCACAGTAAAAAAGTACCTATTCCAAGGGGCTAAAACACTTGGCACCTTTGAAGTAACATTAGTTCATTGTGCGGGGCCAATTTGGCAGGCTGGAAAGGTTGGCAAGATCCAGATGCTACAGGTCCTTGTAATTCATGTTAAGGAATTTGGATTTTAACCCATAGGGATGCCACTGAAAGGTGTGACGCAGTCGGATTGACATTTATAAAGATCATTAAGGCTAACATGCAACGAATAAATTAAAGGGCAGCAAGACTCCAGATTAGTCAGGAGGCTTTTAGAGTATTACAAATGGTTGGGATCACAGAAGCAGGATTTGGGGGGATGGTAACAGACGAAGTTTCAGACATGTTAAGTTTTAAGTTGTAGGACATCAAAATAGAAATTACACAGGTGTGTAGCTAAAGATGGACAAAGGGGGAAGGAGGAGGGAGCCTTAAAAAGAAGCCAGAGAAGCAGGTGGAAAAATCAGAAGAAAAATGTAATAGAAGCCAAAAGAACAGTGTTTCAGAAAGGGAAAATGGTCAGGGATAGGAGTGAAACTATCCCTAGATTCAGCAACAAGGTTGCTGGTATTAATTCTCACTCCTGAGCTTCAGATCATTTTCTCCAGTGATCTACTGACCTACCAGTGAGCAATACGGGAAAGGCCCGAGCGGCACGTTTGAAATACATTGTTTTGGACAAGAAATTTGTTCATCTTCTCAGCAGAGCAGCCTCTGAATAACTGTGGGGAAACGCCAAAAATAAATTCCTTTATAAAATTACTTCCGAGCAAAAAACGGGAATAAACTTACAGTCTACAAAGTTTTTTAAAAAACAAAAGCAGTTATTTCTTATTTTTACATAAAAGGTCACGAAGTGGCCCAAGTCTGTACCTGTCTCTAGCAACAACTAGGAATATTATTTCCCGGAAACAGTATCATTTTATTTACATTTCTTAACTTTTTCCAAACTTCTAATACAGTCATATATTTGTTCTAGCCCTTCTATTTAACTGTAAGGTTTAAAAATATATTTCTCAAACTTTTCCAGTAAGAAACTTCTAGTGTAAGTGCATAAACCGCCCTTCACGAAACTACCAAGTTCACAAACTTGTGGTTTCGAGTATCCCTGTACACTCTAAACGTTCTTAGTTTGAGAAATAGTCTTGGAGGACAGAGATTTTATTCTTACTTCCTACGCAGTGGTTTACAAACAGACCTCAAAAAAAAAGTGTTTAAGATAGGAGCGCTCCCTGCCAACTGGCTGGAGGACTTTGGCTCGTGGGGAAGGGGAATCTACTGACGAAAGCCCCACGTGTCGGGCATTTTACAGACGGGACATCCTTTAATGGCAACAGGTAGGTGGTTCCGGCCCTGTTTCACAGGTGACAGGTATTTCTCCATTTTCAGGTGAGGTAGATGAGCGTCAGGAAGGTAAGATAACTTGGTAGGAGGTCACAGAGACAATCAGGGGGGCGTGTCTTAGCGTCAAAGCCTTGTTTCAAAGGCTAACTTTCCATCTCACTTGAGAAATGGGAATCTAACGCAGAGGGGGCCGGGCATCATTAACTCCCAAGATGAGAGGCAACCCATACGAGAAGCAAGTGACCCAGCCCCTACCTCGAAGACATTTGCTCTTGATCATGAGGCCCCAATGCCTCAGGAGAAGAGGCACCGGCAGCCCGCAAAATCCCATGACACCAGAGGTCACGCCATTTTGTGACTGGGATGGTTAGTTACCTAAATACCCGGTGATAATTGTGACTGGGATCTTGGCGCCGAGGCCAGACTTTTCCTCCTCCTCGCTTTGCGTCGTCTCCATGGGAACCAATTCAGGACAATCCTCCTCCGCAGGATCCTCCTCCTCATCCGCAGATCCAACAGCCGGTAACATTCCGGCCTACAGCACGTCCCTACCTCAGCTGAACCGCTGGGACCAACACGCCGTACCGCAGCCGCGCACGCCCAGCACGCCACTCCCGGCCTGCCCGGGGCCTGACGTCATCACATCGCGACGCTCGCTGATCCCGCCCGGATTACCTGGGCTCTGGACGAGAAGCGCCTCGTCCCTTAGCCACACCCCCCGGGGAGGTGGGCTCTCCCCGACGACAGCTGGACACGCCCCTGGGCGTGTTCTGTGAACCTGAGCGACGCTGCGGAGAGTCCTTAGGGCGCACTAACCACCTGTCTGAAGGTGTCACTGGCGCCTAGAGCCTTAATAAGCTACTGGCTGTAGGTAGAGCTGAGGCCAGCCTGCTGGAAATCTGGAGTGGGTAGCCTGACCTAACCAGTTCCCACAGGGCATAGATTTTATCAACTTGATTTTTTAGTCTCGTTAAAAGAAAAAGTTTTAATTCATAGGGGAAAGAATGGAAGGTTATAACATTACAATTTTAATTGTAATTTTTATACCTGAAGGATAACCAGTGACAATTTTTTCTTTTTTTATTATTACATATTATATATGTAATTCCAAATTTTTAGTATTCATGCATCACTTTTATTTACTTTTTTCTCATTATTTATTTGGACCTCAGGTAACCTAAGTTCATTAATCGTATTTGCTGGTGCATGACACTCTCATCACTAATCCATAGATAGCCCTTCTTTCTAATATAAATTTATAGTGAACTCCTTTGACCTCATTCCTAACCTAAAAGCATTACCAGTAAGTTACACGTACCTATGTGCACCGCCCCTGCTTCCAATCCACAGCCTGCCCCATAAGATAGTAACAACAGTCATGAATTGGTTCTGGATTGCTGATCATTCCCTTTTAGTTTTATCACATATCCCACGTATGTACTTACAGAATATGTTGTTTAATTTTGGGTGTTTTTGAGCTTCATAAAATTATCCATATAATATATAAACTCCTGAGGCTTGCTATATTTTTCAGCATCACTGCTGTCTTGTATTCTATTGTGTGGCTACACGGCAATTTATTCATTTCCTCTCAATTGTTCCAGGTTTTGCTCTTATGAACAGGGCTGCTATGAACATTTTTCCTGACATATGTGTGTGCAACTTCCTCTTGAGTGTCTGTGTAAGAGCTGAATTGCTGGGTCCTAGATTATTCAAATGTTTTACTTCACAAGAAAATGCACAATTATTTTTCAAAATGTTTGTACAAATTGATACATTTTCCCAGCAAATTATAAGAGATCTCATTGGTCTGTTATGTCAATATTATCAGGCATGCATTTTTCACCAATCAATTGAGTACAAAAGAAGACTTCATTGTGATCTTCATTTGCATTTCCTTGATTACTAACAAGGTTGAGAATCTTTTCATGTGTTTTGGCAATATTTAATTCTTAGAATGACCCTGTAGAGTGTTATCCCTCTTTCAAACATGAGGCACCAAGAGTTAAGTTACTTGTCCAGGTTAGGTCATAAAAATCTATCTGATGCACAAGTAGAATGTTTTACTACTATCCTGATGCCAAATAAAAGGTTGACTTTTCCTTCCTTCTCTGAAATTCCCCATATAATATACTGTGTGTATTCCATTAGTTCTACTGATAAGGACATATAACTTGAAAGTATTTATCACGCCTTTTGCAGAACACAGTTAAGACAGAGGGTTTATATTTGTGCAAATGAGTATATTATATTCACACATACACTCGGTCTGAGAAATCAGGTCTTGAATGCTTTGCCAGCTTTGACAATGTAACCATGAACCAGCTGAGGAAGAAATAAGGCAAATACCTTAGGCATGGTGGTTCAGTTCACTTTATTCTACCAAAGGAGAGAAGCTGTGATGGGTAGCCCAAAATAGATAGCTTACGCCCTAAACACAATGGTTCATAAGCTTTTTCGTTTCAGGAATGCTATGAAGTATTGATTTTTTTGGCAACCTAAGGGAAGGAGTAACATTGCACCCACAGGCATCACACTATTTGCTTGATGTCCCTTCAGCACTGCATTACTGCCTGAATAGCAGCTATTACAGCCCTCACCACGTTCTTTGACATATTTTTTAAAGTACATTCTTGTGGGTTCCCAATATGGCACTGGCTGAATGTTATACTAAAATCCCTCTTTCTGTGTTTTGAGACAGGGTCTCACTCTGTCGCCCAGCATGGATTGCATTGGCACGATCACAGCTCACTGCAGTCCTAAACTCCTGGGCTCAGGTGATCCTCCCATCTCAGCCTCCCAAGTAGCTGGGACTCCAGTCATATGCCATTATATCTGGCTAATTTTTCTTTTTCTTTTTGGTAGAGACAGGGTCTCACTATGTTGTCCAGTCTGGTCTAAAGTCTCATCTCTAACAATGAGCAACCTGTAACTTATGAGGCCAGCTCAGTCAAGTTGACCAAATAGCATTGTTGTAACAGTATGTAGCCTCAGTGAGAGCAAAATAAGTTTTACACATTGGCCAAAAATTAAATGCACCACAAATATCTATCAACTGATAGACAACCAAAATGTGACAAATGGATAAACAAAATATGATCTATCCGTACAATGGAAAATTATTTGGCAATAAACAGGAAAAAGGACTGATACCTGCTACAACATGAACCAATCTTGAAAACATTATGGTAAGTGAAAAAAGCTATTCACAAAAGACCACACGTTGTATGATCCCATTTACATAAAATATCCAAAATAGGCAAATCTATAGAAACAGAAAGTACATTAATGGTTCCCAGGAGTGGAGGGCTGGGGAGAGACTACAGTGGTTTTTGGGCGGTGATGAAAATGTTCTAAAATTGATTATGGTGATGGTAGTACAACTCTGATTATACTGAAAACCATTGACTTGTACACTTTAAATTGGTGAATTGTATCATATGTGAAATTTATCTCAATAAAGCTGCTATTCTTAAAAGAAATAAACACCTATCTGTGCATCAAAATGGGGTGCCTGTGTACATTTGTAGAGAAACACTGTCTTCAGCAGTTTCAAGTTCTGGCCTCAGGCACAAGTATAAAGATTACAGCTTGATAAAATTTTTCCTTTAGTCTGTTCCATATTCCTCTTCAGTTAAATTTTTATCTATGGATTCTGTGGAGTCCTGTCATTTTATTTTCTCAGATAGAGTTGTAATTTCAGTTCTCCCAAAATAGCTGGTCATGACTTTTTATTTTTATTTCTTTTTTCTTTTTGAGATGGAGTCTTGATCTGTTGCTGAGGCTGGAGTGCAGTGGCACGATCTTGGCTCACTGAAACCTCTGCCTCCGGGTTCAAGCGATTCTCCTGCCTCAGCCTCCTGAGTAGCTGGGATTACAGGTATGCACCACCACGCCCAGCTAATTTTTGTATTTTTAGTAGAGACGAGGTTTCACCACGTTAGCCAGGCTGGTCTTGAACTCCTGACCTCCTGATCCATCCACCTCAGCCTCCTAAAGAGCTGGGATTACAGGCGTGAGCCACTGTGCCGGGCTTTTTTTTTTTTTTTTTTTAACTTATAAGAGGGTTAAATTGTTAAATTGTTAAATTGAAAATGCCTTTTTAAATAAGTATGAAATTTCTTAATTATAATATTTTAGAATCTATTACAGTTTCTGATGTAACTTAAAAATTCCTCCTCATTTAGCTTTGCTATTTTGTCTCATTTACTTTAGGGTAAAACAACAACAACAACAATAGTAATGTTTTGAGCCCCTAAGCATCTGATAGGCAACTGTGTTAAGCACATTAAATGCATTATCCCATTTAACTCTCCAAGGTAAATACTATTTGTGTGCCCATTTTATAGATGAGGAAATTGAGGCTTAGAAAAGATAAATACCTTGCTCAAAGTCATACAATCAGTAAATGGCAGCCCTTGGGCTCAATCCAAACCTGCCTGACACTAAATCTCCTGCTCTTTTAAACCAGAAGATCTGCAAACTTTTCTGTAAAACTAGATGATAAATATCTTAGTCTTTACAGATCAAAAAGCAAATTTGAGGACATTGTGTAGGTACTTATATAATATAAGAGAGAGAGCAAATGTCTACAAGTTTGAAATTTGAATTTCATGTATTAAACAAAATTATGAGAGGTCATTGTTTTGGACTGAGCTCCTGCACTAATCCCAAGCAGACCAGACCAAACCAAAATGGAGTCACTCATGCTAAGCACCACAAAATCAAACTAAAACTTTAAAAAACAGGTCCCAAAATAGATGAGTTTTTTTTTTTCTTCTCCTGAAGACAGAAGATTCCAGTATAATAAGGAAGTCCCCTCTGCTCTATCCTTTACAGAAAAGTAACCCAAAGTAACAACAGATTACTTACAAGAAAGCAATCTCAGCCAGACACAGTGGCTCATGCCTGTAATCCCAGCACTTTGGAAAGCCAGGGCGGGTGGATCACCTGAGGTCAGGAGCTTGAGATCAGCTTGGCCAACGTGGCAAAACCCCATCTATACTAAAAATACAAAAATTAGCTGGGTGTGGTGGCACATGCCTGTAGTCCCAGCTACTCGGGAGGTTGAGGCAGAAGAATTGCTTGAACCCGAAAGGTGAGGTTGCAGTGAGCCAAGATTGTGCCACTGCACTCCATCCTGGGTGACAAAAAAATAAAAAAGTAATCTGATGTTAACCAATCAGTTTTTTTTTTCTATACTGTTTCCTTGTTCCCACCTTACAAAATCCAGTGTTCTGCTATTTTCCAATGGCATTAGAGACCAAATAACTCTATTTATGATGATAAAAAGTGATGTCAATGCCTAAAGTTTTGGGCAACCTCAAAATTAATCATCCTCTCAAAATTGACAGGTTGACCAAAAGGAGGAATTGTTAAATTCATTGTGGCCTAAAGCTGCCTCCTTACATATTTTAAGTTTACCCTAAAGGTTTCCCAGTACATAAAAAACTATATTTCAACTTGATATGTAAAACTTGATATGTAACCTACTCTTGTAACAAGTAGTGAGTCTCAGCCAATCACAGCAGCTGAACTTCAGCCAACCACAGGCAGCCAACTCTTCAAACCAGGTTCAAATAAGGCAAATGCTCAGCTGTAACCAAACCTACTCTGGTTCTGGGGGCTGCCTAATTCACAGATCATTCTTTACTCAATTAAACTCTAAAGTTTTCCTTTCAACATGTATAATTTTCACATCACGAAATAATAATCTTCTTTAATTTTTTTTCCAATGTATTAAAAATGTAAAAACCATTTGCAGGCTACACAATAAATGGTAGCAGGCTATGGATTCCCAACTCCTGATCTAAGCTAATATAATATACTGTTTTCTTAAGCAGAGTTAATGAAATTTTGCAAAATTGGATCCTCCTTGCTCTTTTAAACTCAGTTTTTAAATCACTCACCATTAAAACAATCCTGGACCCTCAAAGGGTTAGGTACCACTGTGCCAATTACCACAGTGCTAATATTCAGAGGAAGATCTGAAGCTGAGAAGCGTAAACTTTTTTCCCAAGGTCACTAATACTTGGCCTGGGAAAGACCTAATTAAGGTGAAACTTGAGTCTTTGCATTGTAGTAGGAGTCCTCCTAGGTGGGAGCAGAGCAGAGCAGATAAGCTCTTAAACTGTCTGGATTTCAGCAGCTCAGCTTTCTGACAATAACCTTGCCATATGTCCTTTGGCACAATTCCCTACTAATTCCCTACTACTCCCCTTTGCTTGGTTCTTCTCTCTTGAATAGTTATGTTAATCACCATAAGAAAAAGAACTGTAGCTATATCCAAATAAGAAGAAAGCTAAAAATAATACCAACTTGGTTTTGTTTTTCGTTTTTTTCTTTCTCATTTTTGCAACTTCCTGCAAAGGAAACAACATACTAGTGGCCAGCAATAGCTACTGGTTTAGAGAAAAGGAAACTGAGAGTTTCAAAACTAACCCAGTTCCTCTTATCTAGCTGTGGCAAGTAAATAAATAAAATATTTTTAAATGTTTAAAGTTTATCAGTTTATTTAACATTTTTCATGGGGTACACATGAACTTGTTGGGAACATATCTAAAAGGCCAGAGGCCAATGGCTTGTATTCTTGTGACTGCTTTGGTTAAGGTTGAATATCAATATTCAAGTGTCATATAGTCCTCTTTTAAGATATACAACCACTGTAAGGACAGGAAAGAATATTTCCTCTCCAGAATACTGAAGATGACTAGCAGGTGAAAAATGTACATTTCAATGTTTTTAGGGGCTGTGACATTAAAGGCTGTAAGTAACATTGTTTGAATTCATTATCTTTGGTGGTTAAACCATGCTATTAATAAGTCTTAGCTTACAGTTGAGTCACTTGTAAGTCAGCTTGCCATGAAATTAAAAAAAAAAAAAAAGAAAACACCATTCAAAGCCCTCAAGCTGACAAGTTGAGTGGTGCACCAATCTCTCTAAAAGAAACTATATTTTAGATACTATAGGAGTGGTGGAATGACAGGAGTGGAGGTTGGGCAAAATGAAAAAAAATGTTTTGCAATGATGTATGGTGTAATAGTTTAGGAGAGAGTCTAAATAATTTCTTCCATTGTCATTAGAAATTTTAAACTGACATTTGTGCCTATAAGTTTCACTTTCTAATTTTTATAGTGTTATAGAAGCATATTCCAAAATCCATAGGCACCTGCTCATAATTCCTTACACGTAAGTAAAAGGCATGAAACAAATGATCCATCTCCATTCTTCCTTCCCCTTTCTATTCCCTCGAAGAGTGTTTAATCATACTTAATTGAAATACCATGCTACTGGCAAAGCCAGGTCTTTCTGGCTTCAAGACCAGGGTCTTTTGAGTCCTATAGCTCTGTCCTTCAGTCATTGTCTTAGACCTTTTCTGCTGCTATAACAAAATATCCAATACAGGGTAATTTATAAATAATAAAAATTTATTTCTCACAGTTCTAGAGGCTATGAAGTCCAAAATCAAGGTGCCAGGAAGTTTGTGTCTAGTGAGGTCTGGTCTCTGCTTCCAAGATGGTACCTCAAAAGCTGTGTCCTCCTGAGGGGATGAACACTGTGTGTTCACCTGGCAGAAGGAGACAGAAATAAGCTTTCACATTGTTTAAGTTTCTGTTTATGCCACTGAAACTAATCCTAACCAACTTATTTGATTAATTGTTTTTTAAATAATATAAGTAGGCTGTGCACAGTGGCTCATGCCTGTAATACAAGCACTTTGGGAGGCTGAGGGGAAAGGATCTCTTGAGGCCAGGAGTTCAAGGTCAACCTGGGCAACATAGCAAGACCCTGTTTCTACAAAAATTTTAAAACTTAGCTGGGCATGGTGGCATGCACCAGTAGTCCCAGCTACTCAGGAGGCTGAGGTGGGAGGATCACGCAAGCCTAGGAGTTTGAGGTTACAGTGAGCTATGATCACTGCACTGCACTCCAGCCTGGGTGAGAGAGAAAGACCTTGTTTCTTATTAAAATATATATATACACACATATATATATGTGTGTGTATGGATGTATATATAGTATTTATATATAAATTATGTATTATACCTGAATGTATTATAACTATAAAAAATTCAAACAGTAGAAAAGTATTAGGGTAAAACGTGGAGTCTCTTTCACTAACCTCAATTTTACTTCCCTTCACCGATATTATATAAACACTGTGAGCAATTTAATAGACATAGGTCCAGATTTTTTTGGTCCAATATTATCTTTGCCCCTGCCATGTTAGGTATTTTTCTGTAGGAGAAGCAAGATTCCCTCCTGAAAGAATATTCCTGTTTAGACTAAGTCTTATGTATATGAATATATGTATTTGCATACATCTGCATTCATAAAATTATAACAGAAAGATAGAGTACATTTGTATACATATGCGGCTTTTGTTTTTAATAAATAGGAACATACATAGGCTTTGTTCTGGAGTTTGCTTTCTTCACTTGACAATATGCACTGATACTCTTTCCTTCTCACTAGAATTAGAAATACATCATTCATCATTTTTTTTTTTGAGACGAAGTTTTGCTCATGGTGTCCAGGCTGGAGTACAATGGTGCAGTCTTGGCTCACTGCAACCTCTGCCTCCAAGGTTCAGGCAATTCTCTTGCCTCAGCCTCCCAAGTAGCTGGGATTACAGGCACCCGCCACAACGCCTGGCTAATTTTCGTATTTTTAGTACAGATGGGGTTTCACCACATTGGCCAGGCTGGTCTTGAACTCCTGACATCAGATAATCCACCTGCCTCGGCCTCCCAAAGTGCTGGGATTACAGGTGTGAGCCACCGTGCCAGACCATACATCATTCATTTTTTAAACCACTTCATGTTATTCCATAATAGAGATGTAACTATTTCATCATATCTTCAAAAGGGACATAAAGATTGACTAACTACCTCTTCAAAACATGCTCAAAAGTAAATTCAACATATTATCAAGAAATATAAGAAAGTATGTTGATTAGCCATAGCTTGTATGTTTAATAATAAACTTTATTCTTATTCTCCTTTGATATTTTAGACTTGTTAGGTTCGCTTATTAAATTAGTTTACTTCAGTTATGGAAATATCAAATTCAATATATTTTAATATTAATTTCTTATTAACAGTTCTGGTTACTTATAATTAATATGATTCTACCCATATACTTTATTTTTATAGCAAACTCATATTTTGGATTGTGTATTGCTATCCATAAATTTACACATGTACTTTCATAATTTAATTGTGGTTAATGAGTTTTTGGCAGCAGTATACAATACACAGATTAAAATTAATTCTGAACTGATGCTAGAAGAAAGATGAGTTCACATATTGCATCTTGATAATAGTGCTGGTTTGTGCCTAAAGTATAGCTTAGCTATTCATATCCCTGGGTAATACCACTGGTAGGCTGGGTACAGTGGCTCACATCTGTAATCCCAGCACTTTGGGAGACCAAGACAGGTGGATCACCTGAGGTCAGGAGTTTGAGAACAGCCTGACCAACATGGTGAAACCGTGTCCCTACTAATAATACAAAAATCTGCCGAGTGTGATAGCACACTCCTGTAATCCCAGCTACTCGGGAGGCTGAGGCAGGAGAATCGCTTGAACCTAGGAGATGGAGGTTGCAGTGAGCCAAGATCATGCCATTGCATTCCAGCCTGGGCGATAACAGAGAAAATCCATCTCCAAAGGAAAAAAAAAGAAAAAAGAAACTGTTAGTAAGCAGAATATTATTAATCTATATGCTTTTACATCATAATGGTTCCTTTTACTTCATGTATTTTTGTTCATGAAATTCTGTAAATCATACAAGCTACAGATGGTGAGAGCAGTAGAAATATAAACTTTAGCACACTTGTGTATGCATTAATATGTTCAAAATATATAAAGAAATGGTATTTATATAAATAAATACATATAATTATTTGATCATAATCAGAGGTTAACATGGGTTACCTTTTGGGGAGAGGAAACAGCAGAGGTGATATGGTTGGCAGACAAAGAGGGTATGGAGAAGTAATCTCCCACTGTATTAGTCTGTTTTCACATTGCTGGGCAATTTGCAAAAGAAAGAGGTTTATTGGACTTACAGTTCCACATGGCTGGAGAGGCCTCACAATCATGGCGGAAGGTGAAAGTCATGTCTTACCTGGAAGCAGACAAGAGAAGAGAGCTTGTGCAGGGAAACTCCCCTTTTCAAAACCATCAGATCTCATGAGACTTATTCACTATCACAAAAATAGCATGAGAAAGGCCTGCCCCCATGATTCAATTACCTCCCACCGGGTCCCTCCCACAATACATGGGAATCCAAGATGAGATTTGGGTGGGGACACAACCAAACCATACCATTCCACCCCAGCCCCTCCCAAATCTCATGTTCTCACATTTTAAAATGAGTCATGGCTTCCCAACCGTCTCCCAAAGTCTTAATTCATTTCAGTATTAATTCATTTCAGTGTTAACTCAAAAGTCCACAGTCCAAAGTCCAAAGTCTCATCCGAGACAAGGCAAGTCCCTTCCACCTACGGGCCTGTAAAATCAAAAGCGAGTTAGTTACTTCCTAGATATAATGGGGGTACAGCATTTGGTAAATACAGCCATCCCAAATGGGAGAAACTGGCCAAAACAAAGGGGATACAGGCCCCATGAAAGTCTGAAATCCAGTGGGACAGTCAAATCTTAAAGCTCCAAAATGATCTCCTTTGCCTCCATGTCTCACATCCAGGTCATGCTGATGCAAGGGGTTGGTTCCTATGGTCTTGGGCAGCTCTGCCCCTGAGGTTTTGCAGGGTACAGCCTCTCTCCAGGTTGCTTTCACAGGCTGGCATTGAGTGTCTGTGGCTTTTCTAGGTGCACAGTGCAAGCCGTCCATGGATCTACCATTCTGGGGTCTAAAGAACGGTGGCCCTCTTCTCACTGCTCCACTAGATGGTGCCCCAGTAGGGACTCTGTTTGGGGGCTCCAATCTCACATTTCCCTTTCACACTGCCCTAGCAGAGGTTCTCCATGAGGGACCCACCCCTACAGCAAACTTCTACATCTTCTGATATCTAGGCGGAGTTTCCCAAACCTCAATTCTTGACTTCTGTGCACCCACAGGCTCAAAGCCATGTGGAAGCTGCCAAGTCTTGGGGCTTGCACCCTCTGAAGCAACAGACAGAGCTGTACTTTGGCCCCTTTCATTCATGGCTGGGATGCAGGGTATGAAGTCCCTAGACTGCATACAGCAGAGGGACCCTGGGCCCAGCCCACGAAACCACTTTTTCCTCCTAAACCTCTGGGCCTGTGATGGGAGGGTTGCCATGAAGAACTCTGACATGCCCTGGAGACACTTTCCCCATTGTCTTGGGGATTAACATTCAGCTCCTTGTTACTTATGCAAATTTCTGCAGCCAGCTTGAATTTCTCCTCAGAAAATGGGATTTTCTTTTCTAGCACATTGTCAGGCTGCAAATTTTCCAAACTTTTGTGCTCTGCTTCCCTTATAAAACTGAATACCTTTAACAGCACCCAAGTCACCTCTTGAATGCTTTGCTGCTTAGAAATTTCTTCTGCCAGGTACCCTAAATCATCTCTCTCAAGTTAAAAGTTCCACATATATCTATGGCAGGGGCAAAATGCCCCTAGTATCTTTACTAAAACATAAGAAGAGTCACCATTGCTCCAGTTCCCAACAAGTTTCTTGTTTCCATCTAAGACCACCTCAGCCTGGACTTTATTGTCTATATCACTGTCAGCATTTTGGGCAAAGTCATTCAACAGGTCTCTAGGAAGCTCCAAACTTTCCCACATATTCCTGTCTTCTGAGCCCTCAAAACTGTTCCAACCACTGCTTGTTGCCCAGTTCCAAAGTTTCTTCCACATTTTCAGGTATCATTTCAGCAGCGCCCCACTCTACTTGTACCAATTTACTGTATTGTTTCATTTTTATGCTGCTGATAAAGACATACCTGAGACTGGGCAATTTGCAAAAGCAAGGGGTTTATTGGACTTACAGTTCCACATGGCTGGGGAGGCCTCACAATCATGGCGGAAGGCAAAAGGCACATCTCACATGGAACCAGACAGGAGAAGAGAGCTTATGCAGGGAAACTCATCTTTTTAAAACCATCAGATCTCGTGAGACTTTTTCACTATCCCGAGAACAGCACAGGAAAGACCTACCCCCATAATTCAATTACCTCCCACCGGGTCCCCCCACAACACATAGGAATTCAAGATGAGATTTGGGTGGGGACACAGCCAAACCATATCACCCCCCCCAAAAAAATCCCGTTTAGATTTTTATGTTTATGAATATATGTATATGCATACATGTGCATGCAGAAAATTATAACAGATAGAGTATTACATATGTAAATATGTATTTTTTATATGTACTGATTTGTAGAATAACAATTATAAGTGATATAAGGTGAAAGAAGCAATTTGTTCATAAGTATGTAGCATGATTCCATTTCAGTAAAAATTAACAAAAACATGCTTGTATGTGCATGGGCATATATTAATATGTGCTCATATATATATATGCTATACATATATATATATGTATGCTGATATATGTATGTGGAAGCAATATGTTTGGGATGATACACACCCTTGCAATAACATGAACTACCTTAGGGAGTACTATAGATGACAGAGACAATGGGGGAAGAGGAGCAATGTTACCTTAAAACAAAAACTTTGCATCCTATTACTGGTTACAAGAGGCATATAAAATTATTTTTAAAATTTTAAATAAATATGTTAGCAACCTTTGTATGGATGGAAAATTTTAAATATGTATGAAAATACTGATTGCGTATACCTTTTGAAATTCTACTGATAGGGATTTATCCTACATATTTACATATACAAACATTTATGACATTCATAGCACTATTGTTTTAAAGGTGAGATGTTGGAAACATCCTAGCTATTTAACTATAGGGGAATGGCTAAATAAGTTTGGCTCACTCAAAGGATACCATGGAAGAGCAAGGCTTTGCATCGTATTTCGATATGAAACTGTTAGAAGCACCTTTATTTTGAATAGCCTCTAAGAAAAAGTTGGATAGAAAGAGTCTAAATGAAATATTCTGATTAATAACAGAACCTATACTATAAAATGGTGAATTTCTGATCAGAAAGGTGAAAAGTTCATCTACAGCTTAAGTGGACAAATTTAATTTTCTATAACATTCATATCTGATAGATTAAATAAACAGGTACAATTTCCTTAAGAAACATGCCTTATAAGTTTTATGGTCACTACATTCTTTAAAGTTAAGGGTTACATTCCTGGGAGATTAAATAAAAACTGCAGAGTTAACAGTTGACTTGCCTGAGGAGCTACTTGTTCTTCCTCAGTAGACATTGAAGAGAAAAGTAATGTAATACAACAGAAACAGAGCACGCATCTGATAAACATGTAACAGCAAAAGGGGGCGCACAGGCCTTTGCCCTACCTGGCTGGTGTCCTCTGTTCGTTGTACTTCTGAGGTTGCCAGAATGTAAATGTTCATTTCACTATCTTAAATGAGCAGAGAAATAACCAGAATCAGACTTTGAATTCTAAAAGCTCTTGGATCAAGAAGATTCTGTCTTTCCAACGTTTGCATCAAATAACATCGTGACCTATACTATCTTTTTTAATATTAAGTGAAGCTTAATCAAAATTTTAGGTTTAAAACACAAGAGTCGTTAAAAAGATACATTGTTAGGTAGAAAAACATGCAGAATAGTATGCTGTTTCATTTGGAGGGGAGGAAAAGAAAATAGAAAACGCTTAACATCACAATTTTTATTTTTATTACTTCATGTAAGAACTTCTCTACAACCACTGATTTTCTTACTTGCTTTCTAAGCAATGTAGAATTTTCGTCACCACTTCACCATTAATTTCTTGTTATTAATCCATTGCCGTTTTCCCAGCTGAAAGAGAAAACTTCCTTTTAATTTTCTAACTCATTTTGAAACAATTTCAACTTACAAAAGTTACAAAAATAGTAGAGATTCCCATATACCCTTCACTGTGTTTTCCTGAATGTTAATATCTTACTATCACTACCATGATCAAAAGCAGGTAATGAGCGTCGATACGCTACCATTCACAAAACCAGAGACCTTATTCACATTTTGCCAGTTGTCCCACCGAAGACCTGTTTCTGGGCCAAGATCTAATCCAGGATCCCACGTTGCATTCAGTTGTCACCTCTCAGTCTACTTTAATCAGAAGCATTGCTCAGTCTTTGTCTTCCAGGACCTTGACACTCTTGAGGAGTACTGGTCAGTTGTTTTGTAGAATGTTCCTTCACTTGGATTTGTCTTATGTTTCAGCATGGTTAAATTCAGGTTAGATATTTTTGGCAGGGATACTACAAGTTGATGTTGCATCCTTCTCTGTGCATCACTTCAGGAGGCACATGACATCCACCTGTGCTTTTACTAGAATGTTAACTTTGTCAGCAGGGTTCTGCCACAATAAAATTACTGTTTCCCTGATGCAGTTAATAAGTACCTGATGGGGAGATACTTCGAAACTATGTAAATGTCTTGTGTTTTCATCATACTCTAGCTCACAGTTGATCACCCATTATTCTTTTTCAAAATTACAGCTTTATTAAGGCACAACTTAGCCACTCATTTAAGTGTACAACTCAAGGAGTTTTAATAACATTTATACAGTTGTGCCACAATCATCCCAATCCAGTCTTAGAACACTTTCACCATCCCAAAAAATTCCTTTGTGTCTGCGTACAATTAATCTCTTCAGCTTAGGCCCCAGGTAACCATTGGTCTGCCTTCTGTCTTTGTTTATACAATACACTGAATTTTTTCTCATTATTTACTTGCTTGACTTTTTACTCTGAACAAATATTAGTTTATGAGTGAGAAGACAATTTCTAACACATTGTTTGGTATATGACACAGGAAAGACACCGACCAGCCTGGAAGTCAAGAGAAATAATGGATTCTTCAGTGTCAGACTAAACATAAACTTTGAACATTCTAGATATTAGCAGAACCTAAATTATCCAGTTGCCTTAGATCTTCAGTTAATTCATAAAAATAATTCCAATTAAATTTTCTCTGAATTTATAAAGTCAAAAGCATAACCTTTGATCCTTATAAGCACAAAGCAATTTTGATTTTATCATGTCAACATGCCTTAGAAAAATGGTAAGGTCCAGGGGTTTTGTTTCTTTGTTTTTTTCTTGTTGTCATTTTGTTTTGTTTTCCTTTGGTTTGTTAGTTTTGAAGGCCTTCACTTTTTGGTTTGCTGTTTAAAATTATTTTCTTCTGGAGCCAATTTCATTAACCCAGTGAAATATAATTTCAAGGACATTGTGTCTTACCCACACCCTCCAAGGTATGTTTTATATAATAAGGCAATGTTGTTAAAATCAGGATAATTTTATTTTTAAAAAACGTATATATCTAGCATCTCTCAAAAGAAAATCCTTAGATCTAGCAGTACATGGCCCAAGTTTCCACAGCTGGAGCAAGTTGTGGCCATCCACTTTAGACAGAATATGTTCTTTGGTTTGCCAAGGCCCCACCTATTCCCTATTGAATCACATCACAACTGCTTCATTCTTGTAAGCTCCTTATCTAGCCCTGTTGGACACTTGAGTTTGTTTATGTATTTATTTATATATAAATTTTTATTATATATATCTGTATAACCACAACCACAGATGTGTGCATATTAAAATTTAACTATTTTCCATAGTTAAATTTTGGCAGGGATACTACAAATTGATGTTGTAGTATCAATTGGCAGGGATACTACAAATTGATGTTTCCAATGCCCCACCTATTCCCCATTGAATCACACCACAATAGCTTCATTCTTGTAAGCTCCTTCTCTAGCCTTTCTGGACACTTGAGTTTGTTTATTTAGCCTTAGTAAAGTAAAGCTCACTAATGTTAAACTTACAGGTATCCTCCCCAACACATAAATACCGAATACACTCTACCATTTCTATCTCCCCACACTTCCAACATTTAATTTTGGTTAGATTATTTCTTTTTCATTATTATGACTATGTAAACAATATCCACAGATGAGCTTTATAGTATCCTCTGATTCTTTTTTCATTCCTACTCAACTTTTTATTTTCCCTGAAATTAATAATTTTATGAGTTATAATTTTTAATGAGTTTTTATTGTAGTTTTGGTTGCATAATACCATATATTTATCATTAATTCATTCCCAAGCTCTTAAAAAGTTGCTTAAATCTCCTTTTCGTATGTTCAGATGAATCCAGTATTCTTTTAATTTCATTTTCTTCAAGAAATCTATCCTAGGGTCTTGTGATCTGCTCTGTGTTGGAAATTGTTGCCCCTTATGTTACATGCACAGCTCAGGGATCTTGCTGCAGATTCCCTTTTCTTCTGTCTTGTGCTGAATTCCCTTGATTCCTAAATCCTATGTTTTCCTCTTTCATAATTTATACCTTTATTTTTTGTGGAGCACATCCTCTAGTAGCTTCCTGAGAAAAAGTGTGCATCGAGTGAACTCTTTTGAGACCTTGCATATCTTAAAATGTTTTTAGTATATACATAGATTCAGTTGATGGGGTGGCTCGTTCAGTAATCAGGCTACATTAGGCTATGCTACAGCAACATATCCCTAAAGTCTTAGTGGCTTAATATGACAGGAGTTTATTTCTACTTGCATCCCAGACCAAAGCAGGCCAGCTAACACTCACACAAGGCTACTTTCATTGGGCAGTTCCAGAAGTTGGGAGTCCTTCACTTCAGCTGTCAGAATGAGGGGTGAGAGTGCAGAGAAGGCACTACTACTCTTAATTGTCTCAGACTAGAAGTGGCTTCTTATCCCATTCATACTCCTTTTGTGACTATTATTTATACTATCTGGCCTAAGTCCACAGGGACTGGCAAATGTAGAGATGAATATTTGTTTACTTCATATCCTCTGACACAGTGAAGTTGAGAATTCTGGGTTGGAATTCTTTTCTCTCTCTTTTTTTTTTTTTTTTGAGACGGAGTCTCATTCTGTCACCCAGGATGGAGTGCAGTGGCACGATCTCGGCTCACTGCAACCTCCACCTCCTGGGTTCAAGTGATTCTTCTGTCTCAGCCTTCTGAGTAGCTGGGATTACAGGCATGCGCCACCACGCCTGGCTAATTTTTGTATTTTTAGTAGAGATGGGGTTTCACCTTGTTGGTCAGGCTGGTCTCAAACTCCTGACCTGGTGATCTGCCCTCTGTGGCCTCCCAAAGTGCTAGGATTACAGGCGTGTTCCACCATGCCCAGCTAATTTTTGTATTTTTAGTAGAGACAGCGTTTCACCATGTTGGTCAGGCTGGTCTTGAACACCTGACCTGGTGATCCATCCTCCTCGCCTCCTAAAGTGCTGGGATTACAGGCGTGAGCCACCATGCCCGGCCTCTTTTCTCTTTTGAATGTGGTAGGCACTGCTCTGTGTCTTCCAACTTCCAGTCTCCCAAATTGCTGGTGAGAAACCAGTTTAATTATTGACTCTTGTGTATGACTACTTCCTGTCTTCTGAGCACAGAAACACATAGGATTTTCACTTTGTTTCCAGTTTTTGTAGGCTGAATTGTGTCCCCTGCCCCACTTTCCACCAAAATTCACTCAGTGAAGCCCTAACCCCCAGTAGTTTAGAATATGACTGTATTTAGACGTGGGGCCTTTAAAGAGGTAATTAAGGTAAAATGAGGTCTAATGGGCAATTCTTAACCTAATATGACTGGTGTCCTTTTAAGAAGAGGAGACGAGGACACAGACAACACTGACCAAGGGAAGACAGTATGAGGACACAACTAGAAGGCAGCCATCTGTGAGCTAAGGAGAGAAGCGTCAGGAAAAAACGAAACTGCTGTCACCTCGATCTTAGACTTCTAGCATCCAGAACCATGAGAAAACAAATTTCTGCTGTTCAAGCCACCCAGTCTGTGGTGTTTTGTTACTGCAGCTCTAGCAAACTAATATATCGGTATTTTAAAATCGCACAAATAATGTGCCTTGGGATGGGTCTAACTCCATTCTTTTTTTTTTTTTTTCACTCGAGTAGTCTGTTACAATCTGAGAACTCATGTCCTTGGATTTTCTGGAATTATTTTATTGATTATTTCCTTTCTTCTCTTATCTCTGTTGCTCTTTGTGGATCTCCTCTTATTTAGATGTTGGACTTCTTATTTTAGTCCTTTAATTTTTTTCTTTTTCTTTTCTAACTCTCATTTTCTATATTTTTGCTCTGCTTACTGGGAGATTGGCTCAAATTTATCATCCAAACTTTCTCTGAATTTTTTATTCTACTATTATTTAGTGTTCAAATTTCCCAGAGCTCCCTTTTTGTTTCTTGAATGTCCCTTTCTTAAACAGCATAAGACTGGTTCGTGGGTGCAATACAATATCTCCTCTTACGCCTCTGTGGATATTTTTTAAAGTTGTGAATCAATTGAAACTTTTTACTTTTTACTTTTATTGGTACATAATAGGTATTTATATTTATGGGGAACATAAGATTTTTTTTTTTTTTTTTTTGAGACGGAGTTTTACTCTTGTTGCCCAGGCTGGAGTGCAATGGTGCGGTCTCGGCTCACTGCAACCTCCGCCTCCCAGGTTCAAGTGATTCTCCTGCCTCAGCCTCCCGAGTAGCTTGGATTACAGGCATGAGCCACCATGCCCAGCTAACTTTGTATTTTTAGTAGAGACGGGTTTCTCCATGTTAGTCAGGCTGGTCTCAAACTCCCGACCTCAGGTGATCTGCCCGCCTCAGCCTCCCAAAGTGCTGGGATTACAGGCATGAGCCACGTGCCCAGCAGGTATTTTAATGCAAGTATACAATGTGTGATAACCAAATCCAGGTAAATGGTATATCCGTTGCCTCAAGCATTTATCCTTTTTTTGTGTAACTAACATGCCAATTATACTCTTTTAGTTATTTTAAATGTATGGTAAATTATTGTTGACTGTAGTCACCCTGTTGTGCTAGCAACTATTAGATTTATTCATTCTATCTAACTATATTTTTGTACTCATTAACCACCCACCTCCCACCACAACTACCCTTCCAGCCTCTGGTAACCATCATCCTACTCTATCTCCCTGAGTTCAACTGTTTTCATTTTTAGGTCCCACAAATGAGTGAGAACATGTGAAATTTGCTTTTTTGGGCCTGGCTTATTTCACTTAACATAAGGTCCTCCAGTTCCAACCATGTTGTTGCAAATGACATTTCTCATTCTTTTTTATGGCTGAATAGTACTCCATTGTGTATATGTACCACATTTTAAAAAAATCTATTCATCTGTTGATGGACACTTAAGTTGCTTCCAAATCTTGGCTATTATGAATAGTGCTACAGTAAACATGAGAGTGCAGATATCTTTTCAATATACTGATTTCCTTTCTTTGGGGTATATATCTAGCAGTGGGATTGTTGAATTATGATGGTTCTATTTTTAGTCTTTAGAGGAACCTCCATACTGTTCTCTATAGTGGCTGTACTATGCTCTGTGGATATTAATAATAGTTTTCTTCTCCCAGCATAGTCTTGGTTAGTTCCAAATTATTTTCTTTGTTTGTTTGTTTGCTTTGGTCTCTACCTTTCATGCTCGTAGTTCTCCTTAGATGTCTGATAATATTTGGTAGTCTATTCAAATTTAGGAGTGAGGTACTAAAAGACCTTATTGGAAGTTCTGATTCCATGAATGAAACTTCTTGTCCACCAGCTTCAACTGGGTCATCTGGCTGGGCCGTTTAGTTGGGTCATTCTTGACATCAGCATCTTTATGTCTTTCCTCTGGAAGTGGTCAGATACCCCAGAGAACAATTTTCTAATCTCTAGTGGTCTGGAATTAGAATGGGGTAAAAGACATGGGGTTCTGTTAGGTTATAAATGTTCCCATAAATTTTCACTACCCCTTCATTTATATTACTGAACTCCATCCCCAAATGTGCCAAATGTTCTCCAGGAGGTAACTTTCTCTATTTACCTTATCCAGCCTCTGCCAGGCTGGGAGAGGGACCATTATCTGGCTATACAGGTTTGAAGAGAGGATGTAGGGATCTAACAACTTCTTATACAGACTTATAACCCAATCCTCCTATTTTTGACCCTACCTTTATCCCCATTTTCAGTGGTATCTGACATTTGGAAGCTGTTTGGGAGGTCTATGATGTAGTCAGGTACTTCCGAGTTTTCTCCAAGACAAATTTAGGGATCATCTTTCTCAGGTGTGTTACCTCTTGTCTATATGGCTTCTGAATTCCACAACCTTGTTGTTCTTGTCTTCCTTTCTAATTTCATCATCATTGTGGGCTTCTGCCTTAAAAAAATAATCCCTTTACTGTCATTTTATTAGGTTTCAGAAGAAAGCCAAAGTAAGTGCATTTCTATAATTGATCACCTCTACTCAGTAGTCTATTTTGCATTTTTACAAGGAAATGACAAGTTTACTCAGGAGTGTTTGAAGACAAACAGGCCTGCTTTATAATTTTGCTACTGGCCATCCCTACATTCAGTGCACTTGGTCAACAATTACGTCCACAAAACAGAAATTACAACTCTGACTCGTGCTTTTATCTGAGGAACCACAAGTCATTCACTTTTATGGTTCACTTGTCAACTGTAAGGGAAACTCTAACTGCTAATAACGTTAACTATATAGCCAAAAGGATCTTGTAAAATTCTTCCTATGTTCCTAGCTTTAGTCTTTGCATATAGTTCAAGGTTACTACTAACACTCCCCGACACGTGATTTTCTTCTGAAATACGAAAACCTCCCATTTTTGAGTGTTCAGTGTGTGCTAGAGACTGGGATAGGCGCATTTACATGGATGATCCCATTTAATCCTCCCCAAAACTTACAGTGTCTGGGCCAGGTGCGGTGGCTCACGCCTGTAATCCCAGCACTTTGGGAGGCCAAGGCAGGCGGATCATCTGAGATCAGGAGTTCGAGACCAGCCTGGCCAATATGGTGAAACCCCGTCTCTACAAAAAATGCAAAAATTAGCCAGGCATGGTGGCGCGCGCCTGTAGTCCCAGCTACTCTGGAAGCTGAGGCAGGAGAATCGCTTGAACCCAGGAGGCAGAGGTTGCAGTGAGCCAAGATCGAGGCACTGCACTCCAGCCTGGGCAACAGAGCAAGACTCCGTCTCAAAACAACAACAACAACAACAAAACCCTTATAGTGTCCATGTTATTATCTGTATTTTACAAAGAGGAAAATTGAGGCTCTGAAAAGTTAAAGGGTTTGTTCAACTTAACACGTCTATTAAGTGGTGAAACCAGGGTTTGAATCCAAGTCAGCCTTACTCCCAACCACTTTCCACTTCGTTATGTTGTCTTATTGATGACTTCCTGCCAGGACTTCCCAAGTGTTCATTTTCATGTCTGCAGCTCATTTAATTACTTTTAGTTCCTTTTTCCTTTTCCAATCCAGTCATCTATACTATTTACCCTATGTCAGTGAATGACATCCAGTTGGTTCAGTATTTCAAAATTTCTGGCCCACCTTCTCTTCTCATCTGTATCTGGTTACCTTTTTATCCACCTTATATATCATTTCCTAGGAAAGATTCCATGACCTCCCAAGGATTGACTTTGTACTTTTCATGTGCTTTTACAGCACAAACAGAATCCTCTTTGCCCTATCAAAGTAGTAATTACCAGGTATAGAAATTATCTGTTTGCTTATTTACTCCCCAACTACACTAGGCTCCTAAGGACTGTGGCAATATTCATCTTATTTATGAGTCATATCTACAGCCTAGCACAGTGCCTGGCACATAGCAGGTGCTCACTACATATTTTGTTGAATGAATGCATAAATGAATGAGGTTACACACATACCTCTATGACATAGTTTGGATATTAGTTCCCTCCAAATATCATGTTGAAATTTCATCCCTAATGTGGGAGGTGGGGCCTAGTTGGAGGTGTTTGGGTCAGGGGGGCAGATCCCTCATGAGTTGCTTGGTGTCATTATGTTAGGATTGAGTGAATTCTCACTCTTAGTTCCTGTGGGATCTGGCTGCCTAAAAGAGCATGGCACTCCTCCCCTCTCTCTTGCTCCCTCCCTTGCCATGTGACATGCCTGCTCTCTCTTGGCCTCCCCCCATGGTTGGAAACTTCATGAGGTCCTCACCAGAAGCAGATGCTGGTGCCATGCTTCTTGCAGAGCCTGAAGAACCGTGAGTCAAATAAATGTCTTATTTTATTAAATTACCTAGCCTCAGATATTCCTTTATAACAATGCAAAATGGATTAAGACACTCGTATTTATTAGTCCATTCTCACAGTGCTCGGCTATTTATAAACGAAAGATATTTAATTGACTCATAGTTCTGGGAGGCCTCAGGAAACTTACAATCATGGCGGAACGGGAAGCAAACACATCCTTCTTCACATGGCAGCAGCAAGGAGAGGTGCTGAGCAAAAGGGGGAAAAGTCCTGGATAAAACCATCAGATCTCATGAGAACTCACTCACTATCATGAGAATAGCAGCATGGGCTAACCGCCCCCATGATTCAATTACCTCCCACTGGGTAACATGTGGGGATTATGGGAACTGCAATTCAAGATCAGATTTGGGGGGGACACAGCCAAACTATAACACACTCTGTCTGAATTATTAATAAAATATTTTCTAATCTAAAGTAATGTTCCAATGATATTTTAGCATTTGCCAAATAGAGTTCCATAAAAGAAAAGTCTTTAGTGCATATTATTTATTATTCAGGGTGTAGATACTATTTTAACTTTCACATTCTAAATTATAGTGTGGGTATCAATCTATGAAGTAAGTGCTGACAAGTTGTCAACATTACTGAATTTTATGGTGAAGTTTAAAATTTGAATTTTTATTCAAATATAAATGAAAAGACCATTTTATTCTCAGGTAAAAAATCTATCATGCTTTGATGCTTTTCACTTTAATTGAAAAAAGACTCATTATAAAAGTACAATGCAAGAAATATTTAGAAAAATATTCCTGATCTCCAGTTGTTACTGTACCTAGATTTTTCTTGGGACCTATGTGATAAAACTTATCATGATTCTTGAAGAAATAGAAGTTCATACAACTGTTATCAGAATTTATATAAAATGTTTCTCAGAAAATGTGGTTTCTCCAGCTCGAACATTCTATAACTCTAAGCCAAATTGAAAGAGCAGATTGATGGGATAAAACACAAAGTATGGAAATAAATAATAAACTGCTACCCTGAAAAAGCCTACCTCTGCACATTGTTTAAAAATTGGAAAAAATCCAACTTCTGTGTTCTGATATTCAATGCAAGTCATTAGAGTAAGGTGAGACTCTTCCTGTGGATTCAGATTGAAATCAGGGACGGTGTAGGGAGGCCATGGTCAACTTTTGAGCTACCCTTGAGGGAAGAAATTAATTGACCAAATATTAACTGCCCAAGTATATTCATAGGATGGCCATCCAGTAATGAGAATGAACAGTCTCCAACTAAAGGCAACAATATAGATGAATCTCAGAAACATGATATTGACCAGACAGAAAAGATTCCACTTACATAAACTTCAAAAGAAGATAAAACTGATCTATGACATTAATAGTCAGAATATTCATTATCCTTGAGGGAACTAAACTGGGAAGCCACATGATAGGGCATCTGGAAGCTAGTAATGTCCTCTTTCTTGATCTGTTACATTGGTGTGTTTATTTCATTAGCTTTATTGAGCTATACATTTACCACCGTGTACTTGTCTCTGTATATGTTTTGCATTGAAATAAATTTTACCAATAAAATAATATAGCAAAATAAAGCGTTAACTGCTTACTGTTTTCAATAATATGCTCCTCTCTCCAAGAGGCCCCCCATACAGGCGAAAGTGCCCTGAATTATCACCCCAAATATGGCCTAATGGCAGGATATCTGAAACTATAGTAACAGGATGTTGGAAAAAAAAGTTTCCCTGGGATAATCGAATACAACAAAAGGGGTATTCCAAAACCAGATCACCATATGCAGACCTTATCATGAAAATTCTGAGAACCATTTCCATGACTATTGGATTCCACAAGATTTTTGAAGATATTTTTGGGGGGAGGATTTTATCAAGGAGAATTCCCACTTCTGCTTATAGGGAAGAAAAATGAGGAAGGGCTGCTACTTCTAACAAGGCTTCTTAAGACACCTTTCAGAAAGCTTAAATGACCATTTTCATGAACTTAAATGGAGCTGGGAGACCCAGAGGATGCTGCCTGACTCTGGCCCAACGATGCTAAAGTAGCCTGGGGCACCAGGGTAAGGTGGTATTGGAATCAGCAAGGCTTCTCGGGCCAGGAAAGTCATGAGCATTTTCAGTAGAGCAGATGTGTGCCATGTGGGAGAGATCCAGCCAAGGGTCATTTGGGGTTCTGTCCAGTACAATCACTTAGAGAGCGGAGGGCCCTACCAGCAGGAAGCTAGACGGGGGCTACAAATGTGTCACAAGTAAACACCAAGAACGCATGCAACTAGAGATGCATGAACCAGGTACGATGACCTGTAGGAGAGAAGTCTTCTGGGAACAGTCTTCCAAAGGACCCAAGCAAGCCCCAGGAAAAGCGTCAGTTTTGAACAACCACCAGGCATAGAATGTGCAAAACCAGATTACATCAGTGTCCATTCTGTAAGAGCTTTCTTGTTCCTTAGCATTCCTCCAACAGCAAGAGGTCAGAAATGGTGGGCCAGCTGAGATGGGAGAAGAAAAGAGAAATGGCACAAAGTGGAGAGAAGACACCGACCATACCTCCTTTCCTCTCTTTCCCACCACCGGTGGACAGCCCAAAGCACACTCCAACTGGAGGAAGGTTTGCCATTAAAGATAAGGTGGAGTTTTGATTATTATCTTGGCTAGTAAAAGTCATGGGGTCTGCCCACTATCGTATGGGAGGGGCGAGGATTACACCTACTTAATGCGCTTTGAAGAGGCATTGGGAAACCATAATAAAGATGTGGGATTTTTTTTCTTTTCTTTCTGTCTCAGAATTGGGCACATTTCTGAGATATTCTGCTGCAATTGTGTAAGATTTGTCTGCAAGCCTTAATTTTCTCATTACCTACTTTTTATAAGTCAGGCACAAATAATTGGAACTGCTTATATAGGGAAAATTGTTGAGGCTTTAAAATGTCTCAACGCCAAATGAGAAGAAAGAGAATACATATTCTTTAGTCTTAATTTGGTTCCCCAGGAGCAAACTTGAATCCTGAAACAAGAATTCAAACTCACATAGTTTATTTTGTAGGGAGGAAGGGAATGAAGAGAACACAGGTAGGGGAGAAGAGAAATAAGACAAGGAAGAGGAGAAAATTAATAAAGATAGGCTTCTCAAGCCAATTACCACAGTAGGCAACTGAAACTTAATCCCGCATGAGCACGCTAGGGGCCCATGAAAAACACATGCTTCAGGGTCCCCCGAGGGTTAAAGGAGCTGACGTATTTATACAACAACATCATCATGCACTACTGCCGGGATCCCAACAGAGCCATCCATCACTTCTTATATGGACTCCCTTTGGCTCAAAGCACTTCACCTAGTATTTACTTTTCTCTTACTATTTCCTCTTTTTTTGTGGATGACAGGAAATCACTGGCTAACCAATAATCAGATAAACAGAGCATTTGTGGAAGGAATTCCTCACTCTACATCTTCTCACGAGCATGGCTAATTTATTTCAGATCTGATAGCAATTCCACTTACTTAGAATTTGGATGTCATTCAGTACACACCAGGCCACAACTGAACTGGACAGCCCCTTTTAAATTTCAACAATACTAACATCTCTCACAATAGTTTCTAGCTCCCAGAAAACATAATTTCTATTCTGAAAGAGGATGGGATTAATTCACTTAATTTCAATTCAACAAAATGTACCTATGTATTTATGTATGCTATAGCTAAAATACCATTAGTGTGTGTAGATGATAGATAGATAAGATAGACAGATAGATAGATATTCCCTGCCTTAACAAATTTATAATCAAGAGTTGAAGTAGAAATGTATAAAAATACTATAAAACAAGGCATATTACAATTACTCAAAGCATAAATAAACAAGGTGCTATGCACCATTAAGGAGAGAGCAATAAATTCCAACCAGGTGAAAATGAAGGAAATTTCATTTCCTTCAGAAATGAAATGAATTTGAGTTATGTCTAAGTAAAGTTGGCTCCTGTCCCTAACTGCAAGCTCCCTACCTGTGGTCAAGGTCATGGCTTCAGCTGTCCGCATTTCTGTGTCCATGTTCCAGGGGATTCCTCCAGGTTCCAGGCTGTGCTTTGAATCCCCTTGACTGTAGTCAGGTGTCCCCATTGTCAGCCCTGAGGCTCTTCCCTGAATTCCCCTGCTGGCCTCTGCCCTGCTGGATCCTGCCAGCCTTTGGCTTCGGGGTCTCCCTGCTCACTGCCTCTCAGAACAACCACCTCAGTTCCTCTCTCTGAGAGGTGTGGGCAGATCCCACACTGCCCAGAGCTCTGCCCAGTTCTCTAGGTCTTCAGACTTTGACCTGGCCCAGGTTTTCCATCTGCATGTGAGGAGCAACTGGACACCGGACAGTGGTAGGCCTTGAATGACCAGAAAGTAAATGGACAGGAAGCCAGACAGACTTTGCATGGAATGTGGAAAAGTCCAGAGAAGAATTGGCTCCTTATGACATGAAGAATGAATGAGGTCCCAGCACATAACATGGTGCCTTCTTTTCTCCAGTCCCCTGGCTACTCTTCCAGCAGCATTACCATTGGTATACTTATGCGTACCTCTGTGACCCTTCAACTAATGCTTCATAAGGATCATGACTGTCAGTCTCTTCATGTACCTCAATAACTTGTGCCTCACACCCTTCTACTGATGGCCGTCCACTGCCTTTCAATTTTTCTTTCTGTACACTAGGCAAATTCTGATTCTCTAAACCTTCTATTCAACCTTCAATGCACTCTCCAAATACCTCCTCTTCTCTGAAGCCTTTTTTGCCCAGCATCCTCCAATCTTAGGCAAAACTGATTCGTCCCTTCTTCGTCCCACCAGTGTACCTTAACCATTATTTCTGTAACTGGTTTACTTGTCTATATGTCTTCTTGGGCAATGAGATTCTCCAAAGCAGAGATGTGCCTTATCATTTCCTCGTGCACCTCCTCTCTGTACTGGGCACAGTATCTGGCCCAGAGCAGTGTGGTCACCAGCCTGCCCAGGGCAGAGGAGGTTCGTAAAGAGAAAGGAGAGTTGTTCACAGTGGGGAGACTGACAGCGGGAGCACATGTGCATTCAGGTCATTAGGTAGGAAGCAGGAAGACGAAATGACAAAGTAGCCAATAGCATATCCTTTCATTGTCTTTTATTTGGACCCATTGCCAGAATCAAGAACAAAGAACCTGGAAGCTCCTGGATTTATCTCACCTGGTAGTCTGAGTGGACTCCAGTGATAGGGTGTCTTAGTCCTTTTGTGTGGCTATAAAGGAATACCTGAGGCTGGGTAATTTATTAAGAAAAGAGGTCTATTTAGCTCATGGTTCTGCGGGCTATACGGGAAGCCTGGTGCCAGCATCTATTCAGCTTCTGGTGAGGCCCTCAGGCTGTGTCCACTCATGGTAGAAGGTGAAGGAGAGCTGGTATGTGCAGAGATCACATGGAGAGAGAGGAAGCAAGAAGATGGGGAGATACCAGCTCTTTGTGACAACCAGCTCTCATGGGAACTGAGTAAGGACTCACCTCCAAGAGACAGAATTAATTTATTCAAGAGGGATCTGTCCTCATGATCCAAACACCTCCCATTAGGCCCCACCTTCAATACTGGGAATCATATTTCAACATGAGGTTTGGAGAGGACAAACACCCAAACCATAGCATATAGCCTTTGCAATTTCTTTTAATTGATTGAGCTACCCTACACCAGAATGGGTGAAAAAGGACCTTATTTTTTCTGTATATGGCTGTATTGTTTTGTTAAGAGATGAGTTCCTGCATCAGGACATCATGGGCACTAGCATTTCAAAAATAGTGGAGGCAATAACCTAAGCTCAGTGGCATGAATCCACACTTCACATTTTATTAGCAGTGTAATAATTTTCTAAAAGATTAGTATCACAGATGCTGTTTTTCTTTTGTTTTTCTTGCATCTTGCTCTTTTCTTTACTATTTATGAAATCTTCATTTATTTCTGTGCATTCAACTTACTATCTGCTCTCATTTCCTGTGATTCTGAAAAATTGCCTCTTGAATATATATAGAGCATATCTACAAGAAATCATTTCTCTTCATTTTGTTCATAAATAAGTGTTTTTACTTTACCTTTATTTTTGAAGCATATTTTCACTGGATAATGAATCCTTGGTTGAGTGCCCTCCACCCAGCATGTAAGTATGTAATCTCACTGTCTTCTTGCCTCTATTGGTCCCATAAACAGTTAATCGAGGTTTTATTACTGTTTCCCTGGTATAATGAACCAGTTTTTTTTAATACACTTGAGATTTTCTCTTTGTATGTGATTTAGCATTTGAACTATAATCTGTATAGTGATGCATGTCTTGATGTTTATCCTGGATAAGTTCCATTTTTTTGATCTTATAGACTAATGTGTTTCATTACTCTTGACACATTTTCAATATTTCTCAGGTCTCTCAGGTGTGCCATCTCCCAGAGATGCTTTCTGTGTGGTTATTCTCTGCATTTCACTCTACTGTGTTGCTGTACATTCTCCATTTATGTTATGTCTTAGGCAATTTCCAGAGCAGCCTCAGGGCCAGGCTCTGGAGTGTGGGTGCACTTGTAGTGACAGCAGCTCTGGGCCTGGGGTGGGGCTGGTCCACATGGAAATGGCTCAGGGTCTGAGTTGCCAACACAGGATGAGGTCCTGGAGCCTGGATCTGTGATGATGCAGAGTTGGGGCTGGGAGGCAACCCCTTCCCAGGCCGCACAACAGTGGCTGCTGCTTGGGAGGATGTGGAAAGAAGGTATTGATGCCAGGTCAGAGGAACCAAGAAGGTTGAGAGAGTTTCAGTGCAGGGCCATCTCCTCTTCCTCTCACCTGGGAGCTAGAGTAACAGGAGACAGAGAAGCTGAGCTGGGGCTTCCATGAATCTTTCTGGGTCCTAATTGAGTAGCTCTTCCCCTGAGGTCTGACCTAGGCATTGATATGGGCTCCGGACACCAGCGTGGCTGGGAGGAACATGCAAAGAAGCATGGGAAGGTGCGGAGCTTCCAGCTACAGAGACCACCTGCCTCCTCTTCTTTTCATTGAGAAGCCCCTGCCCAGGTGGTCAAGTCAGAAAGGCTATTGACTTAGCATGGGGGTAGACCTTCTCCTCTCTGGACTCACAATTTAATCCCTGTCCTCCTACCTCACCAATAACCTAGGCTCAGACAGATGGTGTTTAGTACAAATCTCTTGAAAGAAAAAATAAAAACCTATGGTTTCTTTTTCTCTTTCTTCCTGCAACATGCCCATTCATCTTCCTTGCTGCATGATTGCACCTGGCTGAAGTCATTGATCAGAAATTCATCTTCTATACACACTTTTCCTTCGCAGCTTAGACATCTTTTCTATGAGCCCTGAAAACGTTCCATTCTTTGGAAGAACTAGTAAAGGACATCACTTTGTTAGGCCAAGCACTGTGGGTGCATGAGTGACCACAGCTGCAAAGATAAGCAGACTCCAGGCTCAGACTCATCATTGTGTGATTCCACTCCCTGCAGACAGATGATGGTGCATCCACCTGGCCAGGAAAAATGGGGGTGGTATCTTCTCTTCTATAGAGCACTCCACTCTGCACAACACAGCCTTTCACACAGACTCAGACTCTTTTCCTTTTAACAGTTTTGAAAACCTCTGTTCACACCACTGATGGAAACAAGAATCTTATCTGGGGTTTTCTTGTTTTCCTCAGAGTTGTGAACATGTAGTGGTGAGTGAGGTTCCCCTGAACAGGCTGAGAAGCTCTTTAAATCACATTCCATTTAAAATTATTAATAACAATAGTGAAAATGTGTTTTCTTTCTTATGTATGTATCTAAGTAATGTATTCAGTTTTCTTTCTTTGCCAACAAACCTGAAATATCAATTATCTGACTCCTGATATAATCTGGTAAGTTTTGTCTTTTAAATGGAAAGTCAATAAATCTACTATTGTTATAACTTACATAGTACATATTACATGTCATTACATATTAGTATAATATAATCAATTAAGTATGATAATGTTGTATTATTATTGTATGTTTTCAGGAAATACAACCTAAAATACCACTTGAGACAAAGTATATAAGTTCTGAGAATTGTAATTTTCCTTATTTCCTAAAGACTGGGTAAGTAAAATGAATAAAAAAAAGGAAAAGGGAACATTGTCCATATAACAAGCAGTTTAATCCACTCTTTACAATCCTCCCAGACTTCTAGACATGCAGACTCCTGGGAAGAGTGCCCCACTCTGAGCACCTACTGCTTGCCAGGTACTCCCATTACACTGGGATGCAGCAATGCAAATAATAGACAATGGCCCCTGATCCCATGAAGCTCAAATTCCACTAGAGGGAGTCAGCCTATCAAGTGTAAAATCATAAGTAAATAAATTATATCATAAGTCAGAAGGCGAAAAGTGCTTCTGACAAAAGCATGGAGTAGGGTGTCCTATGAACACATACAGAGGGATCATTAAGATGGGAAGCACAGGGTTGGCTTTGGGAGTGAGGGAAGGAACCCAAGGGTCTGGGGAAAAGCCTCACCCCTGAGGGAGCAGTGAGAGTAAAGCTCCAAGGGCAGGACAGTGTGAGGCTTGTTTAGGGCAGAACTAGGAAACCCGAGAGTTGGGAGCCCGGTGAGTCTGAGGTAAGAGCCATGAAAGAGTTTTTATAATTAACAGGGAGGATTCAGGGAAAATGGGGCCAGGAAGGCATTGGAAGGAATTGGCCTTTTACTCTGATCATTCTCTTTGGCTAGGTCTCTTTGGAACAGGACCCTTGCTGGTCAACAGTTAAGCAGGTGCCTTAGAAAATCAGGCAGGTTCTCCAGGCAGAGAGCATCAGCAGCCCCAAACCTGGGCTTCCCAGACATGTCTGAGGACCACATGATTGGCAATTATACCTTCTGAAGTGGCAGATACATTCTGGATTCATGGCGAGATCCAGAGAATCCCTCTTTTTTGCATTTGCATCTTCATTCTCATGCCATCAAGACTTTTAAAGACTGTAGTTTAGACTCTCATTCCTGTTTTTAGAAGAAAAATTCTACTTGGAATTCCAAGAGTGGTGTCTCCTTTATGATATTAATTCCAACTCACACCATAACTCAGACTTCGTAGGTGTAATCATCTCTGTTCTTAATGCAATCAGGAGAGGGTTTGCCCTGTCTGTGCCGCTGGGGATGCCGTGAAGGAAAGATAGTTAAGGTATAGAGGAGGCTTCATGTCACTTTCTACAGAAACTTCAAAGTGTGGATGCAATTTGGGAAATGTTCTCAGCAGATGGAGGCACCAGGAGGAGTAGCTAGGACAGTGCAGACTCACACATCTGCTTCTCTGGGGGGTTTTTGTTATGGCTTGTAACACTGTGAATGGGGTAGTATAATCCTGTAGACAGTAATAAGTTGCAACATCTTCAGGCTGCAGGCTGCTGATGGTGAGAGTGAAATCTGTCCCAGATCCACTGCCACTGAACCGAGATGGGACCCCCGACTGCAAACTGGATGCAGCATAGATCAGGAGCGTAGGGGCTTGCCCTGGTTTCTGCTGATACCAGGATAACCCATTGCTAATGCCCTGACTTGCCCGGCAGGTGATGGTGACTCTGTCTCCTACAGACGCAGACAGGGAAGATGGAGACTGGGTCACCTGGATGTCACATCTGGCACCTGAGGTTGGAAGCATAAAAACAAACATCCACACAATCAATCACGTTATGAGAAGCCCTCCCTGAAAATCCAGCCAGTACCGAATACACTGGCTGAGTAAATTCCTAGTGTTCTCCTTCCTTACCTCGGAGCCAGAGCAGCAGGAGCCCCAGGAGCTGAGCGGGGACCCTCATTTCCATGCTGTGTCCTGGCTGGGACTGACTCCTGCACAGGGTGTGACCAGCCTATAAAAAAGTCTTCAGGGCAGGGAGGGGGCTGGGCTCTGGGAACATGCAAATCAGCAGGGGATGGGGCCCACTGGGCACAGCTGCAGGGCTGGCTCATCTCAGTAACTCAGCACAAGGACAGTGTCCTCAGGATCTCAGGTCGGACCAGGGCAACACAGATTTGTCTTTAATCTGTTTCTTGCTGGGGGTCAATTTGAAACAAAGAATATTTTTTGATAATTGTCGAAATTTGAAATACTGCTGAGTACTTGAGGGAGTAATGTATTCCATTGGCGTATGGGGATTATTTGGGAGAAATTGTTCTCTGTAGGAAACTCAAAGTAAAGTTTTTAGAGTGTGGAATCAGCAGGTCTTAAAAATACTCTGAAAGGGAGGGGGGTACTTTGTGGTATAGTTACATTTCTGTGAGTGTGTAATTGTTCCTTCTTAAAAAAAAAGGAAAAATATCAAGATAATGCTAAATATATTTGTAAGTATTCTATAATAACCTTAAACCATTCTTATTATCAGTGTAAGGTCAAGCAATTCACTGCAGGTGCACAAAGATGGTGCTATAAGTCCTTAATGTGTGTACCACTTACAGTTGCACATTTATGCAAACCTATAGACCTCAATAATGCCCAGAGATTATATGAGCTGCATCTTATTTTTGCTTTGGGGATCTCTATATTATACCTCCTTTTCTGTCATTGGGTATGTTCCCCAGGGTTTATCAGCAGGAAGCGCTGACTAGTGATGCCGGATCTGATTACTTCAAAAAAAAGTTACTTGTTTCTTCCTCCAATTATAGGAGCATGGATTAAGATAAACTTGAAATTACCTAAGGATCAATTGTCTCTAAAGTAAGAAGACCAATACCATATCCACTGAGTAATGTTCTGAGTTGCACTGCCCACCAGCCTGTCCCTGGGTGCTCTGGAGTCTGGATTTCTGGAGAACACATAAAGGAGAGAACTTGGGAAAGATCAGGACAGTGAACCCTCTCTCCTAGTGAGGGCAGCTGCTGCTCAGTGCATGTCCCTGCCTTGCACTATCAATGCCACTTTCCTCTTTCACTGTTTAGCAGTAAGAGGGGACATTCTGACCAAGATGCCAGCCTCCTGTCTGACATCCAGGAAAGAGAGTCTCCATCTCCTATCAAGCAAATGCCCACATATATGGAGAAATCACTTGGATTTGGATAAAACTGGACGCAGATTCGGACTCATTATATCTCACATCATCTCAGCCTGGTTCAGCAACAGAGGAAGTGGATCCACCTACATCAGCATCAGTGGCCTGCAGCCTGGGGTTCTGGGGAGTATTACTGATTCCTGAGTAGAAGTGGCCAAATCACTCTGGTGTAGCATCTGCACACACCCTCCTGCTGCCCATTCAGGGGCCTGAATTTTAAGGAAACTTGCTTGCGTAGGGTGAAATGTCAAAGTTTGATTTTGCCCTCTAAAGTTTGCTTAAAATGAATGGACAAAAGACACATAATAGGAGAAAAAGGCAAACAAATGTATTTAACATGCAGAGGAAAATATCAGAGGAGAGAGATTACCCAGATAACCCAGTGAGGTCCAGGTGCTTATACATCCTTTATCGGGGAGAGGGAGGTGGGGACTGTAACCAACCTAGGGAGAGTAAATGATGTAAAATAAAATAAATGGATCCTCAAAAGAATAGTTAATAGCCTGACTGGATGAAATCAACTTCCAATCTCTTTTGAATTTAACTCCTAGTGCATGTTAATATTCCCTGATAGATCAACATTCCCAGGGAGGGTTTTCTTTTTTTTTTTTTTTTTTTTTGAGACGGGGTCTCGCTGTCCCCCAGGCTGGAGTGCAGGGGTGCGATCTCGGCTCACTGCAGGCTCCGTCTCCCGGGTTCACGCCATTCTCCTGCCTCAGCCTCCTGAGTAGCTGGGACTACAGGCTCCCGCTACCTCGCCCGGCTAATTTTTTGTATTTTTAGTAAATATGGGGTTTCACTGTGTTAGCCAGGATGGTCTCGATCTCCCGACCTCGTGATCTTCCAGCCTCGGCCTCCCAAAGTGCTGGGATTACAGGCGTGAGCCACCGCGCCCGGCCATTCCCAGGGAGGGTTTTCATGACAGTTGGCTTCCTTCTGGAGTAACTGATGTAGGAAAAGAGCCTTTGTCCAATTGATGTTTTCTAAATGCTTTCAGTTTGAAATAAGCACCACACAAATGCAGCATATCCTGAGATGTTATTTCCCAGATCCCTTCTCTTGCAACTGACTTGCCAGGAAACACCATTCCAGAGGGATGCAACTCCAGGGGGAAAGTACAGGTGCTTTTTTCTGGATGGATGCATCTGTCCATGTCTGCATCCAGGCCTTTTTCTTTCACTGTGCTTCTGCTGGTTCCCCATTCCCATCTCTGCCCCTCACTGCTCTCTCTGAGAAAGGCAGCCCTGCCTGCACGCATGGCAGACCACAGGGCTTGGAATGAGCCTTCCCTCATCACTGTGTCCCCTCAAATCTATCTGCTGTTACCTTAATCCCCAAGGCAACAGAATTGAGAGACAGAGCCTAATGGGAAGTGTTTAATCATGAGGGCTCTGCCCTTATGAGTAGATATAAGCCACTATAAGCCGCTATCTTGAACATAGATTTTGATAGTCTGTGACTAATTAAATAATTTTCCTCATCTTCTCAAAAGCTTCATGTGAAAGCAGAAGACCCATGAGAAGACATCTAGAGACTGGCCCTAAAGTGCTTTTCTCCACAGGAATGTCACCCAGGCACTACATCCAGGAGTCTCAGGTGCCACTGGATTCCCATCCTCAGTGAGGCAGAGCTGGGAGAAGGAACGCAGCATTCAAATTTCCTTCAAGTCACTTGCTTAAGGTATACATTGAAGGTTCAAACTAAATTGGAAATATTTTTGTTGTTTTTTACAATTAGCACTTTATTTTTTGTTATTTTTTAAATATATATATATTTTTATTATACTTTAAGTTCTAGGGTACATGTGCACAACGTGCAGGTTTGTTACGTATGTATACATGTGCCATGTTGGTTTGCTGCACCCATTAACTCGTCATTTACATTAGGTATATCTCCTAATGCTATCCCCCCCCATACCCCCACCGCACAACAGGACCCAGTGTGTGATGTTCCCCTTCCTGTGTCCAAGTGTTCTCATTGTTCAATTCCCACCTATGAGTGAGAATATGCGGTGTTTGTTTTTTTTCCTTGTGATAGTTTGCTGAGAATGATGGTTTCCAGCTTCATCCATGTCCCTAAAAAGGACATGAACTCATCCTTTTTTATGGCTGCATAGTATTCCATGGTGTATATGTGCCACATTTTCTTAATCCAATCTATCATTGATGGACATTTGGGTTGGTTCCAAGTCTTTGCTATTGTGAATAGTGCCGCAATAAACATACGTGTGCATGTGTCTTTATAGCAGCATGATTTATAATCCTTTGGGTATATAACCAGTAATGGGATCGCTGGGTCAAATGGTATTTCTAGTTCTAGATCCTTGAGGAATCACCACACTGTCTTCCACAATGGTTGAACAAGTTTACAGTCCCACCAACAGTGTAAAAGTGTTCCTATTTCTCCACATCCTCTCCAACACCTGTTGGTTCCTGACTTTTTAATGATCACCATTCTAACTGGTGTGAGATGGTATCTCATTATGGTTTTGATTTGCATTTCTCTGATGGCCAGTGATGATGAGCATTTTTTCACTTGTCTGTTGACTGCATAAATGTCTTCTTTTGAGAAGTGTCTGTTCATATCCTTTGCCCACTTTTTGATGGGGTTGTTTGTTTTTTTCTTGTAAATTTGTTTGAGTTATTTGTAGATTCTGGATATTAGCCCTTTGTCAGATGAGTAGGTTGCAAAAATTTTCTCCCATTCTGTAGGTTGCCTGTTCACTCTGATAGTAGTTTCTTTTGCTGTGCAGAAGCTCTTTAGTTTAATTAGATCCCATTTGTCAATTTTGGCTTTTGTTGCCATTGCTTTTGGTATTTTAGACACAAAGCTTGCCCATGCCTATGTCCTGAATGGTATTGCCTAAGTTTTCTTCTAGGGTTTTTATCGTTTTAGGTCTAACATTTAAGTCTTTAATCCATCTTGAATTAATTTTTGTATAAGGTGTCAGGAAGGGATCCAGTTTCAGCTTTCTACATACGGCTAGCCAGTTTTCCCAGCACCATTTATTAAATACGGAATCCTTTCCCCATTGCTTGTTTTTGTCAGGTTTGTCAAAGATCAGATGGTTGTAGATGTGTGGTATTATTTCTGAGGGCTCTGTTCTGTTCCATTGGTCTATATCTCTGATGGGACATATCTCAAAATAATAAGAGCTATTTATGACAAACCTACAGCCAATATCATACTGAATGGGCAAAAACTAGAAGCATTCCCTTTGAAAACTGGCACAAGACAGGGATGCCCTCTCTCACCACTCCTATTCAATGTAGTGTTGGAAGTTCTGGCCAGGGCAATCAGGCAGAAGAAAGAAATAAAGGGTATTCAATTAGGAAAAGTGGATGTCAAATTGTCCCTGTTTGCAGATGATATGATTGTATACCTAGAAAACCCCATCGTCTCAGCCCAAAATCTCCTTAAGCTGATCAGCAACTTCAGCGAAGTCTCAGGATACAAAATCAATGTGCAAAAATCACAAGCATTCTTATACACCAATAACAGACAAACAGAGAGCCAAATCATGAGTGAACTCCCATTCACAATTGCTTCAAAGAGAATAAAATACCTAGGAATCCAACTCACAAGGGACGTAAAGGACCTCTTTGAGGAGGACTACAAACCACTGCTCAATGAAATAAAAGAGGATACAAACAAATGGAAGAACGTTCCATGCTCATGGGTAGGAAGAATCAATATCGTGAAAATGGCCATACTGCCCAAGGTAATTTACAGATTCAATGCCATCCCCATCAAGCTACCAATGACTTTCCTCACACAATTGGAAAAAACTACTTTAAAGTTCATATGGGACCAAAAAGGATCCCACATTGCCAAGTCAATCCTAAGCCAAAAGAACAAAGCTGGAGGCATCACGCTACCTGACTTCAAGCTATACTACAAGGCTACAGTAACCAAAACAGCATGGTACTCGTAAAATGCTATCCAACAGCATGGCACACTACAGATAAATCTTTCATCAAAGGAATCAATTGATGCAGCAAACTTTACTGTTGTCTTATTTTAAGAAATTGCCACAGCCACCTCAATCTGCAGCAACCACCACCTTAATCATTCAGCAGCCATCAACACAGAGGAAAGACTCTTTATCAGCAAAAATTAAAATTCACTGAAGGCTCAGATGATCATTTTCACTTTTAGCAACAAAGTAGTTTTTAAAGTATGTAATTGTAGACATAAGGCTATTGCACACTTTATAGACTATGGTATAGTATAAAAAACTTTTATATGCAGTGTAAAACCAAAAATTCAAGTTCTTGTTATATTGTGGTTGCCTGGAACCACACCTGCAATATCCCTGAAGTATACCTGTACAAGAAAATATGGATAACATACTAAAATAAATTTGGGAAACAATTCATTAACAGAATGATAGTTCTGAAGTAGAAATAGATATGATAACAAAAAATAAATAGAAATTCTAGATATAGAGAATACAACAAACTAAAAATTTAATACAATGCTTCAGCAGCTGATTTTATTAGCAGAAAAAAAGAATCAGTGAGCTTAAAGAAAAAACATTTGAAATGATTCCATCAGGGGAAAAACAACAACAACAAAAAAGAATAACAAATGCCTATGGCAATTATGGGACTCAACCAAACAACCCAACTTTCATATAATATCAGTTTCTGAAGGAGAAGAAAAAGAAAAAGGCCTAGAAAGCATATTTAATGAAATAATGACTAAAAATTTCCCAAACATGAAGAATGATGACAACATCGAGGTATGAAAACTGCAGAGGTCATGAATCCATTTCAATCCAAGAGGAGTTTATCAACACACATCACAATGAAGTTATTAAAAATGAAAAACAAAGGATACTGAAAGCAGCAAATAAACAAGAAATACATCACATTCAAGGGAGCTTCAATATGGCTTTCAGTGGATTTCTCTGCAGAAAACCCTACAGTCCACAAGAGAGAGGAATGATGTATTCAAAATGCTAAAGCAAACAAGCAAGCAAACAAACAAAAATGCCAATCAACAATACTATGCCCGGCTGGGTGAAGTGGCTCATACCTGTACTCCCAGCACTTTGGGAGGCCGAGGCAGGTGGATCAGGAGGTCAGGAGTTCAAGACCAGCCTGGCCAACATGATGAAGCCCCATCTCTACTAAAAATACAAAAATTAGCTGGGCATGGTGGCATGGGCCTGTAATCCCAACTGCTCGGGAGGCTGAGGCAGGAGAATTGCTTGAACCTGGCAGGCGGAGATTGCAGTGTGCAAGCTTGAACGTGGGAGGCGAGATCGCACCACTGCACTCCAACCTGGGTGGCAGAGCAAGACTCCATATTGAAAACAAAAATGCTGTGCCTAGCAAAGCTGTCCTGTAGAAATGAGGGAGAGGGAGATATAAAAACCTTTCTATACAAAAAAAAAAAAAACTAAAAAAGTTTATAATCAATATCCCCGATTAATCAGAATTACTAAAGGAAGAGCCTTACATTGAAATAAAAGCCTAACTAGTAAGAAAAAAACATAAAAGTAAAAAGCTTCAATGCTATCAGTAATACACAGTCATGCTCAAAATGCTCTAATATTCTAAGGGTGGTTTGTAAAGCAATTTTATCCCTACTAGTAGGGTTAGCAGACAAAGGTACTGAAAATAACTGTAGCTACAATAAATTGTTAAGGTATATAAATATGAAATAAAAGTGTAAATTTTGACATAAAATTGTACAATTGTGTGGGAGAGAGAATGAAAATGTAGACTTTTGGATGCAATTAAAGAGAAGTTGTTATCAGAAGTTGTTAGAGTAGCTTGTTATAAGAATATGATATTTTATGTAAGTTTCATGATAACCACAAAACCTATAGTAACTGCACAAAATAAAAAAGTTTATTTTGCAATTTATCCAAAATTTTAAAGCATACCACCACAGAAAGCCATCAAGCTATAAAAGAGTTCAGCAAGAGAGAAAAAGGAAACAAAGAACTTATAAAACAATCAGAAAAAAAATTACAAAGTGGCAGTAGCAAGTCCTTCCCTATAAATAATTACCTTGATGGTAAGTGCATTACATTGTCAAATAAAAGGACATAGAGCATCTCAATGGATAAAATAAAAAACAAGATTCAATCATGTGCTGCCCTACAAGAGACTCACTTTACTAGTCAAGACATATATAGGCTGAAATTGAAAAGATGAAAAAAGATATTCCATGCAAATGGAAACTAAAATAGAGTAGGGGGAGCTATACTTATTATTAAAAGAAATAAACTAAGTCAAAACCTATAAAAGAGATAGGGTTCACTGCATAATGATAAAGGAGTTAATTCATCATGAAGACATAATACTTGTAAATATATATGCACTCAAGGTCAGAAGACCTAAATTCATAAAGCAATTATTAAATAATCTGATGAGAAAAATATACTGCAATACTATAATAGCAGGAGACCTCAATACCCCAATTTCAATAATGGAAAGATCATTTAGAAAGATAATAAATTAAGAAACATTAGATTTGAATCACACTTTGGAGCAACTGGATCTAACAGATATACCCAGAACATCCTATCCAACAGCAGAAGTGTACATGTTCTTCTGAAATGTGGGTGGAGCATTCTCCAGTATATATCATATGTTAGGCCACAAAACAGATCTTAACAAATATTAGAGAATTGAATTATAGAAAGAAAATTTTTGCATCCCAAGGGCATAAAGCTAGAAATCAGTAACAGAAGAAATCTTGAGAAATACATAAAATGGCAAAATTTAAAATATTCATAAATGGCACATGAGTTACAGAAAAAATAAAAAAAAAGTTAAGACACACAAAAATGAAAACACAACAGACCAAAACTTATAGAATGTAGTTAAATCAATCATTATACCTCAATGAACTAGATGAGAAACAAAGCCAAGAATTAGCAGAAATAAGAAAATAGCAAAGATTAAAGTGGAAATAAATAAAATAGATCTGAGAAACCCGATGGAAAGAATTAATACTGAACTTTTTTTAAGGCAATAAACAAAAGCAACCAATCCGTATCTAGACTAACTAGAAAAAAGACTATTCCAACAAATAAGATCAGAAAAGAAATAGGAGAAATTACAACTTTTAACTCTAAAATACAAAGGATTACAATTGTTCATATAATGAACATTTGTATGCCAACAACTTGGATAACATAGACGAAATAAAAACATTTCCACAAATATACAACTTACTAAGACTGAATGAAGAAGAAACAGAAAATCTGAATGGACTAATAAATAATAAGGAAATTGAAGCAGAATTTTTTTTTTTTTTGAAGCAGAGTTTCGCTTTTGTTGCCCAGGGTGGAGTGCAATGGCACAATCTCGGCTAACTGCAGCCTCCGCCTCCCAGGTTCAAGCAATTCTCCTACCTCAGCCTCCCAAGTAGCTGGGATTACAGGCGCCCACCACCACGCCCAGCTGATTTTTTGTATTTTTAGTAGAGACAGGGTTTCACTATGTTGGCCAGGCTGGTCTCAAACTCCAGACCTCAGGCAATCCACCTGCCTCAGCCTCCTAAAATGCTAGGATTACAGGCGTAAGCCACCATGCCCAGCCTGAAGCAGAAATTAAAAGCCTCCCACGAAAGAAAAGCACAGGACCAGAAGGCTTCACTGCTAAATTCTGACAAACCTTTAAAGAACTAATACTAATTACTCTCAAACTCTTCCAAAAAAGTGAAATAGAGGAAATACTTCCAAACTCATTTTATTAGGCTATCATCATTCTGATACCAAAGACAGACAAGGACACTACAAGAGACAAAAATACTAGGTCAATGTCAGTAATGAACCCTGATGCAAAAATCTTCAACAAAATATTAGAAACCAAATTTAAGAATATATGAATGGAATCATTAACCATGATCAAGTGGGATTTATCCTTTGAATGCAAGCTGGTTTCAACATATGCATATGAATACATGTGATAAAATGCATGAACAAGGTCAAAGACAAAAATCATATGATTCTCTCAATACATGCAGAAAAAGTACATGAAAAAATTTAAAACCTTTTCATGATGCAAGCTCTCAACAAATTAAGTGTAGAGAAAATGTATCTCGACACAAAAAAGAACCATGTATGACAAGCTCTTAGCTAACATTATTCTCAACCGTGAAAAGCTGAAAGCTTTTCTTCCATGTTCAGGGACAAGACAATGATGACCACGCTCACCACTTCTTTTCATCATAACAGTGGAATTCCTAGGCAGAACAATTAGACAAGAAAAGAAAAGAAAAGCATCCTACTCAGAAAAAAAATAAGTGAAATTATCTCTAATTGCAGACAACATGATCCTGTATACAGAAAACCCTAAATATTCCACCAAAAACTGTTAGAACTGATGCATGAATTCAATAAGGCTTCAGGATACAAAATAAGCCAACAAAGATCAGAAGTGTTTCTGCATACAAATAACAAACTATCTGAAGAAATTTTTTAAAGATCCCAAGTACGATAGCAACACAAATTAAATACTTAGGTGTAAATTTAAGCAAAAAATTAAAAGTCCTGTATATGAAAAACTATAAAACGCCAATGAACAGAAATTTAAAAACACACAAGTAAATGAAAAAAAAAATTCATGTTTGTGGATGGGATAAATTAATATTGTGAAAATGAACAAAATACCAAAAGCAACATATTTGATGCAATCACTATCAAAATTCCAATGCCATTCTTTTACAGAAATGGAAAAAAAAATCTTGACATTTGTATTGAACAGACCTAAAATAGATAAAATAATCTTGAGCAAAAAGAACAAAGCTAGAGACAGCATGCTACCTAATTTTATTACATATTGTAAAACAATTGTAATCCAAATAGCATGGTAGTGGCATATAAATGGACAAATTGGCTAAACAAAATGGAAAACCCAGAAATAAACCCACACACAGTCAACTTATTTTTGACAAAGGTGCCAAGGACATACAATGGTTAAAGGATAGTCTGTTCTACAAATGGTGTTGAGAAAACTGAATATCCACAGGAAAAATAAAGTTAGTCCCCTAACTTACACCACATACTAATACCAACTCCAAATGAAGATTTAAATAGAAGGCCTGAACTGTAAAATTACTAGAAGAAAACATAAGGGTTAAAGCTCCACAACACTGGTCTCAGCAATACTGTTTTTTTTTTTGTTTTTTTTTTTTTAATTTATTTTTTTATTGATAATTCTTGGGTGTTTCTCACAGAGGGGGATTTGGCAGGGTCATGGGACAATAGTGGAGGGAAGGTCAGCAGATAAACAAGTGAACAAAGGTCTCTGGTTTTCCTAGGCAGAGGACCCTGCGGCCTTCCGCAGTGTTTGTGTCCCTGGGTACTTGAGATTAGGGAGTGGTGATGACTCTTAACCAGCATGTTGCCTTCAAGCATCTGTTTAACAAAGCACATCTTGCACCGCCCTTAATCCATTTAACCCTGAGTGGACACAGCACATGTTTCAGAGAGCACAGGGTTGGGGGTAAGGTCACAGATCAACAGGATCCCAAGGCAGAGGAATTTTTCTTAGTGCAGAACAAAATGAAAAGTCTCCCATGTCTACTTCTTTCTACACAGACACGGCAACCATCCGATTTCTCAATCTTTTCCCCACCTTTCCCGCCTTTCTATTCCACAAAGCCGCCATTGTCATCCTGGCCCGTTCTCAATGAGCTGTTGGGCACACCTCCCAGACGGGGTGGTGGCCGGGCAGAGGGGCTCCTCACTTCCCAGTAGGGGCGGCCGGGCAGAGGCGCCCCTCACCTCCCGGACGGGGCGGCTGGCCGGGCGGGGGGCCGACCCCCCCACCTCCCTCCCGGACGGGGCGGCTGGCCGGGCAGAGGGGCTCCTCACTTCCCAGTAGGGGCGGCCGGGCAGAGGCGCCCCTCACCTCCCGGACAGGGCGGCTGGCTGGGCGGGGGGGCTGACCCCCCCCACCTCCCTCCCGGACGGGGCGGCTGGCCGGGCGGGGGGCCGACCCCCCCACCTCCCTCCCAGACGGGGCGGCTGGCCGGGCGGGGGGCTGACCCCCCCACCTCCCTCCCAGACGGGGCGGCTGGCCGGGCAGAGGGGCTCCTCACTTCCCAGTAGGGGCGGCCGGGCAGAGGCGCCCCTCACCTCCCGGACGGGGCGGCTGGCCGGGCGGGGGGCCGACCCCCCCACCTCCCTCCCGGACGGGGCGGCTGGCCGGGCAGAGGGGCTCCTCACTTCCCAGTAGGGGCGGCCGGGCAGAGGCGCCCCTCACCTCCCAGACGGGGCGGCTGGCCGGGCGGAGGGCTGACCCCCCCCACCTCCCTCCCGGACAGGGCGGCTGGCCGGGCGGGGGGCTGACCCCCCACCTCCCTCCCGGATGGGGCGGCTGGCCGGGCAGAGGGGCTCCTCACTTCCCAGTAGGGGCGGCTGGGCAGAGGCGCCCCTCACCTCCCAGACGGGGCGGCTGGCCGGGCGGAGGGCTGACCCCCCCACCTCCCTCCCGGACGGGGCGGCTGGCCAGGCGGGGGGCTGACCCCCCTACCTCCCTCCCGGACGGGGCGGCTGGCCGGGTGGGGGGGCTGACCCCCCCATCTCCCTCCCGGACGGGGTGGCTGGCCGGGCTGAGGGGCTCCTCACTTCCCAGTAGGGGCGGCCGGGCAGAGGCGCCCCTCACCTCCCGGACGGGGCGGCTGGCCGGGTGGGGGGCTGACCCCCCCACCACCCTCCCGGACGGCACGGCTGGCCAGGCGGGGGGCTGACCCCCCCACCTCCCTCCCGGATGGCACGGCTGGCCGGGCGGGGGGGCTGACCCCCCACCTCCCTCCCGGATGGGGCGGCTGGCCGGGCGGGGGGCTGACCCCCCCCACCTCCCTCCCGGACGGGGTGGCTGCCTGGCGGAGACGCTCCTCACTTCCCAGATGGGGTGGCTGCCGGGCGGAGAGGCTCCTCACTTCTCAGACGGGGTGGTTGCCAGGCAGAGGGTCTCCTCACTTCTCAGACGGGGCGGCCGGGCAGAGACGCTCCTCACCTCCCAGACGGGGTCTCGGCCGGGCAGAGGCGCTCCTCACATCCCAGATGGGGCGGCGGGGCAGAGGCGCTCCCCACATCTCAGACGATGGGCGGCCGGGCAGAGACGCTCCTCACTTCCTAGATGTGATGGCGGCTGGGAAGAGGCGCTCCTCACTTCCTAGATGGGATGGCGGCCGGGCGGAGACGCTCCTCACTTTCCAGACTGGGCAGCCAGGCAGAGGGGATCCTCACATCCCAGACGATGGGCGGCCAGGCAGAGACACTCCTCACTTCCCAGACGGGGTGGCAGCCGGGCAGAGGCTGCAATCTCGGCACTTTGGGAGGCCAAGGCAGGCGGCTGCTCCTTGCCCTCGGGCCCTGCGGGGCCCGTCCGCTCCTCCAGCCGCTGCCTCCCTGGCGGCGCTCGCCGGCGCGGTGGCCAGCAATACTGTTTTTGATGTAACCCTGATAGCAGTCAGCAAAAGCAGAAATAGACAAATTTGTTATGGCTTAGTTTTGAATTTCTGGTCATTTACTCAATCTGGTCGTTACTTTCCCACACTTCATGGTTACAAGTACCAGCCAAGAGGTGGATCCACCTTCCTACTGCAGTATCTGAAAATCACTCTGTTCTATCCTCTGCCTGACCCTCTCTGGCATTCTTGGGATCTACATTTTGATGGAAATGTAATGCTCTGGAACCCTAGGCATATATGAACCAGAAACATGTATGCAGACTCTACTTACAGACAGCAACATAGTTGGAAATATAGTAATCAAAGTTGGATAGGAACAAATATTTTATATCTGTTTCTTAGAGATCTGGATTCCACTAAAACGGACTCATGGGTGTCAGGGCATTAGGGGTGTGGACTGATAACAAACCTCTCCAATAGCAGACAAACAGAGAGCCAAATCATGAGTGAACTCCCATTCACAATTGCTTCAAAGAGAATAAAATACCTAGGAATCCAACTTACAAGGGAGGTGAAGGACCTCTTCAAGGAGAACTACAAACCACTGCTCAAGGAAATAAAAGAGGATACAAACAAATGGAAGAACGTTCCATGCTCATGGGTAGGAAGAATCAATATCGTGAAAATGGCCATACTGCCCAAGGTAATTTACAGATTCAGTGTCATCCCCATCAAGCTACCAATGACTTTCTTCACAGAATTGGAAAAAACTCCTTTAAAGTTCATATGGAACCAAAACAGAGCCCACATCATCAAGTCAATCCTAAGCCAAAAGAACAAAGCTGGAGGCATCACACTACCTGACTTCAAACTATACTACAAGGCTACAGTAACCAAAACAGCATGGTACTGGTACCAAAACAGAGATATAGATAAATGGAACAGAACAGAGCCCTCAGAAATAACGCCACCTATCTACAACTATCTGATCTTTGACAAACCTGAGAAAAACAAGCAATGGGGAAAGGATTCCCTATTTAACAAATGGTGCTGGGAAAACTGGCTAGCCATATGTAGAAAGCTGAAACTGGATCCCTTCCTTACATCTTATACAAAAATTAATTCAAGATGGATTAAAGACTTAAACGTTAGACCTAAAACCATAAAAACCCTAGAAGAAAACCTAGGCATTACCATTCAGGACATAGGCATGGGCAAGGACTTCATGTCTAAAACACCAAAAGCAATGGCAACAAAAGCCAAAATTGACAAATGGGATCTAATTAAACTAAAGAGCTTCTGCACAGCAAAAGAAACTACCATCAGATTGAACAGGCAACCTACAAAACGGGAGAAAATTTTCACAACCTACTCATCTGACAAAGGGCTAATATCCAGAATCTACGATGAACTCAAACAAATTTACAAGAAAAAAACAAACAACCCCATCAAAAAGTGGGCGAAGGACATGAACAGACACTTCTCAAAAGAAGACATTTATGCAGTCAAAAAAACACATGAAAAATGCTCACCATCACTGGCCATCAGAGAAATGCAAATCAAAACCACAATGAGATACCATCTCACACCAGTTAGAATGGCAATCATCAAAAAGTCAGGAAACAACAGGTGCTGGAGAGGATGTGGAGAAATAGGAACAGTTTTACACTGTTGGTGGGACTGTAAACTAGTTCAACCATTGTGGAAGTCAGTGTGGTGATTCCTCAGGGATCTAGAACTAGAAATACCATTTGACCCAGCCATCCCATTACTGGGTATATACCCAAAGGACTATAAATCATGCTGCTATAAAGACACATGCACACGTATGTTTATTGCGGCATTATTCACAATAGCAAAGACTTGGAACCAACCCAAATGTCCAACAATGATAGACTGGATTAAGAAAATGTGGCACATATACACCATGGAATACTATGCAGCCATAAAAAATGATGAGTTCATGTCCTTTGTAGGGACATGGATGAAGCTGGAAACCATCATTCTCAGTAAACTATCGCAAGGACAAAAAACCAAACACCGCATATTCTCACTCATAGGTGGGAATTGAACAATGAGAACACATGGACACAGGAAGGGGAACATCACACTCTGGGGACTGTTGTGGGGTGGGGGGAGGGGGGAGGGATAGCATTGGGAGATATACCTAATGCTAGATGACGAGTTAGTGGGTGCAGCGCGCCAGCATGGCACATGTATACATATGTAACTAACCTGCACATTGTGCACAAGTACCCTAAAACTTAAAGTATAATAATAATAAATTTTAAAAAAAGAAGTTACACGATGAAATTTTCAGTATCTAGAGGTATGAGAAATAAATGCATACCTAATTTTGAGAAATCCTGACTCTGAGAAGCACTTCTGCAGTCCCAGTAAAAACAAAGTAGCAGCAGCCCTGCTGAGGTGATGCTGGGCTCATTCTCCATGGGAAAGACTGTGCAAGTCTGCAGCAACAGGTTATGAGTGTGGCAGCCCCAGAACAAGGGCACGTTGGAGACAGGGTGTAGCTAGGGAAATTGCGTGGTGCACATTTGAGGGTAGCAAATTATTTCTATGAGGCTCATATTGTTAGCAAGGAAGGACTTTTTTTTTTTTTTTTGAGATGGAGTCTCACTCTGTCGCCCAAGCTGGAGTGCAGTGGCAGTGATCTCAGCTCACTGCAACCTCGCCTCCCGGGTTCAAGCGATTCTCCTGCCTCAGCCTCCCGAGTAGCTGGGACTACGGGTGCGTGCTACCACACCCAGCTAATTTTTGTATTTTTAGTAGAGACGGGGTTTCACCATGTTGGCCTGGATGATCTCGCTCTCATGACCTCGTGATCCGCCCGCCTTGGCCTCCCAAAGTGCTGGGATTATAGACTTGGGCCACAGCGCCTGGCCGCAAGGAAGGACTTGTAATGCCCACCCTCCTAGTTCCATACAAACACACACATGCACACTCGCTAGGTCCAAAGAGTGTGATGAGGGGAAAATAGAGACATAGTTGCAGCGTCTGGATTAGGGCTGAGCCAGCAGGAAACATTAATCAGGGCATCAGGAAACCAGAGTTCTATTCTAAGCTCAGTTTGTAACGTCTTTGTGGACTTGAGCAAGTCACTTTCCTATTCTAAACCTTGTTTTATTTCCTTTGCAAATGAGGAAGTTGAAATACGTGATCTCAAAGATTCCTCCCAGTTCTTCACCTCATGAGACAAATGTAAATCAAGTAACATTCGCTATTGTGATTAGAAAAACTGCATTTACACAGGTTAGCCACTAGATGGGGACGTGCGATTGTTACGTGGCTGAAGGTTTCCTGTATTTCTTTATTTTTTATTTGGCCGCTAGAGGGCACGCCTGCCCTGCACTTAAAGCTGACTACTTTTAAGGAAAGACAAAGGAATTCTTGGATTTCTCCATTTTCCTCATCACCTGTGCTTATCAGAGAATTCCAGGGGCAAGCTACCCTTTCCAATTCATCACTAATTTATAAACAAAATAAGGAGTAAGGAATGCTTCTTACTTACTTCCTATAACATATTTAAGAATGAATGCTCAAAACGAAAGTAATTTATTTAAAACTTGTGTTGAGTCATTATGACTGCAAAATTTTTGCTCATGTTTTTCATATGCTATTCACTTGCAAATTATTAGAACTCTACATGTTCTGTTCATCTCAGCATTATTTATAACAGGGAAAAATTAGACACTAGCCAAAAATCTAAAAACGGGACAGTAAGGAAAAAGCAAATGGTTCTTTTAATCATCATCACTAAAAGTGGTTGTGACTTAAAATAATGACATAAAAGATGCTTCTACATTGTTGAGTAAAACATCAAGATAAATTTAAAATTATATTTCAAGCTTAACATATTCATTTAAAAAGAGAAAAGAAATTTTAGAGAGTTTATCTTGTTGGATTATCAGATGTTATTTTTCTCTTTTTAATGCCATATACTTTTCAAATTTTCAGTGGACTGGTATTACTTTTGTATTTAAAAAAGAAAAATATAAGGAAAAAGAAACCTGTCATGCACTTTCTAGTGGATTTTACTTACCAGTCATCTCTGTGTTTCTGGCATCAGCAAACTGAGCCAGAAACTCAGTGCCTCCCATTTCTTTTTTTTTTTTTAGATGGAGTCTTGCTCTGTCACCCAGGCTAGAGTGCAGTAGCTCAAACTTGGCTTGCTGCAACCTCTGCCTCCCGGGTTCAAGTGATTCTTCTGCCTCAGCCTCCCAAGTAGCTGGGATTACAGGTGCCCGTCACCGCACCCGGCTAATTTTTGTATTTTAGTGGAGATGGGGTTTCACCATCTTGACCAGGCTGGTCTCGACTCCTGACCTTGTGATCCACCCGCCTTGGCCTCCCAAAGTGCTGGGATTAACAGGCGTGAGCCACTGCGCCAGGCCGAATGCCTCCCATTTCTTGTATTCACCTTAAAAACTCCTGCAATGAAGGACTCCCTCCTCCCTCATCTAACCTATTATGTGTGTCGTGAGTTCTGACTATGATATCATTCCTGATGTGAAACCGAAGTCTCTCTAAGTCCATCCATTGGTTCAGTTCTGCCTTCTGACAGAGTCCACACCAGACTTCACATTTCTCCCAATCTTCTTTGTCCTACAAGGGCTTTCTATTCTTCAAGCTAAAGAGACACCAGTGATTCCGTTCGTTCATTCAGTTAACATTTAGGGGCCACAGCTTGTGCTATGTCCTGAGATTTGCCAATGAGCAGAGCTCAGAGTATTGAAAAGACAAACACACACGCCAGGCATTTTACTATGCTATGTTGTGTGCATGACAGGAGTACACAGGGCATCCAGGCACCAGTGAGAAGGGCCTTTCACCAGACTTGAGAGGTCAGCAAGGGTGCTCTAAGGAAACACCTTCTAAACCGAGAGCTTGAAAGAGTGAGACAGGAAAGCAGTAAGAGGGAGCGTTCTGAGGAGGAAATCTCCGAGGTGGGACAGGGATGCGTGTGGAGAGAATGCCCTTCCCATCTCCACTCTTCATGAGGTCTCTATTCTGTCAGGGTCTGTCTGCCCTGTGAGCTGTTGAGGACAAAAGCCGTTTTATAAACATTTTTATTTCCTCCCTCTGTTTTCCTTAAACACCTAGCCCGGTGCCTGGAACATAAGAAGCCGTAATGAATTTTTGTTAGATAAGTGAGGAGTGCTGAGTAGAGCAGAAATGTCACATGCCTCAGTTGAAATATGGGTCATCAGTTTTCTTTCTTTTTTAACATAGAAGTCAAGACTTGATGATCTCTGAGAGCTTCAAGATACCATTAAAGATATAATCATCCTCATGTACTTGAGCTTTGTTTTCACCCATTATGTTATGACTGCTGTCCATTGTTCCATGTCGCAATTCTCCATCTTTCTTTATTTTCTTCCATTTCAATTAACTCATTTATTTACATGTGGGAATGGAACATATAACGTAAAATCCACAAGTAAGACTTCCCAGATCCTCAGCTTCTTTCTCGGCATTAGCCACTGTTTCCAGTTTCATGAGCATCTGCTATGGTTTGAATGCATCCCCTCCAGGAATCAAATATTACAAATATGATAGTATTAAGAGGTGGGGCCTTTTGGAGGTGATTAGGCTATGAGGGCTCTGCTGTCATGAATAGGATTAGATTTGCTTAGAAAAAGGCATGACGGAGGAAGTTAGAATCCTTTTGCCCTTCGGTCTCCTGCCTTGTGAGGACACAGCACTCCTCCTCTCTGGAAGAAGCAGCCTTCAAGGCGACATCTTGGAAACAGAGACCAGACACTTACCTGACAATGAACCTAATGGCCCCTGGATTTTGGACTTCCCAGCCTCCAGAACTGTGAAAAAAACAAATTTCTGTTCCTTATAAATTACTCAGTCTATGGTATTCTCTTATAGCAGCCCAAAACAGACAAGACTCTAGGAAATCAATTTGTATTCAGCACATCAACAAAATTATTTACAAATGGGATTCCCCCCAATAGGTGGGTGTCACTAAAGAGAGGTGCCCATAAGCATGAGACAATGACCACGTGGCACGAGCAACGAACTACGATGAATGAGCACATGTTACCACCACTAAAGACAAAACTTACATGATAGATGACAACAAAATAATTTCTTATTATGAATTTCTCATTGCATCCCTCCATTTAGTCAGGAATCTGGCTCTGACTCGCACCTGAAGGACAGACAAGGACTTTTGTTTCCAAAAGCATAAACTGAAAGGAGAACTCACAGAGTCTACAGAAAAGAGAAAAGACATTTGTCAACAGAGAGTGTTTATTTATCTTTTTTAACTGGAGGGAAAGAGCAGGGATGAGGAGAGGAGACGCCTTCGGTATTGGAAAAAAACAATATTGTAGAGTTTTCCATCCTGGTACTAAAAAAATTATAAAGGCCAATAAGCAATGACTGATAGCAATAAAACAAGGAAAGGGGCATAGCCTAATACAGTAAAGAAACTGGTGACTCAAAGAGAGAAAGGAAAAGAACATTCTGGAGCAAAATAGAGAGGGTCAGCATTTAGCTCCTAAGTTCCTCTTCCGTCCTCCAGCCCCACCCTCCACACCCACCTCCAAATCCGGAGAATTTTTACTAACACATCCAAAAGCATAATGAAGCACACTGACACTGAAGGGTGTCCTTATACGATCCTCCGCTTGCTGGTGACTGGTGGAAACAGATGCTGGGGAGAAACAGGAGAAACAAGGTGGAGGGACATCAGGGTGCACTTCCTCTAAGAGAAGTCAAGGCTACACATGGAATGAGGAAAGCAAACCAATGCCCAGGGGAGTCCTCATGGTACTGAAACCGGAAGAGCGATCTGTTGCCCAAGCATTCTAACCAATGCTCAGAGCCCTCAGCTGCCCTTTCCCTCTACTGTCTCCCCATTCCCTTGGGCTACCAGGAAAAGTGGAGATGTTAATGGGCTCCAATCAAAGGCCACCAGGAACACACCTGTAGTTGAAGAAGTGAGGTTATTACTGGTTAAGTGAGGGAGAATACAAACTACAGGGAACGGTGGGGTGTCTCACTAAGAGGATGTCAGAAAGGACTTAGAGGATTTGGGGTAGTGTTAGGCAATAATCTGGGAGAAGGGTTTCAGGAAATGGGGCTTTGATCTGAACTGGGTGTTGTCAGGAATTGGGGGTAATTCTAGCGTAATAGGGTATCTTAATAAATCTTATGTAGAAAGATGTAAACCTGTATTAAAGCCTTAATGGGTTAAGGCTATAATTGGTAAAGAACGTTAAAGCTGTAGTTGGTGAAGAAACAGTAGTTATTCATCTTAGCTAGAATAGAGAGACATTGGTCATTTGTGTGATCTGAACAATGCTCATGCTTTGCTCATGCTCAGACATGATTATGAAGAGGTCTTGTTTTTGTCTTAAGTATTGGCACAAAATGATATGGTCTGAAGGAGATGTTCTATGAAATTGCTGATGCTCACAAGAGAACATCAACATCCATCTGTGGGTGCCAGGCAGCTCACAGCATCGCCAACACCCAGCAGATAGGACCAGGTCAACTCCTGGCTGCCAGACACACCTCTTCTCTTTCTCAGAGGAACACAAAATACCCAACGCCCATTCCATAGCTCAACAGGAAAACACATTCTCAGGTGAGCTGGAAAGAAAGTCGCTCATCTAATAATGACACAATTTTAAAAGACTGGTCAATTCAACTACATCAAAGACAAGCAAAAACAAAATTTTTCTCATGGCAAGAAAAGACTACCACCATAGTTGAAAAACAAATGAAAGAGTGGGAAAATAGGTTTGCAACTTATATCATAGACAAAGGGGTACTATCTCTAATATACAAATAGTTCTTACAAATTTAGGGGAAATAGACCAACAATATATTGAAAAAATTAAAAAGATATGCATAGAGATTTCATAGGAAAATAATTGGAAGTTGATCTTAAACATGTGAAAAGTTACACAACATGGCTCATAAGAAGATAAGTACAAATTAAAACTATACCAAGATGCCACTTCTCAGCTATTAAAATTCAATAATTTATTCAGATGGTGAGCCTGTTTGACAACGGGAATTCTTATAAATTGCCGGAAGGAATACAAAATGGTGCAACTCTTATGGAAGGGAAATTTGGTATCGTCTGAAAACATGCATAACTGCATATGCATGTATATATTTTTCTCTCTCTCTCTTTGTGTTTCTCTTTTTCTGTCTCTATTTGTGTGTCTCTATCTCTCTCTGTCTTTCTTCTTCCCTCCTTCCTTCTCTACAGTGAGCAGTGAGCTCAGAGATCCCATAGAGTTAATTTGTTTTTGTTTGTTTCTTTTTGTTTGTTTCTTTGTTTTTTTTTTTTTTTTTTTGGTCTGGTTATGAGGGTTTTTGTTGTTTTTGTTTGTTTGTTTTTTGGAGACAGAGTCTCGCTCTGTCACCCAGGCTAGAGTGCAATGGCATTATCGTGGCTCACTACAACCTCCGTCTCCCGGGTTTGAGTGATTCTCCTGCCTCAGCCTCCCAAGTAGCTGGGATTACAGGCTCCTGCCACCACGCCCAGCTAATTTTTGTATTTTTAGTGCAGATGGGGTTTCCCCATATTGGCCAGGCAGGTCTCGAACTCCTGACATCAGGTGATTTGCCTGCCTTGGCCTCCCAAAGTGCTGGGATTACAGGCATGAGCCACTGTGCCTAGCCTGAGTCAATTTATTTTAATCGTTTTTATTTTTTATGTTCTTGTTGATCTATTTTTGACTAGTAAGAGCCCCTATGTCCTTTTGACTCAAGCCATTACACTTTGATAACTTCCTAGCTTTCTGGCATGGAAAATATTCCAGGATCATCTTGTATATTTCCTGCCCTAGACCCAGAATCAGCCATTCTCTCAAGGAAACTTGATTCCTTATCCTTTAAGGAACCCTGTTTCCTTTCATTGGAGACCAGGATTAAGAGGACCACACGCCAGTTATGGGCAACTCATTGCCATCACATTGTGGTTACTTGTGAGCTTTACAGCAGGAAAAGGTAATAATCCATTGAATACCAATAAAAGCAACAAGTATACCAACTACTTAATATAAAAATTGGCATTTTAAGGGAAAAAATAAGCATTTATCCAAACTTTTATGTATGAATTGTAAAGAACAAAATACTTCTAGATGATGAGGAAAACCGCTATGACAAGAATGAAGTTAAAAACTCACCAATTTCACAGCCTAATAAAAAATGTTCAGGCAGCAATATTCATGTATTAAATAATCTATGACTACCTGAATGCAATAAACCTTAGCACCAATAAAATTGGAGTTAACAGACATTGGAAGTCTCCGTTATGAACCGGCATGAAGCACACCTCATTTTCTGTAAAACGTCCTTTCCACAGAAGTTACACATGGATTCATTAAGCCTGTAGTACTAGCTTCCATTACAAGAAATATAGGAAATAAAGAAAGAGAGTAAATGACACCACAAAGAAGCAAATACACAAATCTAAGTGGTAGGAAAACCAATCTGGTTAGGACAATTAGCCTAATATCTGCAACAGGTTAGTGGCGTCAGGCTAAGAGGGCAGAGGGGCCAGTTTAGATGAGAGACTCAAGGGTCATGACAATCAGATTTCATGTGTTACCCTTTATTTGGATCCTGGGCTCACAAGCCAACTATAAAACAATAATGTTCATATAGTTGGGAAAATTCAATTATGAGAAAGGTAATAAATGATACTAAGGAATTCATGTTAATTTTGTTACGGATGATAATCAGGGTCATGCTATGACTTCTGTGGCTTCTAGGAACTTTTGTCTATGTGAGCTTCCTCTTCCATAAAAACAATATTTTATGACCTCATTTTCGTTATTTAATATAATCCAATATGAACTTAATATTATATATTAATATTATTATCTTTATTTTTTGCCTTTAAAAGAAATAAAATTTAAAACACTTTCCTGGGCCTCTGAAAGTACTGTGGGTCTTAGACACTGGGCCTACTGTGTTCAATGGATGAGTCAGCCTTGGTGATAATGCCACAAAGAATTGGAAGAAATTCTTCACAATTATTTTACGCTATAGAGTAAATTAGTAAGAATTTAACTCAGAAAACAAAGAGCTCAAAGAGGATAAAATAAAATGGAAAAAAACTGAAAAGGAATTTGTAATTTTCCAGACAAAAATTGAGAAGCCACATAGTTAAATATATATCATTAAATAATTCATAAATTAGAAATGGCAAGGAAGAGAATAGTCATCCCTAAAAATATTTTGCTGACAGAATAAAATCTGGTAGCAATCACAATGATTCGTAAAACAAAGACTAAGGTTAAAGAAATTAGTCTAAGTATCCCCAGTTCTATTTACTGATCCACAACAAAATAGATTACCTGCAACATTCTAGCCATTCTCCTCTGGTTGAGCTCTGGGTGGCCTATGTCTCACTAAAAGTGTGGTGCCCAGAGTGGAATAGTGTCCTAGTTATTGTCAGACTGACAGACAGTAGGGCAGAACTCTCACATTACTTGTTCGTATTGGTGTAAACCAAGGGTAATAATTGGTTTATCTAAATTAATGCAAGAAAACAGATCCTGCTGGGAATCTCAAAGAAGGAGGCACTGTTATTCTTGGGAATTTGGCTAGCACCATGGTACCTGGCTATGCAGTACCAGCTTCACAAAAGAGTTTTAGAAGTGAGACACCTCTGGTTCCAGGCATGAGAGAGTAAAAGTACACTTTTACTGTGAAAGAGTAAGAGTAAGAGTACCCTCTTACTGTGGTAAACTATCAAAACTAAACAAAATATGTAAAGTAACTGTTTTTCAGATATTGGATAATAGACAATGCAGGCTTGTGATCCCCTGGACATGGGTTATCTTAAATCTTTGGCCAAATACTAAAGCCTAGCAGAGAACAGCCATGGGGAGGCTGGGGTATGGAGCTGAACAGATTCCAGAGATCACATGTACTGAAAGAATCTGGAGTTCTGACCATGTAGAGTGAAGAGATGTTGCTGAACACCCTGAGCATTCAATTTAGATTCCAATAAAGGCCATGACTTAAGAATAGGATTTCTCTCGCCATAGAATAAGGGAAACTCCAGACTGACCTTAATAAAGTCTAAAACAAACACTCAATAAGATCAAGCTTATCCACCAATAAATCAGCAAAATCCATGACTCCTTAAAAGAAAACAATAAAGTCCAGACTCTCAGAAACATAGCCTCCACAGTGGCCAGGACACAATATAAAATTATTAGATATTTGAAGAAGCAGGCAAATCTAGCCCATAACCAAGAGTAAATAGAGTCAGTAGAAACAGACACAGACATGATATTGGAATTAGCAAACAAGGATTTTAAAATAGCATCATAAGTGTGCATGTTCAGAAATTTAAAGGAAAGAGTGACTATAAGTGAACAACACATGGGGAAAAATCAAGAAAAATAGTAATTATAAAAATTAAAATTAAAAATTAAATGAAAATTCTACAGCTAAAAAACACAACATCCAAAAGAAAAATTTATTGCCTTGGCATCAAAACAGACTAGAAAAATGCACCAACCAAAAGGTAATGATATCAAAGAGTGAAATCAAAATGATGGCCACAAAACACCCCTGCCTTCTCTACTATTCCCTCATGGAGGTGTTTTCTCAAGATAAAATGGTTTACTCATTCACTGTCCCCTAGATACACCCCTTTTTTTTTTTCAGTTTCCAGGTGTTTGCTCATACTTTTCCCTTATCTGGCTTTAAGATTTAATATGAGAAAAGTGATGTGGGACAGTCAATGTCAGGAGGCACAGTCTGCACCACTCACTGGTAATGGAATGAGAGTCTAGACATGTACTATCCTGGGACTGAATTATCCACAGGTCAGACAATATTTGTTTTATACTATCTCCTCTAATGTCTTTCATTATAGAATGTAAAACTCTCATCTCAGCATATTATTTTTCTAAATGTTGGAAAAATATCCCCTTTAGAGAGCATAATTACAGAGTTTCTACACTCGTGCTATCGCAACTGTTTCCTGTCTCTACATCCTTATTAGGCTGTTCTTGTGTTGCTATAAAGAAATACCTGAGATTGGCTGGGCGCAGTGGCTCATGCCTGTAATCCCAGCACTTTGGGAGGCCAAGGCAGGCGGATCATGAGGTCAGGAGTTCGAGACCAGCCTGCCCAACATGGTGAAACCCCATCTCTACTAAAAATACAAAAATTAGCCAGACATAATGACACACGCCTGTAATCCCAGCTACTCAGGAGACTGAGGCAGGAGAATTGCTTGAACCTGGGAGGCAGAGGTTGCAGTGAGCCAAGATCATGCCATTGCACTCCAGCCTGGGGGCGACAGAGCGAGACTCTGTCTCAAAAAAAAAAAAAAAAAAAAAAAAAAAAAAAAAAAAAAAAGAAATACCTGAGATTGCATAATTTATAAGAAAAGAGGTTTAATTGGCTCACGGTTCTGCAGGCTGTACAGGAAGCACAGACCCAGCATCAGCTTCTGGGGAGGCTTCAGGAAATTTCTACACATGGTAGAAGGTGAAGTGGGAGCTTGTGTGTCACATGGTGCAGGCAGGTGCAAGAAAGGGAGTGTGGGGGAGGAGCCACAAACCTAATCAATGGGATCTCACGAGAACTCACTCACTACCCCTAGAACAGGACCAAGCCATGAGGGATCCACCTCCAGGACCCAAACACCTCCCCCCAGGCCCTACCTCCAACACTAGGGATTAGAATTCAACATGACATTTGGTGGGGACACGTACTCAAACTATATCAACATCTGTCTGGGATCCCAACCAGTTATATTTTTCTTTCCTATACGGTTATTGGTTTTTATCTCTGGCATATTTAAATACTACGAAAATTTCTAAACAATCTAAATATTATTATTATTATTATTATTATTATTATTATTATTATTATTATTATTTGAGACAGAGTCTCACTCTGTCGCCCAGGCTGGAGAGCAGTGGCGCGATCTCGGCTCACTGCAAGCTCTGCCTCCCGGGTTCGCGCCATTCTCCCACCTCACCCTCCCGGGTAGCGCCCGCCACCATGCCTGACTAATTTTTTTTTTTTTGTATTTTTGGTAGAGACGGGGTTTCACCGTCTTAGCCAGGTTGGTCTCGATCTCCTGACTTCATGACCCGCCCGCCTCGGCCTCTCAAAGTGCTGGGATTACAGAGCAATCTAAAAATTATTTAGACCCAGCTTAGTCGCTACCTTTCCATGGGGTCTTCTTTCACTTCCCAGCCACTATCTTCTCCTGAACTCTCAAAGAACTTGTGATCTTACCAACACATCTGAGTTGCATTTCTGTAGTAGTTGTTTTGTATACATGTGTTACATCTTATTCAAGACTCTGAACTTCCAGAAATCAGGGACAATATATTCTATAATCACAGTTCCCATAATGCATAGGACAATGGACTTTATATAATGTTTCTTTTTGGTCCTTACCTCTGATCAAACAAGAAAATATAGAGTCATCCTGTCTACTCTTGGAAGGAGTAATCAATATTCACCAAAGGATCAGTAAACAGAAGGTCAGTACACAAGTCACCTGTGTCTTGAAGGTTTGCGGTAATAAATGTTGTACAGAAGGGTCAGAGGAACTAAATGGCAGGTGGGTGAAGACTAAGAAGCTACTCAGAGAAGGATTTTGAAGGAAGGCTGTGGTTGGGAGTGGTGTATGTGTGGAAAGGGACAGCGGCTTCTAGTCGTTGGGGTATTTGAGAGAGAGAACGGGGACAATGACTGAGGTTCCTAAGCGGTTAGACGAAGGGTCAATCTGGCCACAGCATTTGGGATATGGGAAGCAGTGGGGGTCTGAGCTCAGGCCTTAGAACCCAGGGAGAAGCACAGATAGAAAGGAGCACTGTGGGAATGGAGTCACCAGTGACACACCCTCCTCCATAGAACCCCACTGCTGAGTGTGGGGACCTGCCCCAGCAACCACCAGACAGGAAAGGAGAATGATCGACAGCACCTTCTGTCAGGGAGAGAGGAGTTGGCAGCACCAGCAGTCCTGGCTCCCCTAAGCACCAGGCTCTCTTATTCCTAGAACCTCCACATTTGAATGGTGTGTGTCTTCCTTAATCAAAAGCTGGACTTTCTGGCAGTTTGTGGTTTAATTTAATTTGCACGGTATTTCATAATAGTTACTGTTACATTAACTGGTATATAACATTGGGGAAAATAAGGTTTTTCTCTGACGATAATTGCCTTTTTAAATGATGATAATTGCCCTTTAAAAACAAGTAATATTCTCGCAATACTCCTTCTTTTTCATGTTGGCTGGTCTTTTTCATGTTGGCTGGTCCAGTATGACTATACTTTAAAATAAAGAATCAAATCCTAGTTTCCATTCTTCAGTTAATACTACTTTGTTGCAATATTTTTATGATTTTTTTCAGTTACAATTAGTTTTTTGCAAGGGCTGACTGATTTGTTGATTTTCTAACTGTTTTAATTACTTGGTTAGGTGTTCCATGTAGAATTTTATTTTTTTTTTTAAAGTCTGGATTAATGCCACGTATTTTATACTTGCCACCGCTTTTCCCACATCCTACATGGTTATTGGTTTTTATCTCTGGTATATTTATCTTCTCTAGATAGTTTAGTGCCTTGTTTTTAAAATTTGTGATGATGAAGTTATTGAGTATGCATTTTCCTTGTTAATATGTTCATTTTTTGTTCTAGAAATTGATATTACACTATAAGCCTATTTGAAACAAACCAACAAAAACAGGTGCCCCAGCTTCTGCCTACAGGAATTCTCAGTAGGATCTCTTGATAGGAGGTGGGAGAGACTGTGAGACTTCTTTTAGGGGGAATACAAGAAAATGCCTCTTCACGCATTTTCTAAGGAAGCCCTCAGAAAGCTCCACAAATGTCCCTGAACTTTGGCAACTGTGAATTATAAAGACTAGGGCTCCACTGGGGGCTGGAAGAGTTCTCAATGTACATAAGAATCACCTTGTAGACTTTTTAAAAGATCAGAAGCTGGATGCCACCACAAGAATCAAATATCTGGGAGGTGCAGCCAGCTTTCCAGGTAATTCTACCCAGCAGCAAGACTTGGGAGCCAAAAAGCGAGGTGATAAAAAGCTCAACTTCAGAGCTATAAATGTGGGGAAAATCCTTTCCAGCACTTGAGACCATGGGCCAGGGGCAGAATAAACCACTGGAAAAGATGGCCGAGCGCAGTAGCTCACGCCTGCAATCCCAGCACATTGGGAGGCCGAGGCAGGCAGACTACCTGAGGTCAGGAGTTCTAGACCAGCCTGACCAACATGGCAAAACCCCATCTCTACTAAAAATACAAAAATTAGCCAGGCATGGTGGCTGGCACCTGTAATCCCAGCTACTCAGGAGGCTGAGGCAGGAGAATCACTTGAACCCAGGAGGCGGAGGTTGCAGTAAGCCGAGATCGTGCTACTGCACTCCAGCCTGGGCAACAGAGCGAGACCCTTTCTCAAAAAAAAAAAGAAAAGAAAAGACACCGCAGAGTACCAGCAGGGAGAATAGGAAGCCAAGTGCTAATGTCCATCAGTCCAGGTGCTGTACCTATGCTTTATTGGACTTCTCCTCCTGCATGTGACAAACTGGCAAGGACAATAATTTTATGAATCTGATTATTTTGAAAAAGGTATTGTTTACTTCCAAAAAGAAAATTAGTTTGTTGTACTTTCCATTCTTCTTTGCTTTATGAGTTCTTATGACTTGGGAGTTATTTCTCCTTGACAAACTTTCAAGGTTGTCAATCTGGTTGTTAAATTGCACGACTGTCTAAATTATGGAAATTAAGTTATCTGCTTTCTGCTTGGTCTCTTTCCTTAATTCTGCAAATCTGTTCCCTGTTACCTTTACTCAAGTGTTAATGACTTCCAGTTTGTATCTGAGGTTCTAACTGTCTTACATCCAAGAAATTAATTCTTTAGAGCTTTTAAGTAGAAGGGGCACAAGTGCCCTGAGCTAGCTATGGGGTCTTGGACAAAGTCCCCTCTCCTCCAGCCTTTTTTCCTTTCCCAGGCAACAGAGTGGGTGGGGAGCTGACCCTAAGCCAAGGGAGTCGGGGAGAAGGGGAGGTGTGGGGACAAGGGTCTGCTGTGCTCACCTGTGATTTTAAACCACACACTTCTGCATCTGAAAAACCTGCTAGAAAACCTTTCATTTCTTGCTTCCCTGCTGGCTTGATTTTCTCCTCTCATTTCTTTCTTTTCTTTTCTTTATATTTTTCATTTCTCCCTTCCTTCCTTTCTTCGTCCCCTCTTTCTTTCCCTCTTTCACTCTTTTGAAATCTGTCAATGTTCATTTGTTTTCTGGACTTCTGACCACAGTTCTGGATTCACAGATATTAGCAGGAAGAATCTAGATATTTAATTTCTAATTTGGCGAAGCCCAAAAGATTTCTTAGGGATTCCAACAAAAAGGAACTCATCAATAATGACAGCTTGAGCCCTTACTATGTGATAACCCTTATGTGACCTTGCATTCATTTAGACTCTACTCAGCCCACAGCCACCATGCAGCTACCTCCAACAGGTACTGCTGCTCACCGCCTTCCAATCTGATGATTCTAGTTGCTGGTACTAGTTAAACAAAATTATGAAAGGCATTGTTCTGGGCTGAGCTACTGCACTAGGCCCCAACAGACCAGATCAAACTAAAATAGAGTCATGCATGCTAAGTGCCATGTAATCAAACTGAAACTTTAAGAAAGCAGATAGATCTCCAAACAGACCAGTTTCTGTTCTCTTAAAAATAGGAGATTCCAGCATAATAGGGAACTCCCCTTGGCCCTAACTGTTGACGTCAATGCCTAGAGTTTTGGTCAACTTCCTAAAGGGGAAATTGTTAAATTAAGTTAAAGCTACTTCCTTACATAATTTAAGTTCAGCCTAAAGGTTTCTTCAAATATTGTGAAGTATAACCTAACTGGATGTGTGGGCAAATTGTAACTTACTCTTGTATCAATCACACAGTTTCAGCCAATCACAGGTGGCCAACTGTTCAAATCATGTTCAAATAAGGCAAATGCTGAGCTGAAACCAATCCAGCTGTTTCTGTATCTTACTTCCATTTTCTATCCATCACTTTCCTTGTTCTGCCCACAAATATTAGCCGGCCATGTGGCAGCCCTGGAGTCACTCCTAACCTATTCTTTTTTTGCAACTGCTGATTCTCTCATTCTTTGCTCAGTGAAATGCTGTTAAATTTAATTTGTTTAAAGGTTTTCTTTTAACATACTGAACTGAGACTTGCTTCCTATTCTCATAAGTTCTGCATAACACCTTACTGTCACCCAATCCAGTCTGTGTGTGCATTATATCCCCATTACTCTGGCCCTGGCAACAGACATATACTGTTTATGACTGATATAAAGGAACTAGCTCCACTTACGTAAAAACTGTCTACACCAGGATAATGAGAAGACAAGCCACAGACCAGGACAAAATATTTGCAAAATACATTTCTGATAAAGAACTCTTATCCAAAATATACTCAATATTAAGAAAATAAAAAAATCCTTTTTAAAAATAGGCTAAAGATCTTAACCTCTCCAAAGATATATGGATGGCAAATAAGCATATGAAAAAATGCTTCACCTCATATGTCATTAGGGAATTTCAAATTAAAACAACAATTGAGATACCACTACACATTTATTAAAATGGCCAAAATCCAGAACACAAACAATACCAAATATTTGTGAATATGTAGAGCAACAGGAGCTCTTCTTATTGCTTGTTGGTGGGAATGCAAAATGATACAGCCAACTTTGGAAGCCAGTATGGCATTTTCATACAAAACTAAACATGCTCTTATCATATGATCCTGCAGTTGTACTACCTGGCACAATCTCTAAAGGGATTGAAACTTATGACCACACCAAAACCTGCACGTGAATGTTTATAGCAGCTGTATTCATAATTGCCAAAACTTGGAAGCAACCAAGAGGTCCTCCAATGAGTGAATGGATAAATAAACCAGTCTATCCAGGAAACAGAATGTTTTTCAGCATTGAAAAGAAATGAGCTATCAAACCATGAAAAGATGTGAAGCAAAATTAAGTGCCTATAATTAAATGAAATAAACCAGTCTTAAAAGAGCACATAGTATATGATTTCAACTATACCATATTCTGGAAAAGGCAAAACTAAGGAAACAGTAAGGTAAATACGTGTACATCCAAACTCATAGGATGTACATTAAGAGTAAACGCTAATGGAAACTGCAGAGTTTGGGTGATAATGATGTGTTAGTGCAGGTGCATGGATTGTTACAAACGTACCACTCTGGTGTGCAGTGTTGATAATGGGGAAGTTGTGGGGTGGAAGCAGGGAAACCTCTGTCTCTTCTGCTCAATTGTGCTGAGAATCTAAAACTGCTCTAAAAAATAAAGTCTATTTTAAAAGAAAATGTCTCTACATATCACCCCAACCATGGAATGGAGGTGGGGACAGGGGGTAATCTTTTCCTCTTTCCACTCTTTGTCACTGTGGACAGACATTTCTTTCCCAAAGGGAATTACTCTATTTGGGGAAGGAGGCAGTGTGGGAAAGCAAGCAAGACAGCCTGTCATTGTCCAGTATGCTACTTATGACAAGTAACTCTTCCCATCTGATATGGTTTGGCTGTGTCCCCACCCAAATCTCAACTTGAATTGTATCTCCCAGAACTCCCACGTGTTGTGGGAGGGACCCAGTGGGAAGTAAGTGAATCATGGGGGCCAGTCTTTCCCGTACTATTCTCGTGATAGTGAATAAGTCACATGAGATCTGATGGTTTATCAGGGGTTTCCACTTTTGCTTCTTCCTCATTCTCTCTCTCCACCACCATGTAAGAAGTGCCTTTTGCCCTCCCCCATGACTGTAAGACCTTCCCCAGCCACGTGGAACTGTAAGTCCAGTTAAACCTCTTTCTTTTGTAAATTGCCCAGTCTCAGGTATGTCTTTATCAGCAGCGTGAAAACTGACTAGCACAGTAAATTGGTGCCAGTAGAGTGGGGCATTGCTGAAAAGATACTTGAAAATGTGGAAGCAACTTTGGAACTGGGTAACAGGCAGAGGTTGGAATAGTTTGGAGAGCTCAGAAGAGAGGAAAATATGGGAAAGTTTGGAACTCCCTAGGGATTTGTTGAATGGCTTTGTCCAAAATGCTGATAGCGACATGGATAATAAAATCCAGGCTGAGGTGGTCTCAGATGGAGACGAGGAACTTGTTGGGAACTGGAGTAAAGGTGACTCTTTAGCAAAGAGACTGGCAGCATTTTGCCACTGCCCTAGAGATCTGTGGAACTTTGAACTTGAAAGAGATGATTTAGGATATTTGGCAGAAGAAATTTCTAAGCAGCAAAGCATTGAAGAGGTGATTTGGTGCCATCAAAAACATTCAGTTTTATAAGGGAAGCAGAGCATAAGAGTTTGGAAAATTTGCAGCCTGATGATGCGATAAAAAAGAAAAACCTGTTTTCTGGGGAGAAATTCAAGCTGGCTGCAGAAACTTGCATAAGTAGCAAGGAACTTAATGTTAATCCCCAAAACCATGGGGAAAATGTCTCCAGGCCATGTTAGAGACTTTCACAACAACCCCTCCCATCACAGGCCAGGAGGCCCAGAAGGAAATAGTGGTTTCCTGGGGCCAGGCCGAGGGTCCCCATGCTGTGTGCATCTTAGGAACTTGGTGCCCTGTGTCCCAGCCACTCCAGCCATGGCTGAAAGGGGCCAATGTAGCACTCGGGGCCATGGTTTTAGAGGGTGCAAGCCTCAAGCCTTGGCAGCTTCCTAGTGGTGTTTAGCCTGTGGGTGCACAGAAATCAAGAACTGAGGTTTGGGAACCTCCTCCTAGATTTCAGAAGATGTATGGAAATGCCTGGATGCCCAGGCAAAAGTTTGCTGCAGGGGTGGGGACCTCATGGGGAACCTCTGCTAGGGCAGTGCAGAAGGGAAATGTGGGGTCAGAGCCCCCACACAGAGTCCCTACTGGGGCACTCCTTAGTGGAGCTGTGAGAAGAGGGCCACCATCCTCCAGACCCCAGTATGGTAGATCCACAGACAGCTTGCACCGTGTGCCTGGAAAAGCTTCAGACACTGCATGCCAGCCCATGAAAGTAGCCAGGAGGAAGGCTGCACCCTGTAAAGCCACAGGGGTGGAGCTGCCCAAGACCATGGGAACCCACCTCTTGCATCAGTATGGCCCAGATGTGAGACATGGAGTCAAAGGAGATCATTCTGGAACTTTAAGATTTGACTGCCCTGCTGGATTTCAGATTTTCATGGGCCCTGTAGCCCCTTTGTTTTGGCCAATTTCTCCCATTTGGAATGGTTGTATTTACCCGATGCCTGTACCCCCATTGTATCTAGGAAGCAATTGACTTGCTTTTGACTTTACAGGCTCATAGGCGGAAGGGACTTGCTTTGTCTCAGATGAGACTTTGGACTGTAGACTTTTGGGTTAATGCTGAAATGAGTTGAGACTTTGGGGGACTGTTGGGAAGGCAATGATTGGTTTTGAAATGTGAGGACATGAAATTTGGGAGGGGCCTGGGGCAGAATGATATGATTTGGCTGTGTCCCCACCCAAATATCAACTTGAACTGTATCTCTCAGAATTCCCGCGTGTTGTGGAAGGGACCCAGTGGGAGGTAATTGAATCACGGGGCCGGTCTTTTTCATAATATTCTCATGATAGTGAATAAGTATCACGAGATCTGATGGGTTTATCAGGGGTTTCTACTTTTGCTTCTTCCTCATTCTGTCTTGCCCACTGACCTGTAAGAAGTGCCTTTCACCCTTTACCATGATTGTGAGACCTTCCCCGGTCACGTGGAACTGTAAGTCCAATTAAACCTCTTTCTTTTGTAAATTGCCCAGTCTTGGGTATGTCTTTATCAGCAGCAAATGGACTAATACATCATCCCTCAACAAACTTGAGGCCACAGCCTTTGCACCTCAAAATCACCAAGCCCAGCCTCCAGTTACCAAAACTGATTAATCAGACAAGGAAGATCATAAGCTCCACACTCTTCCTCCATGTTATGGGACTACCACAGGAAACATTGCCTGGTTCGGGTCATACAAGCATGCCTTTGCCCCAGTTTTGACGTAAGAGCACCGATGATTTTCTTCTGCTGTCCTGACTCTCAGACCTTTTCTTTGGACGGTGGTGCTGACTCCATTCCCCGCTCCCATTGGCCGAATGTGACTCAGGCTGGACCAATCAGAGCCTTGCATTCCCCTGGCCATAGTGGTTGGTTCCAGATCAAGCCACACCTAAATCCACGCCCTAAACTCTTCTGTCACTTGAGCTTGTACATGTCCTCTTTGCTTAAGCAGTTTTGGGTTGGGTTTGCTGTCGCGTGCAACCGTAACAGCATTGAAGATTTATCCACACAGAGCCTGGTGCCTGTGACAGTGTGCCCGTATAAGGCCAGCTGCCAAGAAGACGCGAGCCTAGCATCCAGCCTTGAGTTTCTATGCAACTGTGTTGACTGGAGACTTCTGAGGAGAGAAGAGGCCTCTAGGAGACAGGCTAGGGTGGGAAGCGTTAAGACAGGGTAGGTGCCATCAGGAGCCTCCAAACCTGCCCCAGAGCCACCAGTCTGCCTCTGCGGGCCTCTCTCTGACGCCCTTCCAATCTGTGCCCTTTCTGCAGCTGTCTTCCCTCCATTGTCATAAATACAATCATGCAGCCAAGTGAGTCCAGACTCAGCCAGCTCTTTCTCATCCATACCCAGGGCTCTGCAATCTGCTTTCTTCTCCTTCTCCCTTTGTAGCCCATAATTGTGATGATCTGCCCCACACACCAAAGTCCACTGTCTCAGAACCTCACCCCAGACCCTCTGGGGGCCCTTGCCTTAACAGTCAGCTTCTCACTGACCACCCTCAGCTGAGGCTGAGGTTCCCTGACACATAGCAGTTCTCTGCTCTGGTGGTGCCCTAGAATCACTTGAAAAGATTGGACAAAACACTGAGGCCCGGCTGGGCGCGGTGGCTCACGCCTGTAATCCCAGCACTTTGGGAGGCCGAGGTGGTTGGATTACGAGGTCAGGAGATCGAGATCATCCTGGCTAACACGGTGAAACCCAGTCTCTACTGAAAATACAAAAAATTAGCCGGCTGTGGTGGCGGGAGCCTGTAGTTCCAGCTACTCGGGAGGCTGAGGCAGGAGAATGGCGTGAACCCGGGAGGTGGAGCTTGCAGTGAACTGAGATCACGCCCCTGCACTCCAGCCTGGGCGACAGAGCGAGACTCCGTCTCAAAAACAAAAACAAAAACAAACAAACAAAAAACACTGAGGCCTGGGCCTCATTTGCAGCTCTTCTGATTTAACTGCTCATGAGTAGGGCCCAGGCAACAGGATTTTGTAAAATTCCCCAGATGATTCTAAGGTGCAGTGATACAGTGTGAGTCTCTGCTCACAATTTCTGGGGAAGCTCCAAGCATGGCCCTTTGCACATGCTTGTTGCGTTTAAGGAAAAGTCCACACACAAATGCAAAGAGCTTCACGAGGCACTTCAAACTAGTGTCCCTTTTCTTCAATCCTCTCAGTGGTTTCCATGGCACCTGGAGTGGCCTAGAAGGCAGTGTCTGTGACTTGGCCCCTGTCTGCCTCTCCTTCCACATCTGGAAGCACTCTCCTATTGCAGACCATGAGGCATCCCCCCGGCCTTCATTCTGCTCCCTTATCCTGGTGACTTCCATCGCAAGCCTGACTTCTGTGCATCAGTCAGCCTGGGCTTAAACATCCCAGGCTACCCCAACTGAAACAGGTCTCCTCCCCAGTCACTCCATTGCATCATTTTGCTTCATTGTCATAGTATTTCGCACTATCTGAAATTACTTTGTTTTTTATCTGTATAAATTTTTTATTGCCCATCTTACATCCCCCTCCCCTCCAACACACACACACATATCCAGTAAAGTAAGCCTCAAGAGGACAATTCTGTCTGTTCTTTCATGTCTGTATCCCAGTACCTACTGCCTGGGAGTACACCTGGAGCTCAGCAAACATTCACTGACTAAATGGTTGCATTTTCCCCAGCAGGATGTACAGACGAAAAAAGACCAGAGGATATCAAATCTCACCACAAGGTGGGAGCATGCGTCCAGTCAATCGAGAGATCCTCTGTGCTGCGCACTGAGAGCACTCGGAGAGAAATCGTCAACGTGAGGCGCCTCTGGCTTTCCATCCTTCCATATCTGTCTAATTAACTCACATGCTAAGAAGACCAGCCATCAAGCCAGACAAGGAAGCTGGGACTTCAAATTTCCCCTACCTAGCCTCAACTATTCTCCCTTTATGATGGGCACATTAATATTCTTCCAAAATATCAGCATCATTTTGCAACTGGCTACAAAATACTTTAAAAGGAAAGATTCCACATGTTCCAGAAATAAAGTGCTTGAAATACTTTTGACGATGAGGATAAAACCCGTGTTTTAAGAGGAAGTTAGCTAAGGCTGGAGAGTTGGAACCCTCTGGCTTACTGATATTTATTGATCAATTACTGTATGCCCAAACATGTTGTGTAATAGTTGATCAGTAACTACTAAGTATAAACAAACTTTGACACTCCTTACCACAAATGGGCTTTAATAATAACAAACTAGTGAAGTTGGTTGGGCACAGTGGTTCACGCCTATAATCCCAGCACTCTGGGAGGCCGAGGAGGGTGGGTCACAAGGTGAGGAGTTCAAGACCAGCCTGGCCAGGTCTTTTGTATTTTTTGTAAAATACAAAAAATTAGCCAGGCATGGTGGTGGGCGCCTGTAATCCCAGCTACTCGGGAGGCTGAGACAGAGAATTGCCTGAACCCAGGAGGCAGAGGTTGCAGTGAGCCGAGATCATGCCACTGCGCTCCAGCCTGGGCAACAGAGCAAGACTCCATCTCAAAATAAAAATAAAAGTAAATTGGTAAAGTCCTTTTTTTATATAGATTTTTCCCATGTGTCTGGGAAGACAAAATGAACATTTGAAACATGAAGCAGTAAAGTGCTCAAATTTGGTAGTTTGAACAATTAAAAGTTAGGGTAACTGTAGTATGCTGTTGAAGTATGCTGAATGAAGTATGCTGTTGAAGTATGCTGAATAAAGAAGAGAGCAAGCAACTTGGAGAAAGAAAATCAGAGTCTTCTGCTTGGGGTCTTAGTCACTTTACCTCTGAGTACCTGATTTGGGGGTGAAGCCCCCAGAACCACATATGCTTCATTTTCATAGTATTTAACACTATCTGCTCCATGCAAGTTCATTGAACAAATGAATCCATTTGTAGAGAGGGAATGATAATAATATTAACCTCTGTGGCTAGGAGGTTTAAATGAAATAATGAAGCCAAACAGGTTTTGTAACTCATAAAATGCTACAATATATTGTATATTATGATTAAATGCTAATCATACAGCCCAACAATAGGAGAGCCTGAGGCAGGCACGGAGGAGTCATTGTCCACCAGAGACCTGTGGGAAGGCTTCTTAGAGACGGGAGAGGGGCAAAGCTCTGGAGCATACCTCTCCACCTTTCTCCATCACGAGCAGCCAATCGGCATTTAGCATACCCCACCAGGCAGCAGGAACCCCCTTGCCAGTCTTCATGGAGAACATGGGTTCTCATCTGGGAACAAGTCCATGCTCCAAAGGCCAGAAATGCTTCCCTCTTGGCCAGATTCTTTCCAAATGGCAGAGAGTGACTTTTCAGCAAATTGGATCTAATAATATTCCTGCCAGGAACCCTCCTACCCCCACCTCACACATTAACATCCTAGGAAGAAAGGCTCTGGAGCCATTCAGAATCTTATTATTGCCACTATAATTATTATAGTTATGACTATGACAATCATTATAAGGAAAATCATCCAAATGTAGTAAGGCAAAAAAAAAAAAAAAAAAAAAAAAGAAGGTGACTTCATGGCTATGAACAGAGTTAAAAGGCCAGCAGATAAAGAGAAATGTCAATCTCTCTTCTGCCAGGCCACCTCCAAGTGTGTGGGGAAGCTGGGTGTGTATTGCAGGGGTGCAGGGGAACTGCCCTATGGGAGGAAGAAGTCCTTTCCTTCTCCTTCCTGTCCAATACTTGTCTGTTCTCCTTTCCAAATGTCTCTAGCAGCCCTCATTTCCTCTCCATCCCTTCTTTGACTGCCTGAACTCAGGCCCTCATCACCTCTTGCCTGTATTATTGCAAGACCCCCCTCACCCACCTTCCAGCCTCTGGGTTCACCCAGTCTCTCTAGTGTTGCCCCAAAGGGATCTTTTTAAAATAGATGGCATCATGACACTCCTCTGTAAAACCCAGGCGAAGCTTCCCATGGAAAATATGAGAATATATGTGGAAGTCTTCTGCATGGCTTGAAAGGCTTCAGAATGGTGCTATTATCTGCATGTTTGTGTCCCTCAGAAATTCACAAGGTGAAGGTGTTAGGATGTGGGGCCTTTGGGAGATGATTAGATCATAAGGGTGGAGCCTATGGGAATGAAATTAATGTCCTCATAAAAGAGGCTGCAGAGAGGCCCCTCACCCCTTCTGCCATGTGAGGACCCTGCAATAAGGTGCTTTCTATAAGTCAGAACACGGGCCCTCACCAGATATCCAATCTGCCTTGATCTTGGACTTCCCAGCCCCCAGAACTATAAGAAATACATTTCCGTTGTTTATAAACCACCCAATCTATGGTGTTTTGTTATAGCAGCGTTATGTAGCAGCCTAAACATGCTAAGACAACTGGCCACTGCCTTATCCTATGGAGCCCACAGGCAGAAAGACAGATTCTTGGCTCCTGCACATACATCACCCATTCACATGCTTTATGTCCTCTTTTCTCGTAGTCAGTCAAGTTGTTCTCATAGCCTGGAAGTACCTGTTCATCCTACCGCCTACCTTTTGAAGTCTTTCAAACCTTGGCTCAGACCACCTGTTCCAAATATTTCTCAATGTTGGAATTATCTTCTCCTCAGCCTCTCCTAAGTATATTATTTGCATTTAAGATACCCACCCTCAGATTTGGGCTACTAAGTTCACATCTCTAGCTCCCTGAGCCTGCAACCCCTGGGTGTCACCTCCTCCTCCAATATTTAGCATTAGTTAATAGTTGGAGCTGAACAAATGCCTGGTGAGTTGAAAGTATGTTTTATCGCTTTACCTTGGTATGTTCTTGCAATGATTCTGTGGGGCGAGCACATCACTGTGATGACCATGGTGCTGCACATGAACAAACAGAAGCCAAGCAACTTGGCCTGGGCCAGACACCCAGGTGATGGATCCATGTGTACAGCCTAGCTCACTACAAAGGAAGCAAGGGTGGACCCACTCAGAGTGGGACACTGCACTGGGGAAGTGCCTGGGGTGACTCCATGGGTCACAGTATATAACACAGTGATTAAGAATCCAGGCTCTGTATCTGAATCTCAGTTTCATCCTTTCTGTCTGTGCAATCCTGGGTAAGTTTCTTCATCTCTTAATTTCAGTTTGTTTGTTTATAAAATGAGGGTAATGATAGCACCCTCACAGGACTGCCAGGAGTAAATTAGATAGCATCAAATACTAGCATTGAAGCAGGCATATACCGATACGTAGAGTTTTGTTGTGATTAAATTAGCACTAAGAGTATCGACAAACGACAGAGTCATATTTCTCTTTTGTGCCTGGGAATAGTGAAGAGGAGTCCAAAGTACCATCCCAGGAATGAGGAGGAGAAGGAGAGGTTGGAACAACATCCCCTGGTTGCCTGAGCACATTCCCAAGATACCAGGCCACCCATCAGCATTTCCCAAGCAACAAGTCACTGTCATTTCCTCCCCCATGCCCTGGGAAAGTGCACAAATTGAGTTCATTCCACAAGCCACTGTCTCCTCTTCTCAGGCCCAGTCATGACCCTCCCAAGCTATTTGATACACAAAGGTCCAGGTATCAGCCATGTTGGATGTGGTTCTGCAGGCATCTTTAGGTACACAAAAGATGAAAGCAGCACGCTTGCAACGAAGTTAGTCAGTGCATGGAAGAGATGCCTTCTTGCTTCTTTGAATCCAGGTTAATGAAAGGTGAATCCAGTTATCCAAGTGGAAGGAAGACAGCGAGAAAAGATAAAGAGAAGTTTCAATAGTGATGAGGAACCAGGCAAGACCTGCTTCCTAAGTTGCAGCAGAGGCTGAATAGTTCAGACCCTGGAGTCAGTCTGCCTGTGTTCAAATTTCTGTCCCATCACTTCCTAACTGCATGGCTTTGGGCAAATTATATTGGCATTTTCTATTTCCTTACCTGCAAACTCAGAGTGCTGCTAACATCTATATCATAGAATCATTGTAGGGATTAAATGGGATAATTCATGTAAAGTTCGTAGCACAACACTGGACACAATAAATGCTCACTCGGTTAAGAGGGTTAGTAGTGGTGGTGGTGATGGTGGTGATGGTGGTGGTGGTGGTGGTGGTGATGGTAGTTTGATCCTGATCTAAACTGGGTGAATAATTTTATTCCCATTTCACAGGTTCAATAAACTCAGGTTCAAGCAGTCAACGGTCTTGCTCAAGGTCACACAGTACATGGCAGGTCCAACTCAAGTTCCACTCTGTTTCTGCCTGGGAGCTCAGTGAGTGATCCAAATGCCCTAAGGAGGAGGAGCTGAGACCAGAATGGACATTCTTTTCTGAAAATCAGAGGACAAGAAAGATCCAAACCAAAGACCAAACTGAGCTAGGTAAAACATGAAAACATTCCAAATCATTACTTAGAACTAGTTAAGAGCATGCCTACTGAGAAAGTCACTCTCTTCTACTTCCCTGAAATTGCCAACTTGTGCAAGATTTCACCATTCTCCTCCCCAGTATTCGTCTACGTCAGATGTAGTACTTCTATACTCAGATATAGTGCTTCAAGGGAGGCCTTACAACCAGGAACAGAGGTGAAGTTTCCCCTAGAAGGAGCCCTAAGTCTATGGGTTTGAGCAGCAAAGGCAAGGAGGCTTCAATCTTGAACCCAAGCTACTTCAAGAGGGTCTGGGCTGCAGAAAAAGCCCACCTGTCTAGGACCTGTCCTGTGAGCTATTGTTCTACCCCCAGGTGAAATCTACTCAATAAAAGCATTAAGACAGCATTTATTGACCAACTTACTTAAGGGCCAAAGGTCAGGAACTGCAGCTTCTATTAGGACTAAAAGAAGAGAGTGGCCTCAAAAGTTACAAATGACCTGGGGGAGTTATGAGATGTGGCACTCACCACTCTTTGGTTATGACTGTAATGTTGCTGGGAGCTAGACACTTGTCATGGCTGAGGCCCCAAGTATCTGTATGTGACATGACAGGTGCTCATAGACACCTGTCAAATAAATAAATAGAAGTCCTATCACTCCAAGTGAGCTTTGTGGCACACTCTCACAGCCACTCTCTCCTTTGGTTTTCCTGGCAGCTCTGAGAGTTAACCTCAGCATGCATTCTTAGCCACCAGTACACACAAGTCTCTTCTGGAGGCATCTCAGTAATAAGAGCAGCACAGAGTTTCTGAGCACAAATCTTATGAGCTTTCCATGATGCCACATGTTGAGGTGCCAGAGTGCTGCTTGGTAGATTCTGAGTACCTGTCACAGCTCCCTGCTTCTTTCTTCCCTCTCTCCAGCACAGGCTTCAGGGGGCACCAGATATTTGAGCCCCTGGTGGGATTTTACCTTAGGTTGTTCTGGATGTCACTCTCACTAGCTTCTCTGACTAGAAAGAACCAACTGAGACATTTGCAAAAGAATTGTGAGTTTCAAGTCGGAAGACCTAGGATCTAGGACCAGCTCGGCTCCCTGCTAGCCGAGGATCCCTGGCAAGTCAAGAAGCATTTCTATTCCTCAGATTCCTGATCTGGGGTGTGGAGAGGCCAACTAAAGGAAACAGGAATGTGACATGACCTCGATGGTACCTGACACATTACAGGTCCTGGAAAAACTGTTGTCGGGGATAAATATGAAAATGCATGCTAAGCAGTTATCCTGGGGCCTGGGCTCAGTAAACATTGCTACTACACTTACTGTTTCTGACCAGCTTTAATCCCTGGGATGATGTCTGTCTAGCATCCTCACACTGGGAGCTGCCTCACTCCCACCACTATGGTTTTCACCTCCCCAGATCCCTGAAAAACACCCCTGCCTCTCTGGTCTCCCCAGGGTCCCCAATCTCTCTGGGCTTCCCCTCGCCCAGTCCACTGGGCATGAGTCTCATCCAGCCTGGATGCAGAAGTCAGGCCCCTCCACCATCCTCTCTAACCTACTGCAGCCCCTGCTTCTCAAAGTTCCACCAAGTCTGTGGCAAAACCTCAGGTCAGGCTGAAGGTCCCCATCCAGCCTTTGCTGTCTCTCTCTCCCGCTGAGCAGAATCTTAACCATCTCATATTCATTTTAAGCACATTCCCTGTCCTGGAGCCCAGAACCTTCTCCAGGCCTCTGGAGCACCTGGTTGCACCCTTGCCTCCCTCTTCAGTGAGTGACTTTGCCTTCTTGTTCTGGGGAGTCAGGCCCCCTGGGGTGAGTGCTTCTCTGCATCCCATCAGGACCACAAGGCACATGGGGACATCAAGGGAAGGGAAGAGAAATGGGAGGGGTGACATGGGATGGAGGCATGGCATCCTGGCAGTGGAAATGGGCTGGAGTGTGGCCCTGGGGACTCACTGACCACTAAGCCTTGAGGGAGGAAGCGAGGCCTGATAGCGCATCTGGCATGTGGTAGCCACTCAGTAAATATCCACGTATGCGTGCCCAGTGTTGACATTTAATAAGCATGTTTTACTGTGTTCAACACCATCCCAAGAATGCTGGTGTCCAGGATCAAGCTGCCCATATCCCTGCCTTTTATGGACTCCAAGTGTGGGGAGGAACTGAAGAAGGGGAGACCTACCCAATTTCCATAACCCAAGATAACATGCTAGAGAGAGCACACAGTCTGTCGGGAGGCTCATTCATCTGCTTGGTGCAGGGGAGACATTGAACATGTTCAGTCGCAGATTTGTCTGAAGAAAAAAGACCAAACGAAGTGCAGGGAGCAGGTGGGAGGGTGTATTCTGCTTTTCAGAAATCATGTGTCCTCAGAGGATGCACCTTCCAAAGCCCTTACCATTCGGGCGGCCAGCAGCAATGGCACCCGCCATCTTGGGGACACGAGCTGCCCGTCTGGTTTGTCCTCTGCGCCTCTGCATGGAGTGGGATGCAGGCCAGAGAAACTGCTCTGTAGACAGGTCAGCAGAGGGAGTGGATCATGACAGGAGCTGGGAGATTGGCTTCTCATTTGGGCCCTGCAGCTGACCGTGTCACACTGTATGACAAAGAACATCACCCTTCTGCCCAAGGGCCTCCGTTTGAAATTAGGATCTTGGCCCAGATCAGTGGTTCTCAAACTTGGATGTGCATCAGGACCATCTGGAGGGCTTGGTAAAACACAGCTGCCCCCACTCCGCCACCACCAGAATTTCACACTCAGCAGGTCGGAAGTGGGGCCTGAGACCGATTCTAACAAATTCCCAAATGGGGCTCATGCTTCTGACCCAGGGACCACACTTTGAGAACCACTGGCCTAAATAATGACTACAGCTACTTCCAGCTGTGAGATTTTAGAATTTTGTTTCGAAGAAGCAGTGTAATACAGGAAGAAGAAATTAAGAAATAAAGGAGGATTTTAGAAGACACATGAGGCCTGGTGCAGTGGCTCACACCTGTAATCCCAGCACTTTGGGAGGTCAGGTGGGAGGATGGTTTGATGCCAGGAGTTTGACACCAGCCTGGGCAACATGGCGAGATTTCATCTCTACAATAAAACTTTTTAAGAAATTGCCAGGTGTTGTGGCATGCACTTGTAGTCTTAGCTACTCAAGGCTGAGGTGGGAGAATCTCTTGAGCCTAGGAGTTCTAGGTTACAGAGAGCTATGATCACAACACTGCACTCCAGCCTGGGCAACACAGTGAGACCCTGTCCCTAAAAGAAGAAGGAGGAGGAGCAGGAGGAGCAGGAGAAGTAGGAGGAGAAGAGGAGAAATTTCTGAACAGTCCCCTCAAGCAACAAGCAGGTACCTGGGCATTGCCCAGTCCTGGCAGAAATGGGGCTGTGGGCCTAGCAGGACTACTCTCTCCTTTTTTCTGCTCTTAGGATTTCTTTTCATTTGGTTTTCATTGGCTTCTACATCTGAGACCATATTTCACAGCAGCTGCTGGAGTCTGTAATGAAATACTTTATGGGAAAGCACTTTGAAAATATGAAGGAAAAGGCAGGGGGGTTATTTTGAACGTCTGTTTATATTTTCTGTTTTACCTCCATCAAAAAAGCAAATGATAGTTGCAATAAAAGACAGAGTTGTAGTTGCTGGGAGAGAGTTGAATGGGATGGAACTGAAATTACTTGAATTAAATAAGAGTCTCATTATCCCCATGCATAGGAACCAAATACTGAATAGATGTGCAGGGAAGCCTGGGTGGCCCCAGAAATGAAGGAGACATGCTTTCCCCTAGAACTGGGGAGGAGACATGCTCTCCCCTAGAACTGGGGAGGAGACATGTTTTCCTCTAGAACTGGGGAGGTGACAGGCCGAGGTGCCACAGGGCACAGGCGTGCAAGGGCCGTGGACATGGTGTTCATTTTCAGAGGATCTGGGAGCCACTTGCAGGCGAGTTCTTTCATACCTTGGGCCTTGAACTCTTGTGGGCCAAAATGCCTTGAGATCTGTGGTCAGAACATTCATTCAGTGCCCAGGGCCCAGAATGAGAGTTCAAGCTCCCTGACCCCTGGTCAGTGTCATTTCCACTGTCTCAGTGTCTTTCATGGTCTTGAGGTTTCTCACCTGCAAGTACAGCAGAGCTCCCTTAGACTTGGATCTGACCCCTTTTTATTTGGGGTTTTCTTTCTATGCAGGTTCAGCTGCTCCTTCTAGACACCTACACCTGCCTCTTATCCCAACACACAGAAGCATATAGATCTGCAGGGACCAACCAAAAAGCAAACTAAGCAGTTTGCTCATGAACAATATCACCTTACATGGGACCTCCGGGATCCCTGCCCCAGGCCCTGTGCCTCCACGGGCTCTGCTCTGGCCTCCTCAGCCATGACTCTTCCAATGAGGAGAAGCACCTGGGGGACCAAGGGGATAAGCCCACCTGCAGCCCCTCCTCACATAGCCCATGCTCCAGTACACACGGCTAACCTGGGGGTAGTCAGGGGGTGGTCAAAGGGTGGATATTTTGGGGGAGGCCTTTGAAGGGTCAAGATGTCCACCCATCTGTGCACAAGCCCCTCAGGATTCAGACAAGAACTGGGAATGGGGTCAAGGGAGGGCTCAGGCATTCATTTGCACTCTTGCATGGGTCCTGCCAGCACTCAGACCTGCCTATAAAACTCAGTTAAGTGCCAATTTTCCAGAGGAATTGCATTCTATTTGTATAGGGAAAGAGGCTAAGGAGACACAGAGCAAGCCAGCATCCTGGCAGTCTTCAGGCCTGTGCCAGGTCTGGCTGGAAAAGCCCAGGCAGACAGTTGCATGGCCTGCAGAGCCCAGAGGCCCCACTGTGCTGGTGGAGTTGTCCAGCGTCACACAAGAGCCCTTCTCAGAGGGGTCAGCCATGCTCTTCACCAAAGTTGTTTCAGGCCAAGATCCCAGCTACTCTTGAGAACACCTGTAAGTGGATGGTCGGCCAGGGTGGCGCCAGGCAGCCCAGCCTCAACAAACCCATGACCTTCTCCTGACCTCTGCATAGGGCCAGGTTGGGCAAAAGCCCCAGGTTCAGCCACTGGGCAATGTGGCATGGAAACACATTTGAGGCACCAAAGACCTGTTTTCCATGGGCATCACCAGAATTGAAACAGACTGGAACACTGAACTATTACCAAGAAGACAAATAGAAGTCTTAGATTTAACGCCCCAAAATCAGTTGAACAAATACCAAATAAAAGATACCCTAATTCACCAGAGCATTAAAACCTCAGTGTGTCAGGAAACCATAGCTTGTATAAGCCAATTCTCTGCTAAAACAAAAACAAAAATCAAATGCAAACTTAGACTGCATTCATAGAAGTATAGGGTTCCAAATAAAGGAATTAGAAATGGCCCAGGCCACATTTAATACACTGTGCTCTGTTGCGGTAACACATTTTTTAAACCACAATTACAAACCAAAATATTCTCTAATCCACAAATTAATTTGGCAAGGAGGTTGGAATGTAGGCTTTGGAGTATTTTGAAGAAATGGCTTTTTAGCCCAGAAAGAAGATAAACTGGGGAGATTTGAGAGCTACCTTCCAATAATTGATGGATCATATGAGAGATTGCTTGTTTCAATCTAAGTACTACAACAGGATTCTGAGAAGCACAACCCACAGAAATTGACACATACCCCACAGATAGAAATTGACACAACTTTTCTAGAGAACCACATGGCCCTCAATGTTAAGGCCATTAAGAATTCCCACATCCTTTGGCCAGGACTTCTACTGCTAGGAATTTATCTCAAAGAAGTAATCAGAATGTGGCAAAGATTTTCCTACAGTGATATTTATGGCAGTGTTGTTTATAATATTGAAAAATTAGAAACAGTCTAGGTATCCAAAACTAAGAATACCTTACACACATTGCAATATATCCATGCCACAGAAAATTTGGTGACCATTAAAAATATTTAATATGTTTTCAAAGACTTTAATGATATGAGAAATGTCAGAATGTCAGTGAAAAGAACAAGCTGTATACAAAATCTACAGTCAATGTGATTCCAATTTTGTAAAACCTATGCCTGCCCACACAAGCACAAATAGGAAGAAACATACCAAAATGCTAACAGTGCTCATCACTGCAAGTTATATTTATTGGGGATGCTTTCCAAATTATGTTTTCTATATTTTTCAAATTTTCTGCAATGCATGTGTCAACTTTATAATGAGAGAAAAGTACTTAGCATATTTGAAGAGCAGTTATATGCTGAATGAGCGGTAGATTCAGGGATGACTTGAAGCTGGAACTGCTCAAGAACAGCTTCCCAATGAGGTGTGACCTTCTCTCTGGGAGTGTCCAGGTCTGCACTGGGTGGGGGAGTTGAACAAGAGAGTGGCCAAGTGTGAGAAAGGTTGGGATGAAAAGGAAAATGACCTTTACTGAGCATCTGCTACAGACTGGTTTCTATGTTCCAAAGCTGAGATTAAAAATCAAAATAACTTCTGCAATGAACTAAAGCTGGTAAGTGTTGGAGCTGAGACCTGAATCCAGGACTTCCTGGCTCTGAAGCACAAATTTGAAGCAGCCTTCTTCACCTGCAGGAGCCAGGCCTGCATCAGTCATCTGTTTATAAGGCCAACAGCCTGATCACCTCTTGCAATCAACCAACAGGTAGGAAATCTTGCAATTGGTTACAAAAAATTGTCTACTGACAGATTTGTGTGGCCTTCAAGTAGAGACATCTCTTGGACAGGAATTGCTCAGGGAGTCACTGGACCACAGCTGGATTCTCAGAGTCCAGTGTTCCCTCATCACCACACTTCTTAAAGGCCAAGTGGCCTTACTTGTTATGTGGACCAAATCTCCAGCTGATCGACTCCTTTTTAAGCCTTTACGATGGAGTCCCTTCTATTCCAGAAGCTCAAAGCTACCTCCAGAGGAAAATAAGCCATCAGGGTTTAAGATAGCCTATACTGTCCCCTCACCTTTACTGTCTTCCCCACCTTAGCCATTTTGCTAAAGTGCCAAAGAGCACATGGCTCACCTCTCTGACCCAGACCACAATACTGAGTCAACCAAGGAAGTGACTCAAGGAACAGAGTGAATTGGGGATACCATTGAGGGCTCCAGACACCAAACCTGCAACGGTGATACATCTGTCTCCCACTAAGATTTTTGACTTCTAAAGGGTTACTTGAGTCAATGAGTTTTTATTTTCATGAGGGATCTTCAATGGGTCCCAGAAAAAAAACAAGTTATCTACATAATCATTCTTAGAACCTTCTGAGCACTGATGCATTCCTGAGCTGTCAGCTGCTGCTCCTCTCCCTCCCTCCCCACACCAGCTGCACACACACACACACACACACACACACACACACACACTCACCTTCCTGCTAAAGACTCTGAGCACCAAAAAATTTGAACTGTTCCTGGCTGTAGCCAACAGAGTATGGAAAGCAATTGTTTTCAGCAAAGTCTTGCCCAAATGTGGAAGATGAATGTTCTCAGTGGACAGGCCCAACACCAAGCTCCTAAGGAGCACCTTCCTACCTAAGGGAGGGAGATGTACAACCTGCATTGACAGACGCAGGGCCATCAGCTCTGAGGGCAAATGCCCCTTGCAGAACCTGTCAAGAAATAAAATTGTCTCCCATCTGAGAACTAGGGGTAGGGGTGAGGGACTTGAGGGAGAAGTATGTTTCTTGTTTTCTGATTTCCAGGGATTTTTAAACAGCCCTCAGTTTTTTTTTAAATAAGGGCTATATTATAGCTTTAAAAATAAGGGCTATATTTCCAAATCCTTCCTAAACTGATATATTTTCTAAGAAAAGGCAGTCTTTGAGCACCAACATATATTTAAGAGAGTCAGAAATGCCCGGCATGGGACACTTGGCTCCCATCCTTCATGAAACTATTTTCAGAGCATCTAAATATTTTCCCCGGACAACCCTAATAACCCACTGTGGGTCTCCAGCTATAGGACCTTGGGAAATTCATCTGACATCTCTGGATGTCACCCTCCTGCTCTATAAAATAAAGGTGTGATCATCAAGATGCCTCCCAGTTTTAAATTGTATGATTCAACTCAACTGTGAATTGGTGTAGACCAAGTGTTGGCAAACTACAGCTTGCTGGTCAAATCTGGGCCTTGCTAATTGTGTAAATAGCATGTTAATAGAACCCAGTCATGCTCATTCATAGGTACTGTCTATGGCTACTTTTGTACTACAATGGCAGAGTTGAGCATTTAGGGCAGTGTTGATCCACAAAGCCAGAAATATTTACTCTGATCTTTTACAGAAAATGTTTGCTCACTCCTGGTTTCAACCATTAGAAACTGAGAGCTTGAATTTGACAATGGGAAGCCAGGCGTTCTGTAGGGAGCTCACAGCAATATGTTCATAGGATGGGATTCTATTTATATTTTCAGCCTGTGCCACCTCTTGGGATCACACAGCAGGCAGCAAACTTATGGAACGTGGTAAGTAGAACTTTCTTGTCATTGTCCTAAAACTGCTGGTTGTAAGCTTCAGTGAGTGCCACCTTGGCAGGCAGGCTGTCTCCCTCTTGGTTCTCTCCACATCCTAGAGATTTCCATCATGCCCTGCTCACTCTGCCTTTTTTCAGATTTTACTGCTTTTTAAAAATCTGTCCTCAAACAGAAGCCTTTTCTTCCCCTTGAGTGTTTTAATTGCTCTTCTCTGGACCATGTCCAGGATCATTATGTCTTCACAAGAGCCTGTGACCAGACCTACACACTTTCAGGAGCAGACACTGTGGTTGCAAGCAAAGAGAAACATTTTGACTATGGAGCTCTGGGGTTGAGGGCTGGGCTTTGTGATCAGACCTGGGTTAGAATCCAGACTCTCACACCTTCTAGATATGTGACCTTTGTCAGTGACAGCATCTCTGCTACAGACCCTAAAGTGGTTGTGCATAATGAGTCAGGGAGATGACAAGACACGATGTTCAGTGCAGAATCTGAATATTTACTCATTCAGGTATACAGTTTGCTGACGGTGTTCTGTGTATGGACTCCCATCTTCAGAGAAGCCAGCTGCGATTTCAACTATACATATTTGTGTGTGTGTATATATAAATGTATGTATATATGTACATATATGTGTGTATATGTATAGTATATATGTGTGTACATATATATGTAGTTGAAATCATAGCCGAAGTCTCTGAAGACAATTCACAAATATACACACACACATATACATGCATATGTAATTGTATATACAGTTGTATACTATATATATCTATATATTGACTTATATACACGTATACATATATACACATATATTTATGTATTGAAAACTAACAAAATTTATCTTCCTAACTGAGCATGAGGCCCCTTGCAGGGACTCAGCTTTACCCATCTTTCTGTACACCTAGGGATGTGTGAAATACCAGACTACCTTGCTGAAGGGACCCTACAGGCCACCTTGTAGCCCAGAAAAAAAAAAGTCCAGTAGAATTGAGCCGTAAATGAGAAGCAGTAATCGCAATAAATACCTGCGAATTCATATTCTAAAGTGAATGGCTCTTGGAATTCTTGTTTTAAAAGTTATTTAGCAAACACTTATTGAACACTTAATATGAGCCAAACCCCTTCAAGTAGGGTGTGGCCTTTGCATTCCTAAGTATTGGTTTACAGCTCATTAGGCCTTTGACAAGGCAGCTGGGGTTGAAGAGAAAGGTAACCCTGGAGTGTCCCAAGCCATTGTCACCTGGAGGTAATGCATCTCTGCAGCGTTAGGGAAAGCCCGTGAGAACATAAGCTTTATTCACCAGCACCAAAGGTATGCTCTAGCATTTAGGAAATGCACAATGCCTCAACTCCTTCTGGAATCCCACCTGGGCACCCAGCATCCTGCGAGTACAATTCGTCTGATTTTTTTCCTAAGCAGGTTGCCTGAACTCATCTGCCCCTTAGCTGCTAGACGGAGCTACTCTGCAGTTTCAGGGCCACAACAGATACTGACCATAAGAGTCTAATCTCAGACACGGTTTAAACACAGATGGCCCAAGGAACTCCATCTGAGAGCTGAGGGGAGCCCAAAATGTCTCCCTGCCTCAGCCCCAGGTAACTCTGGGTGCTTTAGAAAGCAAAAAAGTTGCCAAAGGCCTCTGCTTGCGGCTCCCATTACCCCTGAGCAAACCCCTATCTCTAATAGGATCACGCATTAATGACAGAGACAGGTCCTGGGAAGATTAAAGGCTTCGTATAATTAAAAAGATAAGAGTGGGCCTGGGAGAAGGAAATTGGGATTCAATTAACACAAGGACTCTCCCCCCAGCACTCCCCCGCTATCAAATGTTCCACTCAGAAGGGCCTTCCCGACTTGCCAGAGAGTGAAAGGCTGAAGGGCTCTTATTTATGGCCTGCTTGGAGTTGGGCCTGGGGCCTTCCTTGGCTGGGGAGTTTGTTTACTTAGAGTTCAAGAGGGGAGGGGAAGAGCAACACAAATCCTGCAGGAGGAGGCCACAAGGTGCTTTTGACTCCTTTTCTTTCCCTCTTAGTTCCTCTGATCTTCTTGACAGGGGAAGAAAAATACTCAATAGAAGGTCTATTTCCTTCCTCCCTCAGCCTGAGGCTGACACAACAGGCTAAGGGTCACTGCTGAGAAAGCTCTGTGGGGTTATTTGTGTTGGGAAAGCACAGCCGCTTCCCCCTTTCCGTCTTTCTCAGGTTTCCATGGAGGCAGAAGGAAGATAAGGTTGGAGAAGCAGCTGCCTAAATGGCCTGTGGGCCTGAACATGAGGGGTGCCCGGCCCTCAGGGACCCCCACTTCTTGTGTTCTTTCAAAGAGTTTTCAAGGTGGAAGAAAACAGAGTTGACTGGGGTTGCAGACTAAGCTGACACAGGTAGGGTGGGGACAGTGTGGCAGGCTCCAGCAAGCACCGGATCAGTACCTTCAGCCCTAGTACTTCTCAGCTAACTAGTGGTAAAGGTGGGCCTGGGCCTCAGGACCTTATGGAAATAGACATGAAGGTCCATTTGGATGGATGGACTGTGTTTTAAAAGCCTCTGCTTTTGCTAATGGATGGTGAAGCCCGTATGCTGTTGCACCCTCTCCCAGACTCTCTTCACAGGGACCCACAGACTCCTCCACTAGAACCCTCCCCAGCAGACAGCAGCTCCCCTTCAGTTGGTCTGTGGGCACTCGAAGCTGTGTGCAACCAGGCCAATGAGGTTGGTGAGGCTAAGGAGGATGGCCTTGAGAAAAACCAAGCCAGGACGTCTGGGATCAAGAAGACAGAACACACTACAACAGCTGGAAGGAGTGGAGAAATGTACAGATAAAGCAAAATAATCAGGATATGAGATCTCGTTCCATGCCCAGTTAATCATCTATAAGCTGTATTCAAGGCTGCACATTAACTTCACGAATACGCCACAGACACCTCAAGTGCAAGAGGTTTAAAGCCAAACTCCGTGTTTTAACCACCCAATATGTTTCCTTCCTGTGTTCCCAATTCCAGAAAATGCCTCGGTTAGGACTTTCTGAGCCTTAGTTTTTCAACCCACAAAATGGAGGGAGCAATGCCTGCTCTGTCTACCTGGGCTGCCAGAGTCAGGTGAGAACCCAGACAGAAACACACATTGGAAAATAACAAATGTGAGGAAGACAGAGACCAGAGCATGCTCACTCACTGCCAACATTGGTCACCTCGTTATTGACTCTCAAAGGAGGGACCCCGTCTCACATGAGCATGTGATGGCACCATGCAAATTGCAATGGGCTGCACCAGCAAAAGAATGACAAACCAATGAGGCTGGCACCATAAGACAAGAGCACCAGAGACTTCCTTCAGATGCTACACACAGACATTTCCACAGAGACCCGTTAGAGACTAAAACTGAATTTTAGTATGAAACAAGGGACTGACAATGACAGCAGGAATTTTCAGCAAGAAGGGAAAGGAGAGCAACACATAGCGGGCTTGAGGGAGGGCTAATTGGAGCAAGCAGGGATGTGGTTAAAAGGGGAGGACCTCAGCGGTAATCAACTATATCGCTTATTTCCCAGTGGAACCATTTAAACTGAGAGAGGATGTGGAGGTTAGCCTCCAGCATGGCTCACAGTGATCCCCATCTCCTGGAAATCATATCCTTGTGTAGTCTCCTCCCAGACTGAATAGGGGTGACCTGGAGAACCAATAGGGTATTGAGGTGATCACAGTGTTTGACTTCTGCACCTGTGTCATAAAGCACATAATGACATCTGCCTTGGATCACTCACTCTGTGGGAAGCCAGCTTCCCTGTGGTGAGGACACTCAAACAGTCTTAGGAAGAAGCTTCCATGGAGAGTAACTGCAGCCTCCTGACAACAGTCAGCAAGGAACTAAGACTTCCTGCCAACAGCCACATGAGTGACCCATCTTGGGAGATGATTCTCCAGCCCCAGTCAAACCTTCAGATGATGTGGTTCCAGCCAACGTCTTGAGAGCCTGTGAGCAGACTCCCAGTTACACCACTCCCAGATTTCTGACCCATTATACTATGAGATAATTAATAAATGATTGTTGTTTCAATTCACCCAAGTTTGGGGTTGTTTGTTATACATCAACAGATAACTACTACAGAGGGTGTATTTCATTTCTAATTACTTTCCGTATTTTTATACTATATCCACAGTCATTACCTCATCTGATTCTTACACTTACTTATTTTCTCTGGCTCAAAGATTCATAAGCTGTGTCTTGGAGAAGTTAAGTAGCATTTCCAAATTCACATTATGCATGGTGGCAGATCCAGGTGAAATTCCAAGCATTCTGACTTCTCATGTTTTCTCTCTGCATATAATCCAGATGCTGAAATCACATTCTGTGGGCAGCTGCATCATTGAACATTGTCTGGAGCCTGCTCTATTTTGAAAGAACTCTTTGCTGCATGCTCTAGGGCACAGATGGAGGCAGCATCATAGGTGGGTTAAGGAGTTACCTCATCTTTGGCACAACCTGCTAAGCTAACCTGAGTACTCCCAGCCATTATTCCACAAGCCTCTACCGAGTGCCTCCTGTATGACAAGTGTCATGGAACTCATATCAACAGCATGCATTTCCTGGAGGCACAGTTCAATAGAGAGCTGGGGGTGAAAAAAAAAAGAGAAAAGAAAAAATAAGAAAGCTATAACATTTGAGCTTGAAATGTCACAGGGAGCCAAGGAAGTTGTCTGATGGATTGCCCTGTCATCGCCAAGCCAAAAGAAAAAAAACTTTCAGATCCATCAATTTGTTCCTGCCCTTTTAATCCAAACAATATTTTACAGCATCAGAACGCAAAGAAATTATTTTCTTAGACATTCAACTCCGCATGTGGACTGCTGAGCACTTAACCAGAAAGCAGCAAGTGAGAACTGTAGGTTGTTCAAGTGTCTGCACATCTGATTGATCCAGATTGAATGTATAATATACTGGAACACATATGAGAGCCTACTGGTGACATATGTTCATTCATTCATTCATCCATGAGGAGTTGACATCTCTTTGCCATAGACAATGAATTTGAAGAGACACCTGTGTACACGTGCACCAGCTGCCCAGGATGAGGACTGCTCCTGCCTGCTCTGGACCTGCTCCTCCCTTTGGCTGGCTTTCCAATTAGTGTAGACCTGTTCTCCAGTATCCCAGCCTCTCCTCGGGCCACATTTGAGGATACCACCATCCACCCCTTGGATCAAATGTTTGGCTCTTGGGCTCAGACCGTGTTGGGATATAGCTTTATTTGCAAAGTAGGCTGAAAAATTCCCTCTCCTGACAAGGAAAGCTGATTGGCAGTATGAAGAGTACATTGCAGAAGTTTTGAGGAGGACAAGCACTTACAATGGCTTTACAAGGATGGCTGGCCAAGTGAGATAGAATTTAACATGGGTATTTGTCAGCCCTCAAACAAGTCCTGCCTTCTTTCCTCCAGGTCTTTATTCACACTGCTTCTGCCTCCTCTAAGCAATCCTTCCTGATTTCCCCCGTCCCCTCAGTCAGTGTGCTCTCTCCCTGTCCCCTTGTTGTTGGTTCCTCTATCTTGGTGATCTGCTTTGCATGTGAACGACCCATGTGTGCGTCTATTTCTCTCACTATATTGTAATATCCATGGGGCTTAACTGTGTCTGTATTCCTACACGATGTCTAGCACAAGGAATAATAAATCTTTATTACAATGACTTGAATGGGAAGAAATGTAAAGTGGGCATGTCCTGTATTGCTTGTGGGATAAGTGGAGTCATCATCTGTTTGTTCATACAAAGACTTGTACATGAATGTTCATGTGAGCCTTATTCATAATCGCCAAAAACTGGAAATAACTCAAATGTCTACATCAATGCAATTGAATACTACTCAGCGATAAAAAGGAAAGAACTACTGGCGTATGCAACAACATAGATTAATCTCAAAGGCATCATGCTAAGTAAAAAGTCCAGACATAAAAAACTGTATACTGTTAGATTCTATTTATAAGAAATTCTAGAAAATGAAAAACTGTAGTGACAGAAAGCAGACTAGTGGCTGTATGGGACAACAGATGGCAGGAAGTGGGTTGAAACAGTGGGAACATTATTTGTTCCCGGGGACACAGGGAAGTAATAGAAATGAACTAATCCTGATTGTGGTGAAATTTGCACAGCTGTGTTCATATTCTCACACTCACCAAACAGTATATTTAAAATAGATGAATGTTATTGCATAAAATTATACTTCCAGAAAGCTATAGAAGAAAATTGGCCAGAATGTGAAGGATTTTGGGTGCAACTTAAGATGTTTGAAATCTATCATTGGCTATAGAAGCACTAAAATGTTTGAAGAAGGGAGAAATGGATGGTGTTGGAGAGAAGATACTGGGTACAAGAGTTTTTTTGTTTTTTTTTGTTTTTTTTTTGGTTTTTTTGAGAAGGAATCTCACTCTGTCACCCAAGCTGGAGTGCAGTGGCGCTATCTCAGCTCACTGCAAGCTCCACCTCCTGGGTTTGCGCCATTCTCCTGCCTCAGCCACCCGAGTAGCTGGGACCACAGGCGCCTGCCACTACACCCGGCTAATTTTTTGTATTTTTAGTAGAGATGGGGTTTGTCCATGTTAGCCACGATGGTTTTGATCTCCTGAGCTCACGATCTGCCCGCCTTTGCCCCCCGAAGTGCTGGGATTACAGGCATGAGCCACTGTACCTGGCCAAGGCTTTTTAATGAATTATGAAATAGAACAGAGAAGATTATGGCCTAGGTAAAGGTGGGAACAAAGGAAATAGAAATGATCAGATGGATGCAGGAGACTCAGCAATGAAATAATCACAGACCCTGCGATTGAGGACTAAAAAGATGCATGTTTTGGCTGAGCCTTTAGTTTGATGATCTTGGTGAGAGATGCTTGTACAAACCTGGAGCCAGCTTGGGGAGAAAGTGGGTGGATCCAAGGTCCCGAATTCTACCATGGAAACAAATTTAGAAACTTGGTTTAAGCTAGATGCCAAATTGATTCCACAGGATTGCCAAATATTAGGAGGGCAGGGACAAAGATACTGGCATTAGTGATGTGAGGAGGCATGAGACTCCATGTGGAAATGGAGGCTTATGGACATGGATTCCTTTTGTAAGGGCCTGCCCTCAGGAAGCCTCTCTGTCTGCCAGGTGAAACGTGTAAGAGGGAGCCAAGGAACTAAAGGGATGATTTAGGCCTGAGTGCCAGAGAGCATTGCACCACCACTGATAGACCCGGAGAACCCAGAATGGGAGATGCTCAGGGACAGTGGTGGTGAAGAGAAAATACAGAAAGGGAACTTTGATGGCATCCAGTCCTACCTACCTCGCCAAAGAAGACACTTCTGCTATGTCCCCAGTACCATTTGGGTTGAGCATTCTTCTAGAAACATGAAGTCTACTGCTTTGTGAAGAGTTGGCTCCATTACTGGACAGCTCTAAATGCAGGTGATGATGATGACGATGATGATGATGATGATGATGATGATGATGATGATGATGATGATGATACAAAGAGGAGCAGGAGAAGAGGACAGCTAACATGTATTGAGCAGTCTCCTTCTGCCGGACATTCTTCTAGGCTGTACATGCACTGTCTTATTTAATCCTCAAAATAACACTATAAGATAGGCACTATAATTATCTATCCTCGTTTTGCAGATGACAAAATGAAGGCACAGAGAAATGATATAGCTTGCTCAAGGTCATACAGAAGTGGTCGACCTGGGATTTGAACCCATGTCATCTGATGGCAGAGCCTTCACAAGACTGGCATGTGTTGCTTGCTAGTGATTCCATATCTACCTGTCTGTAATTTCTGTCTAATTCCATTTTCTGTAGGAATTCAAATCAGTAAACAGAAACTTTTTTGCATCTTTTCAAATGTGTTAAGACAGCAAAGTGTACATTTTCTCTGGATTTTCTCTTCTGTATGTTAAATACATCCATTCTATCAAGTGTTCCATAAGAGGAGATCATTCTAGTGCCCTTACCATCTTGGTGCTCCTTATTGAATATCCCTGAGTTGGTAATAATTCTCACTGAAGGTGAAAGCTAGAAGTAAACACAGTACTCCCAGTATGATTCAATCTGAATGGAGTAAAATAAGAGAATGTAGTGCATTATGGTTCCCTGTGTGGGGGTAGAGCAGATGGCAAGAAGACTAGGCCTGGAGAAAAGCCCACTGTAAAAGGATGGGGTGATACTGAATCAGAAAAGAAGACGAAACAATGAGTTTAAGGAGGATAAGAACTGAGAACTTAAACAGATCTGCTGGCTTAGGGAGAGTCATTGGGAAGAAATGCAGGAGCTATGGAAATAGTAGGTAATGAGCCAGCAGGAGGGACTACGTGTTGTCCTCTCTGGTTACAAAAGGAAAGGGAAAAGGACAGTGGCTGGTGGGAGGTGGAACAGACAGAAGGATCAAGTAAGAGGTTGTTTACATGCTAGGAAAGTGAGGATGGTGCATAAGGCAGGGAAAGGATTGTCAATAGAGAGGAAAGAATGCACGAAGAGGGAAAGACTGAAGTTGCTGCAGCCAGAGTCAGATGGAGACAGCAGGTGAGATGAAAGGTAAAGGAAGCACTTTGTGGGTAGAGACAGCAATATCTGAAGGTGCAGAGAAGGAGGGCTGATAACACCTCTCACATACTGCTTCATGTTGTGCAAAGGTTTTCCATGTTCATTATCTCATGGGATCACACACCAGTCCTGAGAGGGGAAATACTACTATTTGTAGTTTACCATGGAAGACAATGGAGAGTCAAAGAAGGTAAGTGACTTCCCCAGTGCTATGAAAGGAATACAATTTTCTGATTTCTTGTCCCTTTTTCTGAGTCTATGACTACAGCCTATTACACTGTGTCCCAGAGAGCTCAGTAAGATGTGAATCAAGACCATGTCCCAAAAGGGAACCAAGGGAAGTGAATTGTTGAGAGAAATTAGGAACTAAGGAGAGCTGGGAAAATTGAGCACATTGCTTAGAAAAGGGGTCAATGAGAAATAGAGAGTTGGTCTGTCAACATCAAGAGCATCAAGGAAGATAGCCTAAGTCTGCACTAATTTAAAGGAAGCCAACCCCAACCTACTCCTGTGTCCTGAGAAACAATACTCCACCCATTAATCCCACTGAATTTAATGAATGCCACAGTGTATCAGAGAAACAGTAGGTGACTCAGAGCAGGAGCAGGAGTTTTGTGCGGCCAGACACAGGGTACAAGGTATAAGATGTACATGAATCAGGATGATGGTCATGCCGGGCAGGATGTTACCAAAGATTGATGTGCCTGCAAAGGGACCCATAGGAAAGAAAGAGGACTCGGTGGAAGGGGGTGATCTGAGAAGGTTTCTGGGGACTGCTGAGCCCAGAATTTCACACATGTATAAGCATGGTGGTGAGAGTAGCTACAAAAATTAAGAAACCTTAATGTTAGTGAATGTGTTTGGCTGAAGACAAGTCCTTTTACTAAAAGGGCTGTAAAGCTCTCCCATAAGGGTTGGCAAAGGAAGCCTTTGTAAAATCTGGTGTGGAGAAGGGGCATGATGAGTCAACATGGCATTGAAACTGTCCATGAGAAATCAGGTTAGGAGGCTAATGAAACACGGTGTGAAGGCCTAAACTAGGGTTCTGGCAATAATGATAGGAAAAAATGTTATGAAAGGGATAATAAATTGATTTGGTTACTGAATAAGACATAGAGAATGAAGGAGAAGACAGAAGTCAAGAATGAGTCTTGATCATCAATGAAATCATAGCAATGTTGATGGATAAATAAAAATTAGAAGAGTCATAGTTAATGAGGAGAGGAGAGCTTAAGAGAACACAGGGAGATATGCATAGATACCTGGAGACACAGTCTGATGTTCTCATCAGTGATCAGGTCTAAGTGATGAGATTCAGAGGTCATCTATAAGGAGAGACGTATGACTCCTTGAGTGTGGGGAACAAGGTAGAGAAGCAGAAGGCCATGGTCTGAGCCTTGAGTGACATCAGAGAAATTTTCTATCTGCTAGGGAAGTGGGAAGAAACATTTCAATTAAAAAGCATTTCAATTCAATAATGAGAGATACTGGAAAAAGAAGCTGAAGGCATCAAAACTTAGAGATGGTAAGGAAGTCGTCGGTGCTCTTGGGTTGAGTACCTAAGACTGGTGAAGGGGAAGCACTGTGTGTGTGTGTGTGTGTGTGTGTGTGTGTGTGTGTGTGTGTGTGTGTGTGTGTGTGTGTGTGTGTGTGTGAAGGATGGCCTGGAACAGGCAAGGAAACCCAGAAACTTGGAGTTCTTTCAGGCAACTGTCAAACTCCTTTAGCTCCCAGGATGCTGCTCTCAAGGTGTTGCCAGGGTAGGACCAAGTGCCCAAAGACGCTGGCCACATTTTTGAGGTTGGTAAAACCTGGTCTGGAACTCCTGGTGCCACGCTGGCATGTAAACAGGTATCTACTAGCCTCTCCATTGTCTCAAGACCAATATATGCTGGACAATCTTGGCCCTAGATGGAACTCCATAACAAATACATGAGGGGAAGTGCATTAGAAAGCATTTCCATTTGTGTACAAACAATACTTTAAAAACTGCTTGCATTTTTGGGAGTTGAGTTTGGTGGTTGCCTGGAAGAATGCCCAACCCCAGTTCTACTAGAAATCTTGGCCCAGCTAGTGATAATTAATGTTTTATGAAGAGTGTGAGCTGACCTACAAGAATACATATGAGAATGGTGGAAAATATGTTTGAAATTATCTCAGTACATAAAGGTAGAGTCACCATTTGTGTGTAACTAGAGAGTTTGAGTTGCCCAGCCTAAGTCTGAGACCTGCCAACCTCACCTCCTTGCTCTGTAAACTTGAGCATGTCTCAGACTCTCAGAGCCAACTTCAAATCTCAGACCATCTCACGGTGTAAAAAGAATAAAATGGACTAAATTACATAGCAGGACTTTATGAATTATAAAGTGCTTTTTAAATTATTATATTGCCAATAAGTAGTAAAAGAGCCTTTCTTTAAGTTGGACTTCAGAACCTAGAGTTCAAGCATTTGACAATGACTTTCCCTGCATGAGTTTTTCCCTCATCTGCTATTCCTAATTCAGTAATACATAGCAAGTTTCCTTTTCCCAGTTATCCTCAATCATTTTTAGCAGAGAAACTTCACAGCCCCATGCCCTCTAAAATGAGTTTGGAACTAAGACAGGAGGTTTGGGAAGACAGTTCGGTGATCTGAAACAAATAATTCATTTGGGGGCTTATGTCTCATTTTCTTGTAGGGCAATTCCAAGACCTGACTCACTTTGGGCTGAAGCTGTTAGAAAATGTCCATGTAGCCTTAGTTTAGGAGAGCTGCAAAACACCACCTCCCAGGCCCATTATACTGCCAGGCACTTTCACGTCCTTTACAATACAAAATTTAACCTAATCCTCAAAGCAGCTTCTCGGGTTTAAACTACTATTCCTAGTTAACAGATGAAGAGTCTGAGGCTCAGAAAAATTGAAAAATGTGCCAAAAGTCACATATATATGTGCCACAGCTGAGATTTTAATCCTTTTTTTCAAGTCTACCCCTATATACCACCATTAAACCACCCCTATAAGGAAGAGTCTCTGTGAACCAAAGGAATTATTTTGAGCTCCTTCTCCCACTATTTGGACTCAAGAGTTTCATCGAATATGCTACTCTGTCAGCAGGGCTGAGATAGAGAAATTATCCAGTGGAAAGGATCACAGAACCCAGAAATAGATCCACATATATATGAACACCACTTAATATAAACACAACTGACAGTGCAGCTCAACAAGGAAAGAACAGACTATTCAACAAATCTCACTGCAACAACTATTTAACCATACAAACCACCTAAATTGGAATTCTACTTCACAGCGTACATAAAATCAATTCTAGGTGGCTTAATAACTTAAATATGTAGGGTAAAATTTAAAACTTTAGAAGACAATATGAGGGAATATCTTTGACTTTAAGATAGGAAATACTTTTGTTTTAAAACACCATATAAAAATAAAACTCATAAAGAAAAGATTAACTTTGACTATGTTGAAATCAAGAATGTGGGTTCATCAAAATACACTATAAAAAATTGAAAAGACTAGGCACAATCTGGGAGAAAATATTTGCAACACATATAATCAACCACAGGTTTTCAGGACAGAGTTTCTGCAAATCAGTAAGAAAAAGGCAAACAGCTTAACAACGACAACAACAACAACAAATGTCAAAAAAATCATGAATAATCGTTTTACAGAAGAGGAAACACAAGTTTCCAATAAGCATACAAAAATCCATTCAACCTCACCAGTAAGCAGAAAAAATGGGTGAATGAATGGGGTGACCAGCTCAAAGCCTATATAACATGAATGTAATTAATAGAAGCTCTTGGGGCAACTGAGGGAAGAAAGCAGAAGAGCAGAAGCTAAGACCTGAGGTCTGCAACCAGGAATCTCTTTCTCTTATCTTCTGAATGCACTCAATCAGATAGAATTAGGGTCATCTAATCCAACATAAGCCTAATTAGGCCAGGCATGGTGGCTCATGTCTGTAATCCCAGCACTTTGGGAGGCCGAGGCAAGGGGATCGCCTGAGGTCAGGAGTTCAAGACCAGCCTGGCCAACATGGTGAAACCCCATCTCTACTAAAAATACAAAAATTAGCCGGGCATGGTGGCAGGCTCCTGTAATCCTAGCTACTCAGGTGGCCAAGGCAGGAGAATCACTTGAACTCGGGAGGTGGAGGTTGAAGTGAGCCAAGAGCATGTCATTGCACTCCAGCCTGGGAGACAAAAGTGAGGCTTCATCTCAAAAAAAAAAAAAAAAAAAGCCTAATTAAATCCTTCTTTATTAAATGAAAAGAAGAATGAGAGTATGTGAATTCTGCATTCTGCACAACCTCTCCACTAACCCCACCCTCACCAGTCTCCCTGGAGAATGCCCTCTTCTTTCTTGACTCCCTCCTGCTTTTTCCCTGACCCCTGCTCCCCAATCTATGCCAATTCAGTCCTTTGAATGCTCTTTAATTGTAGACACTATTTACTGGTTTGCAAGCTCGATGCCCTTCTAGGCCCTTCTAGGCCGTAAGCTTGATGCAGGGAAATATGTCCTAGTCATCGGTTAATCCTGCACCTCTTACAGTGCTTGGCAAATCATATGTGCTGGACACTTCTTTTGAATCTAACAGACACTAAGTCACAGACCATGAAAAGCAGCGAATCTAAAGTCAATGACTCAAAACGCAAGTATTAATAGATTAACAGAGTAGGGATCTCAAAATGAAAAGAAAGGGCAAAAATACAAAGTAGACTCCAGGCTGATTACAACTAAGATATAAAAAAGCAATTTAAACCAAGCCCTGAAGTCTTGCTGCGTCCCCTGCTAAGCCAAGCAAGTCTGATGCACATAACACCCTTGCAGGCCACACACAGCCCAAGGGAGAAAGTGGTTCCATGAAGTTTGGGCTGGGATATCTTTGGAAGAAAGAATAAAAGTCAACTTTGTGGAAATGGGGCAATCCAGATTTTTAAAAATTGGGGTATTTGTCCCTAGAAAACACTCACATCATTGCATACTGAAAGGAGCAGGCCAGTGGCAAGGTGGCAAGGCCAGGGGTAGGTGCAGAAACACAAGGAGGTAAAGGCAGAGGGTGGGGACCCACCCACAGAGAAGTGTGAGCGTCAGAATGAATCATGCCTGTTATCACTCAGGCCACTCACTGTCTGCACTGAACCTGTACTAATTCTGCCAAAGTGGCCAAAACCCAGTGGAAATTCTTCTAACAGATACTTCTGGAAACTCCTCTTCCAAAAATCTCTCAAAGTTGCTTTACTTTGTTGTACATCAAATGCTTCCTTGCATATGAATATAAAAACAGAACTTGAGGAAGAGATCAGGTTAGAACTCATAATAGGTTCCGATGATTTCTTTTCTTCTTCTTTTTGGGAATATTCTCAAATGTTGACCAGTGTAGCCTGGTTAGTGAAAACCATTATTGATCAGCTACTGGATTAAATGCCTAACTAACATTACAACACAAAGCAGGTACAACTTGTTGACCACTCATGGTGTGGTCACCGTCTTTAATCAGTGAATGTGTGTTATCCTTATAATAGTCGCAGTAGTGTCCTCAGGTCAGGATTGTTATCAACCCTGCTTTCTATATCAGAAAACTGAGTCCTGAGCGATAAAGTAGCCTATACTAAATAAGAGCACTGAGATTATTCTCCAAGGCCATCTGATTCCATCTCCTTCTAGTTGATATTCATGAAGAAGGATTGCTCTTGGGAACACTGGGTTCTCTATACACATTGTCAGTTATTTCTGCAAACAACAGTAACAACAACCGTTAAACTACGGGAAACTCATGGGCAGGACTCAGCACAGAGCTGGGCATCATGCTTCTTTGTACATCTGCTGATTAATTTTGTTTGGAGGCCACATACAGCATCAGGAATTTGAGAATGTTAGCTAACCAATGAAGACTTCCAACTGCAGGGGGTCTGTCTTCTTTTCCTCTTCTTTCCCTTTCCTTTTTCCTTCCTTCCTTCCTTCCTGCCTGCCTACTATGTACCAAGTGTTGTGCTGTGAGCTGGGACACAGAGATTAAAAAGACATGGACCACTCAAAGGCCTTGGCATCTAGGTATGGGAACACACCAATGCTCAGTGCAAGAAAGGATACTCAAATTCCAGGGAGACGAGTGAATAGACAGAATCAAATGCACCTCCTTTTCTCTGGGTTCCTCGTTAGACTACAGGGCTATATTTCTAAAGGGAAGGGGAACTCCCAGGCGGGTCTGTCTGGTAAGTGAGGGCAAGTCTGCAAAGGAGCCCGACCACATTACAAAGAGGAAGGACGGTGCCTGTGACAAGAAGGAAGAGCCACGGAGCCAGGGTGGAGGCACAGTGCAGGACCTGGGAGAGGCAGACAGATTCCCCTATGCCAAACCCTGAAGAAGCGGGGAAGGGGCTGCAGGTCTGGGAAATAAGTTAGCGAGCAGCAGAATTCCATCTGACCAGTTGCACCCCCGATCCCACACTCAGCCCACTATCTCCCAAGGAGGACTTTGACTTCTCTTTGTCCTTCATCTTGTAAATAAGAAGGAAAAATGTAAATCGCCTCAGTGCTAGAGAGTAGGACAGGGCTGGAGCCCGCCTTCCAGTGGGAGGGAGAATATCCATTCCAATATTTATTTATTATTATTATTATTTAGAGGAGAGAGAGGAAAAAAAAAGCCAGAAATATTTCCAAAATGTCAACACTATTAAGGAAATCTGAACACCTTAATCCATTTAAATGTCAGCTAGAACGAGGCGAAGGGTTTTCGGGAGGGGAGAATGAGGAAGTAAGGAGGGGCAGAGAGAATTAACGCCAGATTCCACATAATCTATCAAAGTTTCTTTCTTTTCTTAATATATTAAATATTAAATGCTTCTTTGCATCTGAGTGAGAGAGGAGAGAGAGAGGGACCAGGGTGGAACTCATAAATGCCTAGATAATTGGTTTTGAGGTTTTTTTTCTTCTTTCTTTCTTTCTTCTTGGCGGATTCTCAATTTCCCTATAAAAAAGAAAATTCATTTCCAGCCACTAATGTAATGTCAGCGTGCTGTTTACTAAGCATGGATGATGTATAGGGGGACACCACTTTCAGAGGACTACTTAATGATGCATAGAATTAAATCCTGAGCTCCTCAGCTGAGCCTCCTCCCTCCCTCCTGGTTCCCAGGCTCCCAGTGCATCCTGGGAGAAGCAGGCTTGGCATAACCTGTCTCCCTCATTACTAGAATTCTGGGGTCTCTGCCGAAGAAGCTTGGAAATCGCCCTTAACTTTAGCAGACACATTTGCCCTTGGCGTAGACCAGAGTGAGCTCCTAGGCAGTAAGAAGCTGATGGCCAGGGGAAAGCAGACTGTTCGGTGCTGAGGGAGATAGAAACAGGGAGTTCACAGGATGCACAAGGGTGTTGGGGTTTCCCTGTAGGGAAAGGGCTGGCCAGGGAGAGGGAGGGGTGGAGCTTCTCCCAGCTCGCCCTCTGCCCCCTGGGAACCATGGCATTCAGATGTCAAGTAAAATATATTTCCCTAGTTCAGCTGCAACCTTAGGGGCCTGTGAGGCTGTCATTGCCAGAGCAGCACCTTGGTTCTCCTGCACCTGCCAGGCAGACGCATTGTCAGTGCAGGCTGCTCTCACAGTGGGCTGGCCAGCCTGGGTGGGCCTGGCCTCCGCTGAGGAGCTGCACCCTGCTGAGAGACTACCCCACCTTCCCCACCGGGGAAGAGTGATTCAGCCATGCCACCAAGGAGACCACCAACTGGTGGTCAGCACTGAGGAATTGGGAGTGAAGGCAGGAAGGTAGACAATGGGAGGGACCAGTGGGCTGAGGGGAGAGGGGGAAATGTAGCTCTCCTGCGGTGGGGGTGTTGGGAGGGGGTATCCAGACACACAGTCCCTTCTGAATCTCCACCAGGGTCACTTTGGCCCCCTTGAGTCTACTGAAACTGACTTCCCCCTAGGTAAACTCAGCGGCCTCATTTTCTTTATCCTCCTGAGCGTTTGCTATCACTAACCGCTCTTTCCTTTTGAAAGCCCTCTACTTAGGCGTTGTCAGTGCTGCTCTCCAGAAAATTCAGTGAGTCCCTATCTCCTTTGTGGGGGTCTTGGGCTCTTCTAGTCTGCGCGCTGAGGATTTCCTATAGGAGTCTTTCTTGATGGCTCTCTCCTCTGTATATTTTCACTCCCTATACAGGTTCCCTGTTTTTCATGAATCCAAAGCCCGTGTCTCCAATCTAACCATGAACCTGGGCTCCCAGAGTGTGCCCACAGCCTCCTCTAGCAGCAAATTCAGAACTGTTCCCCAGTCAGCTCCCTTCCCCACCACCCCACTTCCGCCCATGCTATTGCCATGGCTTTCAGATTAGAAAACTTAAAGTCATCATTGTCTCACTTTTCTTTTATTAAAATTTTGAAATGACCTTTGGCTTCCATCTTTCCTACTTATCCCCTGACCCCCATCACCCCTGATCCAAGTCCTAGGCCTAAACTCCTGCCAAGGTCCCCCAAATTTTGCCTTCCTGCAGTTGAATCATCCCAGCCTATCCTGAACTCTGAGCCCCACCTCATTTTCACAAAATACCATTTAAAACGCATCATTTTACAGAGGCTAGTCGCCACCCACTGAACTGTGTCCAGACTACACAGCCCTGAGCAGATCCTACTTCAAAGGAGAATCAAAGGGAGGGTTTTCACCAGCTGAACCTGTGGAACAACAGTTGGAGAAACTGAGTTTCCAACCTGGAAAAGGGGAAGTTAAAAGGTTGCCGAGCTTGTTTAGGAAATCAGAAGGGCTGCTCTGCAGCAAACAGGGAGAGATACTGATGACAGAGAGGGAGATATCTGAAATCAGTGAACACCAGAAACCATGAGCTAGGCTCCACAGGACTTTCCAACAGAGACATCTAAAGGTGAAATTATCTGCTCCCATCTTGAAATATTTCCAACAAAGACTGATGATCACGTGTAGGGATATTACAGAAGAAACCCACATGTAGGACTGGGAAGGCATGCATAGTTTTTCTAGAAGGGTTTTTAAGTTCCTCCCCACCCAGAGGTCCTGTGATGCTGCACCTCGCTGTCCACACACACTCCATGTAAGTCTTTGCCCATGTGGCTTCCCTATGAAGAATGGCCTCTTGCTGATCCTTCAGACCTCCTCCTCTGGTAGACCTACTCAGACTCCTCTGCTCTCTCTTCTTTGCTCAGCCCTTCAACCACACAATCTTGTATTGTACTCCCCCTCCCTACCCTTAACTTTTTCTAAGTGAGGATGAATCTGACCTCCTATAGTATATGAATCATAATGTATCTTTTGCAATCTCACTGTAGCTAACACAGAACCTTGCAAACACTGGCCATTAATAAAAACTCGATCCATTGATTGATTAAACACAATTACACACAAATTTCACTGCCCACCTTGAGTATTGCTGTGTGAGCCTTGCCAGTCAAGAAGTGTTGCCCAAATAAAAATTCTGTGTGTGGCTCTCCACCATATACTGAACAAAATGCCATTTCCTAAGCATGACACTCAGATCCCAGCCCATAGTGATCCTGAGCTACCTGTTCAAATGTTCCTGCATTCCTTACTCTATCCGCTGGCCAAATCAGACTATATGCCATGCACTATTTTCACAGTCTCCCTGCCTCGAAAGCCCTTCCCGTTTTTACGCACCTCGACATTCCTATTTGGTCTTCAAAAGGCAGCTCAGAAATCACCTTCTCAGTGGAGCTTTTCCTGATGACCTCTAAGGCAGCTTCTTTGCTCCTTCCTCCGTGCTCCCAGGACACTTTGGGCAGATCTCCATTTCACTGCTCACCATATTTTATTATAGTTAATTGTGTACACATCTGCCTTCCCCGTCATATGATGTGCTTGCCCTTCAAGGGCAAGGACAATGCCTTACCCAACCCTCATCCCTCTAGTACCCAGCAGCGTGTGAGGTGTATAGGTAGAAGGCAGGAGAGAGGGAAGGTACAGAAGGAAATGGAGGAAAGGAGGAAGGGATACAGAAAAGAAAAGAAGGAAAGAAAAGGGAGAAGATGTTATGGGCAGTGGAGATGTTATGACAAGGATCCAATAAGGCACATTAACCTGGCCCATAAATAATAAGTGACCAAGAAAAGACATTTCATGAAGCTTCATGAGTCTGAAAAAGGAGATCTTTGCCTTCTCTCAGACAGATCCACTCTGGTCTGAATATACTTGATTCATGGCTACAGGTTCTCTGCATTACAGTCCATACTAATTAAAGTAAATGTTCTCTCCCTTCTGGGTCTTTAGTGTGCCCTGTTGCATAAGACAGAAGACAGTAACTATTTCCCAAAATAGTGGAGGTCTTGCATGATGAGATAATTCAGTGCAGGGATCTGGGAGCATGTCTTGCCCCAGGAGTATGGTTTATTCAGCCATAGTGGAGTGGGAAGTTGGTCCTGGGCTTTGTGGTGGTAGTGGATGTGTTGGACTAACTCTTGGCAGATTCGGTCCTCAGGAAAGTTCTGCCTAGGTATTGCTGCTAATTGGAATAACTAGGTGTCCCAGCTGGGCCAGAAGGGAGCCCCTGGAACACTCTGCTAGATGGAGCTGGAAAATACCTTTCTCTCAAAAATCTATGTGATCCCTTGATTACAGCAGAAATGAGATATTGCTCAAAAAAAATCTTAAACTGATTCTATAGGAGTTTGCACATAAGTAGACATGTCTGGTGAGCTACTTGGTGTTTCCTTATGGAAGCCCATTTGCAGAAAGGAATGATATGAACCCTGTGAGATAATTCACTGAAAGTAAGAAAGTCTGCCAAGGTGAACCAGACACAGCAGCAGGACTGGGGCTTAGGGTGACGGTGGCTCTGTGTGCAGCATTTGAGTAACATTAGGAACTCGTCCCCATTCAGCTATCCAAAAGACACAAAGAGAAGAAACGTCTGTGCGTTTGTAAATTGACTAAATTTTGTCCCACTAAATTGTGACCCTTTGAGGTACAGACAAAGCTATTTTGAGATCTTCCTCAATGAAGCACCGGGGACACAATGTTCTCACTTCCTACGAACACCAGTGGTTGAGCCAGTTGGCAGCAATTTGGGATGACAGAGAGAGCCCCTTATCGTGGCAATCCTGGGACAAACAAAGACTCTTGCTCAATAGTAGAGGTGACAGGCCAAAGTAACAGAAGCCAGCATCAAATGGTAGCTCGGACTGCACAGCCTCTAGCAACTACCCCATGGGTAGTCCAAGAATGTTTGGGAGGAGGGAACTCAGTAAGACACTGTGAAGCAGGTGGGAGCTCAAAGGTAGCAAGGCTCAAAGCTATGATTCACATGTCATTATCCGAACCTACAGACTGGTGAGATGCAAGACTGAGAATACATTGTTTTGTTATTTTTGTTTTACCTTTTTATGTTTGTTTAAATACAGAGAGTAATCATTCAGGCCAGAGGAGATAATAAAATAACCCTAGCAGATGCTCATACCTTAGATCAACTCAGGACACCCTACAGCTGTGTGCTCTAAGTTCAGGCTCGGTGTGTGGGGCAGGCATTCCCCAAAGATGAGAGGTCCCACCTGGGAATCTTGGCTTTACCCCCTGAGAGTCCAGGAAGCCTGGGGTGCTCCCAAGGATGAGATAGTGAAGGGGAGGCAGAGTTCAAAGCCCACCCTCAGGGTGTCAGAACAAGGACCTCCTCTCTTAGAGCCTCTGTGTGGCATCAAAAGAAAGGAATTTCAAGAGACCCTAAGAAGTCGGACACCTTGCCATCAGTCAGTCCACCAAGAGCTCTGGTTGGCAGCAGCTCTTTAGGTCTGAGCACCTGTTCCTGGGATTTAGGCACAACCAGAATTTCCTTGTCTTGTTTTCTTTTCTGCATCCTTTGATTTTCCCCAACTAAATATAAATTCTTTTAGACTATGGCTTCTAGATTTTACCCTTTAACATAATTCCTTAAATATAATATCCTGATCTCTCTCCCTTCTCATGTCCTCCACAAGCCAACCCACCTCCATTAGCAGACCCACCACCCAAGATAATTGGACTGGCCCCAGAAGAAAATGAAGACCCTACAAAATCTGCCTCTCCCCCAGGGGGTCACCGGTGCCTCCAAATTCGGTCCAGCAGGCTTGGTCTCCTCTTTTCCCTCAGCCCCATCCCTTCCTGGTCAGCCCAGTATCCACTTTCCTGGGTCTTATAAATCTAGAGCTAATCTGCTAAACTCCTCTGGGTCTGAACGTTAATGGCTGCTGTGAGTAAATGGGTTACCTTTCCCTGGAGTCTTCTCAAGCCACTATGGCAGGAGATTTCCACTCAAACCCTTCATATTAGTAGGTTCCTGAGACACCCATATTTCAGTTCTGTGGAAAGTACCAGGGTCAAACTACTGGAAGACCTAGGACCCCGGTCACACACCCCACCTACCCCACACTTTCTGCACTGTCCTGGGCCATCTCTCCCTCCTGAGGGTCTCCACAAATGGCTCAATTCCATAGGGTCTTGTTGATCTTACATCAACCAGTGTAGAAACTTCTGTCTCTCTCTCCCCATTCCTAACACTTTCTTTCACATTTTCTTATTCATACTCACCTTCCTTTAAAATAATTCCATGGATCTTTTTTCAAAGTTAAAGTTAAAGAGACTTTTAAGAATCTTAGTTTGAGTCTGTGACAAAATAGGGGAAATATCGTCCCTGAGGATGACTCTTGAGACAGTTATAAAAGACTATAATAAAATTAGAAATTTAGAAAAAGAAGGGATTCCCAACTGCTACTCTCCTAGCCAGGAGTCGAAACAGGCCCTTCACAAAGGGAGCGACAGGGAGGATGGCAGGGAGGGGCAGTGAGGAAAGTGGGGAGTTGAATAAGCCTTGCCAGATTGGGAAATGAGACCCACAGGGAAACATGACTCCAATCCCTCCTTAGCCATAAAGCCTTGTTCACACACCCTCCCCAGCAGCACTTCCCACACACATGTGTAAACAACAGAAAGGGCTCCAGGGAGCCAGGCTCTGAGCAGGAGAAGGAGAGAGAGATCAGTCTGAACTCTCCGGGCTTGGGATTTAGGGAAAGTGTCCCTCAGTTTCCTCATCTGTAAACCTTAATAACTGAAGCTAACAGCTACTAAGCCATCGCCATGGCAGACACTGCCAATTTCTTTATGTGCATTCACTTACTCACTCCTCACGGCAACCCGATGAGGCAGGTCCTATTATGATCCCATTATACAGATAAAGAAACTAAAGCTTGGAGAAACAAAGTCACCAGCCAGAGCTTATATCGTGCACCTTCAGTTCAACCACAAGACTGGCTATTTTTCTACCTGCTTCTCTGGAGGCTTTTATGGCAGGACTTGTATCTTATTCCCTTGAAATACAGAATCTTCCTGGACCTTCTCCTTCTATGTTCCATTTTTGTCATCAGTAGGCTAGGGACAGAAAGAGGGTAGATGAATTTTCTTTGGTACTAAATTGGTCTATGGGTCAAGAGGAAAGTTAGCCAGGGATATCAACCCATGCACGTGGACAACACCTCCCCTATTTTAAATTTTTCTTCCACACATTTTCTTTTGGCCTTCATAGCAGCCTTCAAATATAAATGAAGCAAGTCTTCCTCATCTATAAAATGAGGGTAAAATTGCCTGTCTTGCAGGGTTGGTATGAAGAGTAAATGATTATAGGAGAGCCCCTAGGACAATGTCAGGCACACAGTTTACTCTTACCAAATGTGAGGTCCCTTCTCAAGTCTAGGAGAGTGATGGTACTGACACGGAGACTGGACAATGCATGGTCTCACAACTGTAATTCCAGCAGCCCAGGCTTCCTCCCTGGAAGCAAGCATGACTTGGCATCCTGTGCCTCTTCTCTAGACTCCCTTTCTCCCTGCCTGTTTCTTCTCCTCTGTCCCCACCTCAAATGCCCCAAAGCTACAAGTTCTAAAATAAATTTACAACATGGTACTGTGCTTTAGGACAAGAATGGGAAAGAAGACCCCAGATATGGAATGGATAAGGGATGTTTTCGGGGGTAGGATGCAGACATCGTCAGGGAGGGAAGGACTCAGGTCACTGAGGGGAGGAAAGGTACATGGCACTGAAAGACACACAGATGAGTGCATATGCAGCACATGCACACACATGCCCATGCATACACACATATATGTACACATTATCCAGTGCCTTGGTAGACCACACCTCTGGCAGCAGTGGGTAGTCTTCACAAATGAGCCCCTGCTCACTCTAGAAAGCTATTCAGGCAAACTGTTCCTCTAGGAAACATTTTTAGGGACTCTTCTGAGAAAGAGCAATTGGGGTTAATATATGCATATAATCATATATAATATAACTATGATAAAGGCTGTGTTTAAAATGTGGCCAACTGTGCCTGAGGACCAGCCCCCTTGGCTGGCCTTTTAGTCCCCATGGCTACCCCTGAGATATGTCCACAGTTCCTTAGGGCACCACAGAGTACACTTTGAAAACCACAACCTCAAACCAGAGAAGGAAGAAATGCAAGGTTCTGAAGTTGGGGACAGGGGACCATGGTTGACTCTCTGATCACACGATGCAGGCAGTTGCCTATGCAGCTCTGGGGGGCAGAGTGCCTGGTCCTCTGCTTGATGGCATTCCTGAACCAGAGCTGGATGGTCGCCTCCACATTTCTTGCTTTGTGAAATACTTATAGAGTCCTGCTTTGTTTAGGCTTCCACTGTTTGGATTTTCTGTTATATGCAGGTCTGCTCAGGCCCCAGCTGATCCATCATGCTATTATTCCTCTCCTGGCCTCCTGCATCCCAGGCTGACCTCCCACACTGATGCTCTCTCCTTCCCCCGGCCCCATTCGTGACTTGACAGCACTTATTCTCTTCCTCTGTACAAATCATTCAAGATGCCCTCCCTGTCTGATTCACTGTAGTATTCCCAGGGCTCAGATCCATGCTTGGCACACAGTAGGCAGTCAATGAATGTTTCTTAAGCAGACAAACGAATTATCTCACTAACCCGGCATTGCTCTCATTATCTGACAGCTGCTCGGCCTACTCTCAAACCCTGACCCCTTGTCCTTCTCCTATCTCATATTTCTTATTGTCTATGAAAGATCTCTATTTGGTTGGCCTTCCAACCCCTGCAACAAAACTTGTCTGAAGCAAAGCTTGTTATCTTTCCTTCCAAGCCAGAGCCCATTCCCAACTTCCCAGTTATTGCTAGCAACACAATTAGCCTTAGGACCGCACGGTCATTGCTCTTCATTTTTCTCTTTGCTTGGCGTTCACTCCCTCTTTGACTCCTGTCTGTTCTTTCTCAGCAAGGTTTCCCAGTCTCTGTACTCTCTTTTCTCACAGCAGTTCCTGATCCAGGCTTGGACTCTGCACTGGAAGCACCAGCGGGTGGTCTTCCTTCCCACTTTTCACCAACACCAGTCAAGTGCAGGTCCTGCCAGTCCCCTGACAGAGAGGGCCTTGAAAGTGAATGTCACAGAGAGCACGCAGTGAGTGTGGGATGAGAGATGAGTAAAGGATGCCACATCTCCTTTTCCTTGAGGAGAAGGATCCTCTGTGCTTATCATACCTTTGCAATTAATACAATAATTCTGAAGACAGACTGGAGGCTCTTCTCAATTCATCAAGTTTATTGCATCCCTGAAACTAATCTAGAAATTTTACCCCCCTCCACTACCTTTACACCCTCACTCCTTCCCCCTTTCTCCTGATTCTGGGCCACAGCCGTTCACTGAGTGGCTTCCACACAACAGCTGGGGAAGCGCCCATGACAGGAATCACTGCTGAGCTCCACAGCCTGCCTGCAGGAGGCAGAGGGTCCTGGCCTCACCCACCTACTGGCTTCTCCTGATTCTGTGTTCCCTGGCTTCTCCTTCATCACTCTCTGGAAAACACTTCAAAGCTTCCTGCTCTCTCAATGCTGACCCTATGGTACTATTTCCCAAATAAATAAATGACAAAGAAAGAAACAATAACTCTTCATATAGGCAGGGCAGGCCATTTTCTTCACCATCCACCTCCATTGCACACTCTAATTACCCGATCCTACCTGTAGGTGCTTCTCACTTGAAGAATGGCAGAGAGGATTTTGCCCACCTTAGCATGCTTTCTGGGTATAACTCTATGTCCCGGATAAGCTTTTGGGCTCCCTGCACCCCACACCTCAGTCTGTTTGTGCCAACTGATTTATGCAGGGCTGGGAAGCTTCCAAAAAACAAACAAACAAACAATTTGGGATTTGGACATATACAGACATGTCTGATGACATTGGCAATGCCTTCATGAAAGCCAAATTGCAGTGATGAACTTTAGGAGATAGATCCCAAGGGAAAGAAGCCACCATTATGAACCAATCTGGAAACAGGACCTGAGCAGTAAATGGAAATGTTTCTGCATAGAATGAGGCCAACACTGCTTGAGCCTCCTTGCAGAGAAAAGGTCGTGCATATGCAAAGTGAAAAGAGCTGGAACATCTTGGAGCTCAGGCATCCCTGTAAAGGAGTCACAAAGGAAGAGAGAAGCCTTTCCCTTCCCATTCTGTAGATGTTCAGATAATAGCTGTCCAGAGAAAGTGGTGGTGGCCACACTTCAAGGGGCAGCCTGAGCAGAGTGATGATGGTGACATACAACAAGCAAGAGGCACAGCAAAGAGATTCATGAAAGCATCATGGCAAGCCCAGAGTACCACCTGAGATGGCTAGGAGGAGCCACAGGAGGATGGCAGAAGGTGGTGGCCTCAAGTTCCTAGCCACACCTCTCCAGTCCCAGGAGCCAAGCACAGAGTCCCTTGTGACCTCATTGTACCCACAGGTAGTGAGGTGAAGAAGCATTTAGATTATATAAAGAATCCTCCATTCAAGGTACATCAAGCAAGTCCAAACAATTATGTAGGAAGAATAAAAAAGACAACAGGCTTGCAAAGCATTGAGCATATTTGCAAAAGCTGAGTATAGACAGTGCAGGTGCTGTTTGGTCAGGATTGAATGGGAGGGGGAGGAGAGGCCAGACTTTGGTGTCCACTCAGCCCATCCTGAGCCAGCACTGTCCTTGGAGCGATGGAGAGTTTGAGTAAGTACAAAAACACTGGAAGCCTCAGAGACTGGCAAGTCCAATCCCTCTTTTACATGAATAAGCACCTGGGCTTTCCACAAAAGAAAATGGTTAGAAGTAGCATTTGGGTGGCACATCACAGAAGGCCCACACACACATTAGCCTGGACGATCCTCACAATGTCCCCATGAGATTGTGCTGTCCTCACTGCAAAAGCAAAGAAATAGGAGGTTTGATAATATTAAAGAAAGTGCCCAAGGTCTCTTGGCTCCACTGCACACCATGCTCTGTGAAAGACGGAAGGGGTGGGAGGCAGGGGCTAGTGGGTTATGCAGAGGACAGTTTGGTGAGATATTGCAACCATTAGTTCAATACAAAGAATGCATGTGAGTGAATGAATGAAAGAATGAATGAAAACCTGTGAGATATTAATAAAGATCATCAAACACAAGCTGTGTAGGTTTTTAAGAACTGAATAATCTCATTAAATAGTGGGAAAATTTAAGATTCCAGAAAACTCAGAAAATATATGGGCCAGTGTTTGGTATACATCAGTTCATTAAAATTATAGATGTGAAGACTCTACTCATAAACTACTGAATCAGAATATCTGGGGCCTCCTTATATTCAACAAGCTGCCCAAGTGATTGTGCTGTGTAAGTTGGAGAACTAGTGATTTAGGTTATAGTTTAATTTGTAATAATCAAGACAAATAATTAAATGCCTTGTAATGACCACTCACATTCACTGATTGCCATCATGTCTCTTTCTGATAATAATAGTGAATCTACATGAGCACTTACTCTCTGCCATATGTGTATATTCTGATTGAATTTTCATAAGAACTTTGCAGGGTGAGTATTATTATCTTCACTCAATAAACACGGGGCCTAATGCTCAGAGGGATGGAGTGGCTTGGTTAAACCGACATTGTTAGATTGTGGCAAAGCTGGCTCTGCAACAGGTCTGCCTGTCTCCAAGCCCATGCTCCCTCCATCAGAGCCAGGACACCCCTCCTTGTTTGCACTAAGTTGGACCCAGGGCTGGGCTGGGAGGTTCAGAAGAGTCTCTCATAACTTCAAAAGTGATGAGCATAATTCACAAATGTGAACACTTATCTATCATTGCAGCAACAAATAAGAACTTTTGAGAAGCTGGTGACCAAAGTTAAGAAGCATAGATAGCCTCCAAAAACTCTAGAAGAAACGGAGACCATGCCTGTGAAAGAATTATGAAACATTGGAGAGGGAGTTTGAGGGATAACAGAAGATGGAGAAATGGAGGCTGGCTTGAGAAATGTAAGTAGCCTAGATCTGGAATCTGGGAAGGAAGGGAGTGAGGGAGTACAGTGGAAGGTGCTGCAGAAAGGAAGTTGGGTGAAAGGGGAAGGAAATAAACTTCCAGATGAAAGGATTCAAGGATAAGCCTGATGTGATGGAGGTGGGTAGAATGAGAGCAAGAGCCAGGAGAGAGAGAAAGAGAGAGAGAAGAAGAGAGAGAGAGAGGCCTTGAGCGGATGATTCACCCATGCATGATTTGTAATATCATGCACTGGTCACTTGGAAAATGTTGGATCACTGAGTTACAAAGATCTTCCAAATGCACAGTAAAAAGCCCCACTGTACACCCGGAGGTAAATAAGAAAGCAAAGGCAAACGACCTTGAAACAGCATTGACCTCTCAGACACCCTGAAAGGATCTCAAGGAGTCCAGGAGTCTCAGGCTAACACCTTGAGAATTACTGCTGTGGTGTAATGAAGAGCATTCTGAACTGGGAATCAGACAAACAGCATGCTATATCGGACTCACCTTTTCATTAGCTTGGGCATGTCCCTGCACTTCTCTGAGCCCTGTCAGACAAGCTGGATGACTCACTATTTCTTAACAATTCCCCATGAATTCCCCCATCAGAGCATTTCTCTGCTTTGCCTAAGATAGACTCTTCTCTGCCCAGTTCTCCAACTGCCACCTGCCAACTGTACCCCTTCTTGAAGGCATAGCCAGTCGCCACCATGATATGTTCTCTCTTTCCCCTCTTCAGACACATCTCTCCTTCTTAGGCCCTTTACTGCCTGTGTTTGGACCTCTCCTGGGGATCTTATCTCACTCTGTCCTCAAAGTAAAAATGACCAGAATCCTTGTCTGGCACCCCCATCACCTCTGGCACCCCCTCTTCCCCTTCACAACTGGACTGTGAGTCCCTGAAGAGCAGAGACCACCAGGTGTTGTTCATGTTTGTGTCTCCTTCAGCCACTACCCAATGCCTGACACAGAGTAGGCACCCTGTGGAAGTGAAATTAATTGGTTAGCATGTTTCAGAAAGATCTATCTGTAAGGTTAAATGGATATTTATGGGAGAAGAGGCTGGGAAGAGGTGACTGGGAGGTGAAGGGAGAGGAATGGCGGTAAAGGGAAATAATGAGAAAACTGATGGAAGGGCCTGAGGGGAGAGGTCAGAGTGTACACCTATGGGCTAAAGAGACGGGGTGTGATGGGGGCACAGTAAGAAGATAAGAAGGGCATTTTATGGTGGACTTAGAGGATGGGGAGGGGAGTGGGATGCTTGGGCAATGGCGTTCCATTGGAATAAGACACTAAAGAATACTTGGGATGAAAATCAGGAGACACTGGGTGGAGGAGCTGAGTCCTGGCTGCTAGATGACACCTTGAGTGAGTGAGGGGCACGAACAGAGGTGCTAGGAAGCCGACCCCATTCTCTCTGCACACGATGCCAGGGATGCCATTGGATCTCCTGTGTGGGGCTTCCTGAGAACCCCCCTTCCAGGCACCTGGAAACCCTTGCCAGCTCCCACACATCTGGTGATGAGCAAGCCCGCATGAAGCACAAGTGGAAAAGAGCAAGACACTCAAAACCTCTGTCTTTTTCTCTTCAAATATTTGCAGAGGGAGTGTGGCAGGAGCTCAGGAATGCGGTGCTTATTGCTCACACTACATTAAAATTCAGATTGGCTTGTGCAATATCCCTGGCATAACCGCTCTGTGCTGATATTTTTATAACTCTTAATATCAAACAAATTGCCTCTTCACTGAGACAGTTTAATGTGACGGGGGCCGTGCCCGCCAGCTTCCTCACGCCGGCCCCATAAAGATCACCGTTCTGTTACTGGGGACAGAGGAGCTATGAATTTACTGTCAAAAATATGACTGGATTATGCAGAGTAAATCTTGGACTGTATTAAAAGGATCATGGTGTTTTAATTTCTTTTCTCTCCCCATACACTTGCCACCACATCTTTTTTTACTAATAAAATAAGGTTGGGGCCTCCATGTTGAATCATCTATGAATCATCTTTTTTGGCCTACCTTCCTGTTTTTGTCATATTCATGCCTCTTCTTCAGTCATCAATAGATGCCTTTGGCTCTACCTTACATTCAGTAGACGCCTCCTCTTTCCTTCATGATCTGGGAGAGAAAAAGATTTGAATGGATTTTTCTAGAAAATCTCCACCATACTTCAACTTCAGGGTCAACAGAATCTTCTCTTGTTTGGGTAACTTTTACCCCAATGGCATCTGGGGAGTAGAGAGAACTATAGTTGAACACTACACTCTTCTTCATGAGCTCATTCTATCAAACACTCCTTTTATTACAAAGACATGATTTCCTACATAATTAGGAAAAATAGACTGTATTTATTGAATAATCAGTTCTCCCTTTCATTTATAAATCAAGGACCTAGAAAAATGCCAATCAGAGCAATCCATTGAGATAGTACGTATTCCCAAATTGAGTTGTTATAAATCAACCCAAAGCAAAGAAACCTGACATTTTACTAGCCCAAGTCACTTTACTGTAGGTAATCAGTCCTTTCCAAATATTGAACATAGTTTGTGAACTCTGCCCTCCCACCGTTACTGCCCTAGAGAGCCACTCAGAGACCCAGGACACTGAAGTTTAGAACAAGTGAGTAAGGTGTCCTCCAAGAAATACATTGATTGGAGGAGTTGTGTCAGTAGAAGTCTCAGTACAGCACATGCAAGTGCTAATAGCAGCAGAAACGCAAAGAACAAATGATCAAAGTGTTTTGCATCATCTTCCAGCCTTCCTAAGACCACACACTCCAGACTGACAGACAGACATACAAATGGACACCAGTCACACATTCTTGTTTTCAAGGCAGGGAGGAAAGCTTCCACTTGAAAAGTGCCCCATCACTTGAAAGGGTTACCTGTGTGAGGTCACATAATTTTGAGTGTTTTTCTCTCGTATCTTTATATGTCAAATCTTCTTTTTCTTCTCTACTTGTATTTTATGAAGTAATACTTAGGATGACTCCACCATTTTCAAGTTTTACATTTTCATATACTTTGAAATTGGTATCCTCACATAACATAGTTAACACCAATCAGAGGTAACTTCACCCAGTATTAAAACTTGGTGCACATTTGTTTCGTAAATGTTTTAGGAAGATTTGAACTGAATAATCTTTTTCTTTAAATATCATATCTTTTTTGTTTCCTATGGCTGAAGCCATATCCACTTCCTTTGCTTCCAGAACATGCCAGATTACCCTGGCTTGCAGAACTGGTCATCTTTGAAAATCTACAAAGTTCTAGAAAGGCTGATCTAGGCTAGGAACTCAGATCAGGCCCTGTAGAATTGTCAGCTATTAAAATATGTCACATCTTATGCTTATGAAACTAGGAAAAAGCATAAATCACGCTTTTATAACTGACTGCTATGGTCTGAATGTGTCCCCCAGAGTTCAAATGTTGGTAACTTAATCTCCAATGCAACAGTGTTAAGAGGATGGATATTTAAGGGTTATTGGGCTCTGTCCTCGTTAATGGATTAATGGTGTTATCATGGGAGTTAGTTATTGATGGAGCAGGTTTCTGATAAAAGGGATGAGTCTGCCCTGCTTTCTCTCTTGCTCCTTCCTGCTCTTTTCCCCTTCCTCCTTCCCGGCTAGGATGATACAGCAAGAAGGTCCTCACCAGATGCAGCCCCCAACCTTGGATTTCCCAGCCTCCAGAAGAGTAAGAACAAAAAAAATTTTCTTTATAAATTTCTTAGGCTGTGGTATTGTGTTACAGCAACACAAAACAGACTAAGACACTGACTATGATAAAAATGGGATGATCTAGGCCAGGTGCGGTGGCTCACACCTGTAATCCCAGCACTTTGGGAGGCCAAGGTGGGCGGATCACGAAGTAAGGAGATCAAGACCATCCTGGCTAACACGGTGAAACCCGATCTCTACTAAAAATACAAAAAATGAGCCGGGTGTGGTGGCAGGCACCTGTGGTCCCAGCTACTTGGGAGGCTGAGGCAGGAGAATGGCGTGAACCCAGGAGGCGGAGCTTGCAGTGAGAGGAGATCACGCCACTGCACTCTAGCCTGGGCAACAGTGCAAGACTCCGTCTAAAAAAAAAAAAAAAAAAAAAAAATCTGAATAATGCAAAAGTTAGGAAATCTTGATAATAGCAAAAATTTAGAAACAATCAAAATGAACAAAAATATGTGCCTTGTTAAAAAAAATCATCCATAGAGCATACAAACCTATAAAAAATCACTGTAACAACTTAAAATTTTGTTTTAGAAGAAATATTTAACATGATATAAAAAGGGACCGGGCGCGGTGGCTCACGCCTGTAATCCCAGCACTTTGGGAGGCCGAGGCGGGCGGATCACGAGGTCAGGAGATCGAGACCATCCTGGCTAACATGGTGAAACCCCGTCTCTACTAAAAATACAAAAAATTAGCCGGGCGAGATGGCGGGCCCCTGTAGTCCCAGCTACTCAGGAGGCTGAGGCAGTAGAATGGCGTGAACCCGGGAGGCGGAGCCTGCAGTGAACCGAGATCGCGCCACTGCACTCCAGCCTGGGCGACAGAGCGAGACTCCATCTCAAAAAAAAAAAAAAAAAAAAAAAAAGGTATTTACAATTTAACATCGAATGAAATAAAGCAGGTCAAAACAATGTTTACAATATGACCTTGTGTTTTAATACATATATATTTTGAGACTTAAGATAAATTCCAAATTGTTCGTAGTAGAATAACAGGTGATTATTATTTTCTTCTATGTTGCTTATCTCTGTTGTCTTAATGTTTGATGGAAAAAATAAGTGTATTGCTTTCAAAATAAGAGGGAAAAAAAGTAGTCTGGAAAATTGTTTTCATTGCACATCTGTGGGAGTTGAAAATTGAGCCTAGAGCTTATAAGACATTCTTGTATTCATGCATCTCAACAAATAATACTTATGGCCTCTAAGGTAAGCTAGCCCTGTGGCACTGCAGAAAAACCAAAGACCCACTACCTGCCCTCTGACAACTTATAGTTCTGCCACCCAAACAAGAGAAAACTTCAATCGCTGCCTTTGAGGTGAGAATTGAGGGCTCATCTCTGCCAAGGACCTCTGAGGCTTCCACAGCTCCTTGGACTGAGGTTGGAGCCAGCACTGCCTCCTGTGCCCTGAGGGTCCCAGGGGATCAGGGTGTGGCTGAAGTAGTCTGGGCCTGCAGCTACTTCCTCAGGTCCACTCTCCCACCCGGACTGCCTGTCCCATTGCCCTTGGACACCCACCTCGTCACACTCTTCTGTTTCTCCCCTTCCCATCCTCTCTGTCCGGTTTCTTCCAGGCCACCTCCAAAGAGACCTGCTGCTCCACCCCCAATCTGTTGCTTGTGCCTTACTAGAGGTTTCTGCCCTTTTCAGCGCCACATCCCAGGAAAGGAAGAAACATGCTCCAGGGCTGGAAGTTCGTCTTTGAGGGGAGGAAGTTCCCTGGAGTCTGCAGCAGATGGGGGAGGCCCCAGTGGGGCGCACGTGGATGCATTTCTGGGAGGAAACCAAGTACCATCCGCTCTCGCTCGCTCCCATCCAGTGTTTTCTTCCCCCAGTGAGTCTCTTAATTTTGCTCATTTATCTTAAAGAGCTCCGTGAGCGCCGTGGGCTCTGGTGGGGGGTGGGGGGGCGCACGGGGCCTCCGACACCCGACCCCCACGCCTGCCTCCCAGAGGAGCCATCCAGCGCGGACCAAATCTCATTTTCCTACAAATAGTTTGTCAGAAGCAGCAGGGCAAGTAATAAATCACGGAGAGCGAGAGCGGAGAGGGGAGGGGGAGACTGGCGAGGGGAGGGCGGGGCCGAGGGGGCGGAGGGAGGGTTGGCGGCGCCGAGGGAGGAGCGCGCGGGAGGCTGCGAGCGGCGGGGAGGGGCGCAGGCCAGGGAGAGACAAACGGAAAAGGAGGGAAGGAGATCGAAGAGACAAAGAGAGGAAAACACGAGGGAGGATGAGAAAGGGAGAAGGAGCCAGGGGAGTCCAGAGAAAGGAAGCAAAGGGAGAGGGAGAGACTGAAGAGAGGAACGGAAAAGACTGGAAAAGACAGCAAGGGGTGAATCAGGAAGCAGAGAAGGGGAAATAAAAGGAGAGGAGAAAATGAATCCAAAGAGGATGCAAAAAAGGAGGAAGGAGAGATGTCTGGTAGAGAGGCAGACCCGGAAAAGGAATGTGGGCGAGGGGGTGCTCCATGTGTCCTGAGCCCCCTCTATGCCCTGAGCCACAGGGGTGCCTGTAGTCCGACTCCTTGACCACGTCCTCCCCATCCTTATCCCTGCTGCCTGCTCCCGGTGGACTGATGCAGGATGCAGGCAAGGATGGGCTCATCTTGGTCCACTGTTAGCCGGCCTAGAGAGACAGTCATTGCAGTGTGTGTGTGTGTGTGTGTGTGTGTGTGTGTGTGTGTGTGTGTGTGTGATGGAGACAGGGAGGGAAACCTGCATACCAACTATTATGATGAAGACATGCGTTCTTAAGCAGGCTACTTCACTCTTCTGAGCCTCAGTTTTCTGATCTCGAAAATGGGAACAATAATCTCTCTTTTCAGGCTTGGGAGAATTTAAAGAGATGACCCACAGGAAAAGCATCTACCACACGGTGCAGGCTGTTGATTAGGAAACGCAGCCTCCCTTGAGTTTCTGTGTGGGTGAACCTGGCTCCTGGGGCCCCGGGTGGGGGTGCCAGGCTTCAGAATCTGCACACTGCTTCACCACCCCCGCAGCCTGTGATCCCAAGCCAGGCCCTCTGATCCGGCAGCTGTCAACACAAGCACACTCCAGTGCTTTCTGCTTTGCTGTTGGCCTCCCTCGGGAAGCTTTGAACACTACTGAGATCATCATTGTCAAACTCTCTGGGCTCTGGTGCAAGGGCAGTCAGATAAGGAGGAATATGACGTGCCAACCCTCCTCTTTGGTCCCCAGCCCCCAGCCTCACCCTGCTGACCTCTGGCTCCTGCTTAGCTCAGAAACTGTGGGCTCAGAACAAAGTTTGAGGTTCTGCTTCTCTGATTCACCCCTTTCTCCTTCCTGATTACTGGCATGGAGCCAGGCACTGCAGGACAGAAATCAGGTAACTTTACAGATGGGAGGAATGAAGTGGTGCTTTTAGGGGCCTATGTTGTGCTGGGCACCAAAGTAAACTGCATGAGGACAGGGACCTTGTCTGCATGGCCCACAGAACTATCCTGGCACAGTGCTGGCACATGTTGAGCTCATGAAATGAATAAGTCATTTGATATTGTGAATATGCATTCACTTATTCACAACTTATGACTAAAAAAAAGCTGTTATTCCATTTTATGGAAAGGGCAACTGAGACACAAAATCACAGGCAGGAAGTGATCAAACCAGGGGTTGAATCCAGAGCAATCTGTCTCCAAAGCATGTGTTCCTTCCGCTGCAGCCCATGGCCTCCAGGCATCCTGCCCGTCGATGCCTGAGGCACCAGGGAGTTAGGAATGGCAGAGACCCAAACCCATGATTCCTGCTGGACCTTCTCCTTACCCCCTAGATTCTGGAGAGGGCACCCCACAGAGCACTCCATTCGAGGTGGCCCATTCATTTCTGGGCTCCTTGCCATTGGCATTGTCCTCTAGCTCTGGACTTCAGGCTATGCCGCTCTCAGACCCTCAGCCCCAGCCCCCTGCCCTGCTTGGGACTTTGAAGATGAGGTCACATGCCTCAGAACTTCTCTCACCTCAGCTCTTAGGACCCCAGCCATACCTGCTCTGCCCCCCCTCCCCTCTAACCCTCCAGCAATGTGGGCTTTCTCTGGGGATCTCATGTCCAACCCTGACAAGCAGCAGAGCCCAGGGAAAAGAGAACCAGGTTCCGCTCTCCTGCCATGTACCAGCTAGATGACCCTGGGCAATTCTTTTCACCTCTCCAGGACTCAGGTTTCTCAACTGGAAAATGGGGATTTTAAAAAAAATCCATGCCTAACTCCCAAGGCTGTCACGAGAATGGATTAAGGCAAAAGCTGTGAAAGTGCTTTACAAATGAGAAAGCCTCCTATTCTTCACTTTCTTCTGATGGCAAATCCCCAGCTCTCCTTCCCAAGGTTCTTGCTCTCCCGGCACAATGTACCCTGAGCACTACACATGCCTGTCCACCTTTGCTTCATGAAGAACCATGATATGTCGCCATTCAAAATCCAAATAAAGCCTCACGAGTGAATCTACTTATGGGAGACAGAATAAAGCAATGGCTAAGAGCTCTAGCAAGAGTAAAAAATCAAGTCTCCAATTTTTAGCTCTACCACTTACTAACAGTGTTAACTTTGAACAATCATTTTACCTCTCTAAGCCTCAGTTTCCCCATCTATAAAGTAGGATAATAATAATACCTGTCTTATCAGGTAGATAATGTATATGTAACATTCCTTTCTTATCAGGTAGATAATGTATATGTAGCACTAGGGACATATTAAATACCCAATAAATGGCTACTGTTGTTATCTCCTCTTGTTTTAGTCTCGACTCTTGAAAAATGAATCAGTTTTCAGACTTCATAGCTTGTGACCTCTCTCTCGATGGTCCCAGTGTCAGTTCCTTGGTGCATGTCCTTGTTTTGTCTTCCTTCAGTGATGACCACAGCCTCCTTTTCCGGCCCCCAAGTCACCCACTGCACTCTGTTCTGACCTTATCACCACCATGGGTTCCCAGGGAGCCAGACCACATGAGGAGGAGGGAATGCAGATGAGGGGAGGGGACCTGCCCAAAGTCACAGGGGTGCTACATGGGCAGAGCCGCTTCTAGGCTCATGAAGCCAATCATTTGGATTGTCCCCACCCAAAGCCCCGACAGGGCATTGAATTCCTTAAAGCCCAAGACTGGCTGCCTTTGTGAATGCCCTTTCTCAAAGCCCTTTGCAAGGGTGCCTTCGTGGCCCGGCCTCCCTCTGCCCATGCTCTGTCCCAGCCCATCTTTCCAGCCCCTTCCGATTACTGTCACTCTCTACTTCCTTGACTGTCTTGCCCTGCCAGTAAGCTTTCTCCCATATGATTCCTTCAGAGCTTGTTCTTGCATGTGCCAGGCCTCAGACTGGCTACTGTGGGAACAGGAGAATCTGAGGCACAGTATTTGCCCTCACAGAACCCCAGTCTAGTGGGTGCCACATGCCCAGTTAGACTCCCATCCTAACCTTGCAGCTCAAGCTGCCCTGTCAGTCCCTGAAGCCCACCTTCCTCCATGAAGCCCTCCCAGATTGGCTGACTAATTCAAGGCTGCTTCCCAAATCCTCCCAAAGGGCACCATTCCTCTTTGGAAGCTATACGCATCAGGTATTTTTATCTCCTTTTAAAAACTGCACCTCTCTCTCTCTCTCTGTTGAGATAATATATATGGCTGACATTTTTTAAAGTCCATTTTCAAAATGTATACTATCTTGTCTGTGTTTCCTGAATATAAAAGTCCATGCCAGCCATATTGTATTGCATTTGAAACCTCTAGAGGTAGGAATCTCAGTTCTGTGTGAGTCTCAGGGTATCAAGGCCCAGAGGCCATAGCAGGAGGGGGCAGCCAGGGCTGCCTTCGGGAGGAGAGGAAAGGCACCCACAGAGCAGCCGGAGCCACGCAGATGTCGTTGGAGGAGGAGATGAAATGCTGTGGATGTTAGGGAAGGAAAAATCCATTTCTGGATGTGGAGAATCCAGGGATGCACCCATCCTTGAGGACCAGCTCAAATGCTATGCCCGGCAGGACAGCTTCTCTGATCCCCCAACTGCACTTGAGCTTCTGAGGAAACACCCCAGTTTCCCCGGACTCACTTTGTGACACTTAGTGGATTCTCTATGGGAGTTTGGGACAGTTAAATTTGTGCACAACTTTGCTTTCTCTCTTTATGACTCAATTTGGCGAATTCCTCCTGAAAAGAGGCCAGATTCGATCAACTTTTGTATCCCATCCGTCCACAACATCCCCCTAATGTCATGCCTCATACTAAGTAGGTGCTCAATAAATGTTTGAGGAGGGGAAGAAAGAAGGAAGGGAAAGAGAGGAAGGAAGAAAGAGAAGAGGAGGTAGAGGAGAATAGAAGAGAGGAAGAAGAGCTGGAAGGAAGATGGGAGGGAGAACGGAAGGAGGAAGTGAAGGGAGGAGCATTAAGGAAATGCCCGCAGGTGGAAGCAATCCCCTATAAATGCAGGGGCTCTTCTCCGTGCTCTTTCAGTGCCAACAAGGGGCCCTGGGAACAGATTTAATTTTCTATTATCACCCTGGGGATACAGCCCCTGTCTCCTAAGCACACTGTGTGGAAACCAACACATTATGGATAGCACTGAATATGTGTTTCCAATGAGAAGTAACACCTGCAAACTCATTAGGATGATTAAGATGGCTCAGATCACCAACCTTGAGCAGGATCCAGTAAAATTAAAAAAATCCGTCAGCACCACTACCCCGTTTCAGAGCAGGAGGTTGCCAGGCAGAAGGGAAGTGCCAGCAGCCAGGGTCCTCTGGCCCAGGTGCAACTGGAGCTTCCAGGTGAGAACACAACCGCCAGATGGCAGACACATGGTGATGGCTGGGAGGTCCAGGGGCTTTGCGCCTTGCATATGGGGCAGGAAAAATGCAGTCTACGGAAGTGTGAACCAAATGGAAATGTATTCTCACATTTCTCTTCCTTTTTCTGAGACATAGTGGACCTCGGATTCTCATGCTGGTTTCTTTGTAGCAGCGTAAGGATTTGTCCCATGTGCAGGGGTGAGCCAGGCCCAGGAAGAGCAGCAGGCTGGGGCAGAGCTGCTTCGAGCTGATGGCATGGCTTTGGGCTGTTTGTTTGCCTGACCTTGTCCTAATCTGTAAAACCTATTCTTACTGCTCAAGGTGGTACCATGTCACAGTTTGTCTATACAGACTTTCTAAATGGGATTTGGAAAGTTTTTTTTTTTCCTAGAAAAAATCTTAGACTGCAGCTGTCATTATTTCTATTCAACACAAATCCTTCTCCGTCTCCACATACATCTGATCTTTCCTTAAGTTTCGCTAACCACATGAGAGTCTCCTCTGCTCTGAAACTCACTCTGCCCTCTGTGTCAATGACCTGGTTACTCTTCATCACAGGCTTCCAAAAAATCTTCAGCCATTCACTCAATCAGAGGATCCTTTATCAAGAACATGCTATATGCAAGGCTACAGGAGAAACAAAGATGGGTCACACAGTTTCTTTCTTTAAGGAGCTTCTTTCCAGGAGAAATAATTTAAACAAACAAGTAAATTATTATAATATAGTGTCCTGTATTTCATGCACATAATGCCCTACGATGAATGTCAAAATTGATCAAAATTTTAGAGGTCATCTAGCCTTTAAAATATCCACTTCCTCAAGGTGGCCTTACAAATCCCATCACAGCATCATCTTTGCACCTAGCATTTGGAAGGCCTAAGTTTTGTGGTTATGGAAAGAGATCAGAGTTTCTTGATGGAATTATTTAAGAGAAATGCCTGTTCTGGGTGTTTCCATGTCTCTCCCAATCCTGCTGGCCATTTGAATCCAGGGTTTAGCCTCTCCAGGCCTCAGTTTTCTCCTCTGTTAACCAAGAGGGTTGCACTACGTGGCTTCTGAGACCGTTCCAGAGCTAACATTTTATGATCTATGATTAAGACTGAGATGACACTGTTCAGCCCGCTGTCCAGAGGGTGACCCACCAACTTTCATAAAAACAATCATCATTAACCTATGTTAATTGGTCAATAAAACCATCACAATTTTATAGTGTGAAACCTGAGACCTGCTGAAATCAATGCTACTGGTGAGCCAAGTGGAAGTTCAGCCTTAGAAACAAAGTTGCTGACTAGTAACCCTAGTGTCATATTAGTCAAAGTGACATAGACTCAAACTTATTCTGGTTGAAATAAAAACAACTGATGGAGAAACTGAGTGGCACGTAAAACAATCTTGGGGTTGGAAGAACACAGGTCAATCAGACTGTGGGGGCTTCTTGGGGTAAGGACTGGTATAAATGAAATCCAGAACTATGTTCTTCTCCCCTTAAAGCACCTCCATCATAACCACATTGGAACCCAGGCAACCTGTGGCCAGTGAATCAGGCCTGGAGCCTCCCATCCTTTCTCAAGTTTAATCTGCTCATCATTTGTCTTATCTCAGATTTGGGGATCATCTCTTGTTCCTGATTCTCCACTTTCCCCTTGGATTTGATAGAATTCTGCTGATCTTTTAGGCTCACCCTCAAGATCTTTCTATTTTTATGCCACCCTATTCATAATGAGAGTTATCAAGTGTACCACCTACTATGTGCCAGATGATTGTTGTGCTTTATCTCAGTAAATCCTTCCAACAATTCTAGGAGACTGGAATTTTTCTCTCCAAAATTTTATACTAAAGGAAACTGAGGATCAGAGAGTTTAGATAACTTGCCAAGGTCATACACCGGTAATTAGGGGAGCCAAGATTGAAACCCAGGTCTGCTTTCATCCAAAGCTCTTTTTCTAACATCTAGACCCCTACCCCATTCAGCCCCTGGGCCAGGTCTACCTAGCACCCCTCAAGGAATAATTAGATAGTCACACTATGAATTATCGGTAACTTCACCTTGTCCAAGAGGGGCAACAAAATGTTGACAAGAGCAAAGTGGGGGTTGAAAGCTGACCTGACCTTGTCCTAATCCATAAAACCTACAGACTAGGTGTTCAATAAATGTTTGAGGAGGGGAAGAAAGAAGGAAGGGAAAGAGAGAAAAGAAGAAAGAAAAGAGGAGGTAGAGAAGAATAGAGGACAGGAAGAGAGGAAGAAGGGCCGGAAGGAAGATGGGAGGGAGAGTGCAAGGAAGAAGTGAAGGGAGAAGCATTAAGGACATGCCAGCAGGTGATTTGCATTTGAGCGGAAAGACAGAGACCACAAGCAAAAACTAAGAGGAGACAAACAATGAGTTTGGGAGTCAGGGAGGTAAAAGGAGCCAGACACAATGCAGGTGAGAGCAGAAAGCCTGATAAACCAATGCAGGATATGTGAGCCTGCAGTAAGAAGTGGCTTTTAGCACAAGGCACATCCTGCCAGGGAGAAAGAATTCCATTACAGATGCTGCATGTGGCTGGATAGGCGGAATCCTTGAAGGTCAGCCACCCAGCTTCCATCATTCTGTATCATCTGTGTCAAGAAGGCTTCCAGGCCAGTACAGAAAGCCAAAGTCACTCTAGTTAGAGCTGTAGACTCTGTGTAGTAACTACCAGGTTAAAAAATACCAAAGTATACATGTAAACTTACAATCTATATACCTACCAGCTTCTCACTTATGAAGACTGCAGAACAATTGCCATAATATTCCAAAAGTTAGCGCTCAAATGTGAGTTGAAGTCAGCCATGGTGGAGTGCACCTGTAGTCCTAGCTACTTCAGAGGCTAAGGTGGGAGGATTGTTTGAGTTCAGGAGTTTGAAACTAGCCTAGGCAACATTGTGAGACCCCCATCTCGAAAAAAAAATTGATAAGTAAATAACTTGTCAACATATTATAAGGAGGCTCTGCTTTGAGAAAACGTGTTATACAAATGTATAAATGCATCAAACTTTGTTCTGGAGGAAAGAATTCTTCAGGTTACCTGTAGGTTGGAGTTGCCCAAATTCAACTTAGACATGAGTTTTCTAGAATGCATCTATTGTGTAAAGTGATGATGATTTGCAGGTATACAACCCTAGAAAGCATTGCAGGCAGCCACACTGTGATCACCTGCCCATGCTACTGGAAGTTTATTTTCAACTTGGTATAGCAGTCAGCAGTCATTCTTGCTGTTGTGATATCACTAACCAGAAACACTCCAGAAACATACGTTTGCAAGTTAAACAAGGACATGACTGGTTATTATGTACATATTTAATTAACACTTCTATTTGTGTAAGTCATAATATGGTGTTATATGCCTATTCTCAATGCTTGATTAGCAATACATAATATTGTTAATGTTTTAATGAAGGATAATACCATGGTCTTTCCCAAGCACTCGCACTGAACTAAGTCCCTAATATGTGAGAAACGTTAACTAGGAGCCACAGGCTTCCCAAGCTATGAGGACTAAATCCAGCTCTTGTTCTTTTGAGTTGTGGATTATTGCTTAAATTGCTTCACCTCCCTGAGCCTCAGTTTCCTCATCTGTACCTTCTGAAGGAGACCTACCCTTGAAGCCCTGCCCTCCCCATGCTTTACTCCCTTCTTAGAGAGCCACATCCTCACCAGGCTACCTCCCACCATGTAGCCTCTGAGCCTGCTGCCCATTCTGCCTGGCTCACTGTTCTCCCTTTTTAGCCCACACAGCTCCTGTCACCCTTCATGTCTCAGAGCAAGCATCAGGTTCTTCGAGAAGCCTCAGTGCAGAAAGGATCAAGTCAAATCCTTCCATCATTGTTCACATTTCGTGGCATTTATTGCTGATGCAGATTTCTGTGCATTGGTGTGATGATTTCATTCATGTTTATCTCCACCAGTGGACTACAGGTTTCTGAGAAGAGACACTGTCTGTTTATACTCACCACCATACCCCAGGAACCACACCATAGTGGGAGCTCAATTCATGTGTCATGGGTGAAGGGACAACATTAATCAATCAGTTGATATGAAACAGGATGACATCCACCTGAATCACTATCATCATAAAAAAGAATAGCTGACTCTCACCCTTACTGCACCCTTCCCCAGTACATGACCCTGACCTTCAGGAACATATCATCTCGAATCATAAACACCTGATCTTACAAGTGTCTCATTCCTTCTGCCAGCTGCCAGATGCCCACTGCCCACCACTGATCTACTGAGCCAGGGTGTCCTGAGTGAATAGCACCCTTAATGGCAGGCACAGGTAACCATCTGCCTCCACGCTTATTCTCCACTGCTTCCTTTTTTTCCCCAAATGAACATCTTGTCCTTCTTCCCTCTTTGCCTCTCTCTTTCAGAATCATCAGAAAACTCTAAACCATTTTATTTAACAAATCAGCTACTGGTTAGTATATTTAAAGAAATCTGTGCATTTTCTTCCTTCCCTTTCACTTTACCCTTCCCCTCTCATCATTCCTCTCTCTTTCTCTCTCACCATCTTCTCCCTCTATCCATTCTATTTGTGAGCCAAAAATTGACCTTAATAATGACTGATAAATGCAAGAGCAGTGCTCAAGTGATCTGTCTGAATCAATGAGAAGGAAGGTGGAATTAGATGTCATAAAGAAATGGTGCCACCAACCTAAAAAGTCCTTGAATATGCCACATCCTTCTCCAGAGTCCCCTCAAAAGTCTACCCCTTCAACATCCCTTAATTGATTCTCTTTCTTCAAGAGGTCAGCATTCAGGGTACATGCAAAAACTAGTATATTCAGTTTTCAGATGCATTGTTTAATTACTCACACAGCAACAATATTATATGCTTGTTCATCTCATTGAATGCACAGATATGCAGGGTCTTAGCTATACTGTGAGTGGTTGATTAGGGAAATCTAAGGATAATTTATATTATTGTTTCTACACAAAAGGTCTGGACTCCTGAGCTCCTTTGTAATTTTTATCTCCCTTCTGAGAGTTGCAAGCAACCTGGTAATCATGGAGAAAGATCTCTCCATTGGAAATAAGACCACCCAAATTTTAAAGAATGCTGGCAATGGCCTGAGAATGCCAGGTCTTTGCTTTAGGATCTAGATGGAACTCCCAGACATTTGACCTGGAACAAGCTCTCAGCAGCATGGGCCCCAGGATCCAGGGTAAATGAGATTCATGCAAAGTCTGCAGCAGCAACAGCAGCAGTACTTTGCAGAACTCCATTTCCACCACCCTGAAGGGATCTGCTGTGCCTGGGACCTCTTTCTGCCTGTCTTTCTGGTACAGCTGTGCTTTTCCTCTCTCACCATCCAGCCATCAAGGGGGCCTGCAGTCATAAGATCATAAAAATCACAGCAGCAGCAACAACAGCAGCCATCTTTCATGGAGCATCTCCAAGTGTGTGCCACACCCTTTGCAAACACTGCCAAACAACTTGCAGATGAGAGGATTCAAGCTAAATGACAGAGACTGGGTCAGGAAGCTGAGGTCTGAACATCTCTGGCAGCCCTCTTTCCTCTAAGCCCCTGCATCCCCTGTCCATTCTCTGTCCTAGGAGCTGACATGAGTGTGTCTGGGTTCCTGATCCAAGGAGTCACTTTATACACAGTAGACAAAACCCAAATTGCAAGTGTGAGATGCATACAGAAACCAAGGTGAGCCCTAGAGAAAAGCAACCGAGATCCAATCAGAGGGGTAAGGGGAGAAGGAGCAGAGCAATGGGCCTGAAAAGAGGAGCAGTAAGAGCAGGCATCCCCAGGTCCAAGACTCAGGGTAGGGTCCTTGGGGAAGGTTAGGGCTCCACGATGCACACCTGTTCAGACATGTCATGGATTTCAAGGCAACTGGGACACCAAAGTGCCAGAAATGGAGCAATCACTTGCAGAGCATGTGAGCACACACACCTTAGGCAGAAGGTGGGGCTTTGCAATGTTATATATTACACATGGACCAAGTCCAATTTTCAATGCACCAGGGAAATGCACTTGTTAAAAGGTCTCTAAGAAGAATAAAGAAATTTAAGATGACTAAATAGGGCGCCAATTTAAGACGACTAAATAAGGAGCCACCCCACCTGTCCTGGCCTGCAAGCTCGTGTTCTCCCAAAGCAGGTCTTCCTGAAGTGGGACAGCTGGGCTGACCCTAGCTGATATTTTATCAGCCCACTTCAGTTTCTGATGAGCAGCGAACCACTGATTATTGCCACTGATGGCTGCTGTGTCCTATTTGTAGTGGTCTCGGGGGAGGAAGATCCACAAGCGTCTTCACAAATTCATTTCAGCTCCTCTCCTTCTTCCAGGCTGAGGCTTCCCCTCTGCTGCCAATCTCCCACCACCCCCCTTAAGATGAACAGGCTGGGTCACTATCCCCTATAGTTCCTTTGTAGGCTAGCAAGCCATATGAATTTCATAATTCTGCTTTTTCTTCTAACACAGGGCACCCAGGTCTACCTTATTTTTCCTGAAAAGAGAGAACTACAGGACACAGAGCAAGGCATTGGGGCATAGGAATGGCACAAGTCAGACTCCTGGGAGGGGGTTCCAGCTTTGCCACTTATCAGTGGGATCAGCTTGGCCTTGTGACCTGGCTGCTCTGAGCCACAGGTTTCTAATCTGTATAAGGTAGACAGGAGTAGCAGTTACAATGAAGGGTTCTCAGGATTACAGAAAATCGTGTGCAGGGCACCTGGCATGAGGGAGCTATGACTACTACTGTGTCAGCCCCACAGACACAAAATAATCTCTTCCATATGGTTAGGTTTAAATCAGGTTAACAAATATCCATTGTGACCTGCGACACTAAGCCAAAGTACTGTCTGGGAAATGAGAATGGAATATTAGACATGCTTTCTGTCTGAAAAAGCTTGTAAGTGATTTGACAGAGACACCCAAACCCCTCTCATCACCCCCAGCATAAACACACACTTCCATGCCCCTGCAGCAAGATGGTCAGGCTAGGTTGTTGAATGGAGGCAAATTCTCTAGTGGAGTTTTCTTCCCTTTGGTCCTCTGAGCTCTCCATGAGGTCTGTGGATTGTGGCCCCCATAGATTTATCTGAAAGATCAAGCAGAGGTTCCTTACCAGAGAATAAGAAGTGGAGTGAAGAGCGGGGAGGAGGCCACACTGACAGTAGGAACAAGCCCTACTATCAACTAGTCACGTTCTCTGCCTTAGTCTCTGTGCTGTATGTGCATTCCAATCATTTAACTTAATCCTGAAACAGCACTGCAAATACTACAGTGGATGCTGTCCTGCTTCACCCTGATCCCCCATCAAGATTAAAGGACTCATTTCCCAGCTCTTGGACCTCTCCGAACTACCCTTTATAAAGAGAGCCAACTCACCCAAGGTCAAGCCCCACATCCAATGAGTCGTCAATAAGGGGCTTTAAAGGCCTGGTCCCCCTCACCCCAAGTCAGTACCACTCTGCAGAGCCATCCAGCTTCAGGGCTCTGCATCACCTACGTTGCTGCTCAGTTTCTTCCTCTGTCCAACTCTACTTCCTTCTCTTCCCCAGCAGATTCTGCTCCCAGAAACACTCCACAATAAACTTCCTGCACACTTATTTCCCTATGAAGAAACAGAGGCTCAGAGAAATTAAGTAGCTTTCCCTAGGTCATGCAGCTTTTAAGTGATAGAGCTGGGCTCAGACCCATGGTTGTATGACAATAAGACTGTTATTTTCAGTGCACAAGATGAAATCCCTCGTTAGGAATTCAGTGGCTCAAACTCTAAAATTCCCTGGAAGAAGTAGGATGCATACTTCAGACCAGTAAACATCCAAATGAGATAAGTTCTTATAGTTTAAAACAGATTATAACACTTAGTCCCTCCTCCTACTGCGAAGGTGTCCCTAACCATCTATGCAGACTGTCTCATGTAACTAACAAGTGCAGCAGGGCCCAGCTGGACAGCCAGCAAGAGAAGCCCAAGAACCCAGCCATGGGGTTCTTACAAGCCACTTACAACTCTCAGCTCTACTATGACTTTAAATAAGCTACTCGCCATCTCTGGATGGGCTTCAGTTTTCTTATCTATAAAATGGAAGCAATAGTCCTGCCCCAAAATTGGTTTTAGAATTAAATGACATGATAAATATTTTTAAACTATCTTGAAATGAATAAAATCTTCCAGTTCAATGGGAATGCAGAGCCTAGAAAAGGCGGGGATAAAAGTGTGTTTATCCAGAAACCCAAGGCTACTTCCACCAGCTTCTCAGCCTTGAGACTCAGGTTTCACAGACTACTGATTCTCTCAGGGGACCTTCTGACTAATGTTCACAGTCCACCCTGGAGCAGCATGGGACAGGAACATGCAGGAGATTGGATGTCAGAAGACCCAAATTGCACAGTCCTAGTTTTCTCAAAAATGAGCTCTGTGAACTTTATAAGCCACCTCCCCACTCTGGCTCTTGTTTTGTCTTTATTGAAGTGAGGAAGTTGGACTGGATGCTCCTTAGTGCTCCTTCCATCTCAGGCATGTAGAATTCTGTGATGCCTGGTGGCTTCTTTGGAAAGTGTTTCTCCTCCTCCACTCTACTCCTCAATCTCAGACTTCAGCATGAATTCATTACACCAGCCTGCTAGCTCCACCCTTCTCTTCTGTTGGGGGCCAGGGGCAGGGGTGGTGGGGAGTGATGGCTTTGCAACCCAAGCAGGAAGCAGAAAAGGAAAGGACAGGATTACTAGCAAACCAAAGGTCACCTAGAGTCCCTGGTACCCTTGGACAACAATAAGCCCACACTGGTGGCTCTTTTCAGGAGGATGTATGAATGCTGCTTACCTAAATGCCAAGCCTTCACAGGCAGGTCTGAGTGTGTACCATGCTGTTCGCTCCCACAGGCAGGTCTGAGTGTGCACCATGCCACGTGCTGCCTGGTTATGCATTTATATCAAGCCTCACCACACACCCCATTGTTGACCCTATAGAGCATCTCAGGAACTACACTCAGATCTTACTGTAAGTCAGAGCAAACACAGTTAGGAAGGAAAACGTACTAGAGAGGAGTTGAGTAGATATACACCAAAGTGAAATAAACCACAGTTGTTCAGAAAGTCAATTTGCAAAGTTAATGACCGACAAGTTCTGCCCAGGCTAGGCCTTGCTGCCTTGCCCCTCTGCACCTTGGCACCTGGGGCAACAGGAAGAGAGAGCAGCTGTAACTATCACCTCTTGGAAGCTTTGGCTTCCCCTTTTTGCAAAGCTCTGCTCTGAGAAAGATGTGCTTCCCAGGAAAAGAGAGTGGGTGATTTGGTTTGCAGGCATAGAGAATGTTTCCACAGCGAAAACTATCAGCAGTATGTTGCAGTTTTTAAAGAGATTGCTTTCACTTGAGAAAGGTTTTTAAACCAATGGAAAGGTTTCAGGAAGAAATACAGAACACTGGTGACGCTGAGGGCAACAGGAGAGCTTTCATTTTATTCATTCTTCATATGTTCATTCAAAAGTGCTTGATAAGTAGCTGCAGTTTACTTGAGTGTCAACCAAAATTGTGAGAATCCTAGTGTGATTTCAAATTGCCCTTTTAGGAAATTAAGTAGAAAAGTGATAACGAGTAACTTTTTGTCATCAGTTCTAAAAAGCCATTTGTGAATTTACTTTTATACAGGTTTTGTGACAATAGGGCCACCAGACATTTTGTATTATACATGCCACTCCTGCCAACCATAGACGTGATATTTAGAGATGATTCTGAGCAGTTGCCGGAGAAAACATGACATATACATAAACCCAAAGTCATTTACTAGTGTTGAGTTTAACTCTCTAGTTTAGAGATGATCACAAGTTCATCTTATGTGGCAACTCCATTGGCTGGGGTGCTGTGTTGAGACATCTCCTGAGGCCAATATGGATCAGTAGGAAAAAGTGCCTTAGATCTGGGCAAGAGGGATACTTGGCATCCTGGCTGCTCCATCTTGAAGGCTGTATCCCAGCATCCTTCAGGCCTACTGATCAGGAGCATTCTCCAGCTGTTCATTTTCTCCTAGGACAGCATTCATGATGAGGTCTGGGCTCTTTTTTCCAGGGGCAGGTCTGAACTGGAGAGATGAGTCACATGGCTAGAGCAAGACACCCAAGTGCTAGGCCCAGACTGTCTGCCACTTCCCTCTCTGTTCCACACAGCCAGCAACAGAGCAAGCTTTTTCCTCCCTGCAGAGAGCCAGTGTCAGGCACGGCTGAGGCAAGGCCGAGCAACCCTGGGGGCGATAGAGGGGAACGGGTTTCGGTTGGACAAGCCCAATAGACCTATTTCTCCTAGGACCATGAAAAGCCTGTCCCCCACATTTGGCTGGGAGCTGACTGTAAAAGTTGCAGCTCCTTGAAAGTTAACTCCAGAGACAGCTGCACTCCTCACCTTGTGTCTACATAATTAACCAGCAGTTGTTCCTGCTTTGTGGAACATGGACCAGGCAAACCCCGTGAGGTCCTGTGGGGACATTCTCAGTCTGGCAGACAATTGGCAGAGGCAGATGCAGCTTCTGCAATGCTTGACTGAAGGGACTGAGGACAGTCCAATTTTTTCTTTCCCACCTCAAATCACATTTATCCTTCTCTTCTGTCTCCCTTCCTCAAGGCCCTCCCACCATGACCAGCCCCTCTGGGCACTGACCCTGCTATTCCCCTGAGGTGGTCCAGATCAGCCCTGATATCTGCTTCTGGAACGGAATTTGAATTGAATCCCTAAAACCTTAAAATGTAAATTCTATAGTGTCTAAGCTAGAAGAATCTTAAATATCTTGTGGACAAGCTCACCGTTATGAAGAAGAGGAAACTTCACCTTGGCGTATCCAAGGACACACAGCTGGCCAGGGCAGGGCTCAGGCCGACTCTAAGGGCTGATCATGGCCAAATTCCACTCACATTTCATCCTCCCCAAAACCCTACAAGACATTCAGTCCACAATCATCTGGAGCTGCATGATCTCCCTAGATAAGCTTCATGCCATCATTTTAACTCCCATTTCTATACCTTCAACACTAACATCTTATTTTAATTCCAGACCTATTTTTTTAGGTACCTAAGATTCCTCAGATGCAACCCAACAGAACCTTGTTGCCTTCTTCTTTCCTAAACCTATGCAATCTTCTGTGTTCTTGCCTGTCTCCATTACATTCTTCTGGATGTGGATCTATTCTGGGAGGCAAATGAGGTGCCTGTTCCTCTGGGAGGGAAATGAAACATGTTTCCCAGCCAGATGGCCACAGGGAAATTGCTCTGGGGCAGAACCTCAGACATGAAGATGAACATCAGGCTACCATGATGACTGGCTTCCCCTAGTGGACTCTCAGGGATGGACACAGAGGCTTGGACATCTGACATCTCTCTGTTCTCATCCAGCCTCAGCTGTCCACATTCAGGGACTGAAATTCCTTCCTCCCAAGGGATTCAATCTGTGGTAGTTCAATCTCTTTCCAGGGGAGGGAGGTGTGTTAGAACCTAGCACTTCCCAAAGGTGAAGTGAAACCTGCCTCTCTCTAAATTCCACAGTGCTAATTAAATATCCCATGTGACTGCCTATCTAATATTAAACATGACCCCCATGTTTCCCAGACCAAACATCTTTCCTTCTCTAGACCAAGCATCTCCAGGTCCCAGTGCTCATGGGACCTAATCCCCAAACCACCCCAGATACACACCCTCTTTATGCCCATGGGGGTTAAACCCTGCATAAGGTGCTAAGGACAGACCTGGATAGAGAAGAACCTCACCTCACCTGCCGTGTTCCAGCAGGAAGGTCAATCTGCTTGAAAACTGCCTGAGGTTATAGCAGTTGTGTGGGCCACTCAGTCCACAGCTCCTTTTCCCAATCCTCCAAGACAGTGGGGCCCAATTTCCATCGCAATGTCTCCTTCCTGCCCTCAGCCAGGACACCCGCCTTGTTTTCTCACAGCCTCTCCTACACCTTTTTCAAACTCCTTCTCAGATCCCTCCTCTTCTATGGATCTATGCTATGTGCACCTCCTTGCTGAAAGTAGGAGTGGGTCATTGCTCTTAAACATTACCTATAAAATGAGGAACTGAGCTGGGCAGTCACTAAGGTCTCTCCTCACCTTATATATCCTGTTATTTATTTGTCTTATCTGTTAACTTAATCACAGCTTCTAGTTTGCCTTCCTCCTCAAGGGCACGATAGGGTCTGACCCAGTTCTATTGCTAAATAAACTCTTGCTTATTAAATTGAGTTGATACATATTAAGGAATGGAATGAACGAGGAAAGCGAGCTGTTGATAGGGAAAAGGTAGGTGCTGGTTCAGAAACAGGCAGAGGAGGGGGCCCTTCCCCAGGAAGGTGACTTGGGTCAGGACAAGAAAGATGGGAATAGGCTAGAAGCAATGGACAACACTCAGAAGGGAAATAGGGGAGAGATACTATCATGGCCACACCTCTTGTTTAGGATTCCGGGTTAGGGTGGCTATCGAAAAAGAGATTGAAGGGCAAGTGATATGATTGTCGTTAGTCCAGGAGCTTCAAAATCAGGATTTGCAAGCCACTCACATCAACACTCTCAGCCTCCGTTTCCTTCACCTCCAAAATGAGAGACTTGTAGCAGAGCCTCAAAGTGTGGTTTGGGCTTGTTAGGAATGCAGGGTTCCGGGCCCCACTCTGGGATGGAATGGGCATTCAGCCAGATCCGAGGAGATGCATGCTAAAGTGTGAGAAGTGCTGTCCTGGACAACCTCTCTGAGATTCTAAAGCAGAGATTGTTGAGTGAGCCTCCATGATGCTCAGAGTCCGCTGCACCATAGAATCACCTGGGGAGCTTCGAAAATCCCATGCCCACAAGAGAACTTTCTGGGATGGTGGATTATTCTACATCTTCACTGGGGTGGTGGTTACATAAATGTCTACGTTTGTCGAAACTCATGAACTGTACCCTTTCAATGGGGATATCGTAGTATGTGCAAACTATGCCTCAATAAAATTAATTAAAAAAAAAACTATCCCTAAACTTAAATCATTACTTACAGTAAAGCTGTAATAAAGAATACTATATTTTAAGAATATAAAGACTGCCTTAAAATATACTGTATTTCTCCCCCAAAGAAGGGGCTGTGCTCAGGAATAAGTCTGAGTCGGCTCATTTTCTAAGGATATAAATAAATGTTTCTTTACCTGATGCCACAGCCCATACCAATTAGGTCAAAATTTCTGGGTATCTTTTAAGCCTCTCCAGGAAATTCCAATGGGCAGCAGGGCTGAGAACTGCTTGAGCGCCTCTTGCAGATGTTAGCAGTCAACCCTTACCATACCGCTGCATTGGGATCTTTCCGAGTGCGCAGCACTGTGCAGAGGGCAAAAGGTGGAGAGAGAGAGGAAAGCAGGCAACACACTACGTCTCTCAATCATTGATGGTCTGGTTTGGAATACAAGGCTGGACCTACCCAAAAAGCATGAAGTTACTACTGAGGCAGGGCCACTCTCACAAAGAGTTTGAGTCTCTGGTGTTTGGCTGGAGCCTCCATCCTTGCCCTACCCAGGCCTATCCCAGCTTCTTGGATAATGTCAAAAGGCATGAGTCCCTTTCCTAAGATGCCAGGCCCCATGGAAGACAGCTTTGTCCTGCCTCTCAAACCAGATAAAGGCAGAGAGCACTGCCCTAGAGCTGCTGCTTCCAGCAGCCTTGTCTGTCTCCTGCTCTGCCAGCCCAGCAGAAGATGCCCAGACCCACCAGAGTGGCAAGGACATGGCGACTTCTTGGAGGTCACAGTTATTCACCTCTGAGTTTGCTTTTGAGAGTCCTCCTCTCAGCTCCCATCCCACCTCTGCTTTTATGGATTAATAAGTGGAGACTCAGAGAAGTCAAGTAGCTTCCCCAAAGTCACACAGCTAGAAAGGTAGAAGGGAGACCTTGAACCCATGCCCTCTGGCTCCAGAGCACATGCTCTTTCCAGAGTGCCACATGCTCCCCATTGGGTGGCAGGCTGAGATCTCCCCTCCCTTATGGATTAGCCAGAATCGATCAATTGCCCTACTATGCGGTACTGACTGGCTCCCTGGGACATGGGAGCAGGAAAATGAGGCAAAGTAACAACGGTGCTGTGTGTTGAGGGGGGTCAGGGTCTCTGGGTGACATCCCCTCAGCATGCAGTCCCCGGGAAATGCAGCCACCGGAGGGCACAGGTGCCTGGTGCTGCCTCAGAAGGAGGAACCACCATGTGCGAGGGGAATAATTCAACTCCAGGAGGCGAGGGCATGGCGAGCCCCGCTGCCCCTCCCCCTTTGCCAGGGCAACGTGGGATGTCAGACAACACTGTGGCCACCTCATTATTGGGCTGCTCGGCCATTGTCCCCGGGACAATGGTTTCCGGCCCTGGCTTTGTGTGGGGCTGCCAGCCGAAGTTATTAACCACGGGAGCTGCCTTTGAGGGACGTCCAAGGAAGGGGTGAAAGGTCACTGGAGCAGCGAGGGGAGCGGAAGTGGGAGGGAGAGGCAGCACAAAAGAAAGGGATGAACCCCCGTCCCCCTCCCCTGAAGGAGCCCCAAACAGAGCTGCGCCCAGAGGGAGGCATGTGGAGGCGCTTTCAGAGGAAGTTCTTGCTGCTGCAGCGGGACAGAAGCAGCTGGGATGGCTGACCATCCTGATAGGCTTTGGAGGTATCAGCGTGGATGGGGATACAGGCTGCACGTGGAGAGGACTGAATGGGTTGGTAGGGGGGACGGGAAACAGAAGGCGGCAGCAGAGGTTGCGTTTGGGGCTTCTCAACTCACTCCTTAAATAGGTGTTTGCTACTCAAGCCCTCTGATGTCCGTGACATCCGCCTGTGCCGCAACCCTCAGAGAAGCAAACTAGAGGGACCCCAATATGTTGGTCCTGGTAAAGAAAACTGCCCTTCTTCCCAAGGCTGCCCGTGTCAGCCCCTGCAGGTCTGGACGGTGTTGGCAAAGACACCATGGTTTAGGCTTGTCTGGGCAGGTGGTGGTGGAAATTTGGCCATAGATGGAATTGCAGAGGTTGCGTTAGTTATTCAGTGTCAATCTGCTTTTAATGGGACAGGGAATCTGATGCCCAGACAGGGAGAGGACTCTATCAGGGGCACAAACCCAGCAATGGGCAGAACTGAAACTTGATACATTATCTGTTCCCTGCCCTTGAGAAAAACTGGGCCTCTGGTGTTTGGCTGGAGCCTCCATCTTTGCCCTACCCAGGCCTATCCCAGCTTCTTGGATAATGTCTAAAGGCATGAGTCCCTTTCCTAAGATGCCAGGCCCCATAGAAGACAGCTTTGTCCTGCCTTTCAAACCAGATAAAGGCAGAGAGCACTGCCCTAGAGCTGCCGCTTCCAGCAGCCTGGTCTGCCTCCTGCTTTGCCAGCCCAGCAGAAGATGCCCAGAACACAGTGTGCTGCCCTCCAGAGCAGGCTAGAAGGCCCAGAGCTTTTGGTCATGAGGCCCCAGGAGGCCCATAGCTCGTCCAAAGTTGAGGCGTTAGGGCGGGAACTCTGGTCTCACCTGTCACAGTCTCTCCTCCAGCCAGCACACAAGGACGGGACACAGGCGTGGGTAGGTGGACCATCAGCTGAATTATAAGAAAGCATTTATAGCTTATCTACAAGTTTGGATATGTCAGGGCATTTGAGGGGAAAGTATGAATTATTCTACCCAGCTTTTATATTTAAGGTTATATGTTTTTTAGAACTAGAAAGAATGCTTCAGTCCCACAATATGGTTGGTTGGAGAGGAGAAGAAAAAGGAGACATCGAAAAGAAAATCTAGTGCTGGGTGGATATAGAATGTGAGGATGTGGAGCTGGGAAAACAGAGGACGTGGTAGGATGGGGAAGGAAAGGTTGTGGAAGGCCTGCATCCCATCTCAGTTCCTCCACTGCTTCATCCCAGATTCTGTTTTTGTTCCCCTGATTTAGACTTAGTCTGCCTCCATTCTCCCATCCCCTGTGTGCCCCCATCCTAGTCCTGCCTCACTGGACACAGCCTCTCCGCGGCCTTCCTCCTCCCTGCTCCAGAATTCTACCTGGTGCCTCCCAACCCCACTCGACTCATTGTCTACCTGGCCTCTGAGGCCAGGCACCCTCATTCCCCTCTCCCACCCACCCCACCCAAGGAAGCCCAGCACAGACCATCTCAGCTCACTCCAACATCACTTCTTTGCCAAATGCATTTCCAAACACCCTCATGAGCTTGCTGATCTCTTTGCTATCTCTCCCTGCCCCACTCCAAGGGCTCCTCCTGCCTGGTGAAGACTGCCCTGGGTACCCCAGAACTGAACCTGCAGCAGCCAGCACAGCTGACCTTGGGGGCAATAAGCAGCCAGGGAAAGGCTTTCTAAAAAAAAAAAAAAAAAATTACTCAGTAAGCAGATTAAATGAAGGTAGAGACGCAGCCCTCCACCCCTCTCACACACACACTCATCCTCACACACAGCTATACCACACCCCACAAATGTTGCTCATGTTTCTTTGGTCATTCTGTCCATCCTCCTGTCTGTCCAAAGCCAACGACACTGCTCTACTCTAAAGTTTTGTCCCAAAGCCCCCAAATACTGCAACCCTGATCCAATGCATGAAGCCACCCCAAAATACAGCAGAGGACACCAGGACTTTCATTTTCCCTCAGTATGGCCCATCCTTTGGGTATGCCAACTCCATGGCCACCAAGCACTGCATGTGGGACAGGGCACAGTTTGGAGGCCTTGGTTCAGCCACTGCCCCAGACCCAACTTGGCTCTCTCCTCACTAACACCTGAGAAGCCCAAACTTCCCAGTGTTTAGCAACAGATTAAACTCTAAGCCAACAACAACAGAACAGGGTGGAGTGAGTGGAAAGCAAATGAAATGTTAAAAAAAAAATTAAGCAGTACTTGCATTCTCATTAGTAGGAACATGTGAGATGAAGCACGTTATGTTATTAGGCATTCTCTCGATTCAGTAAACACAAGCTGAATAAATTTATAAATATCAGCATTAAGTGAGATTTAACGGGGAGCTGTTTATCTTCTGCCTGTCAGGCAGGCGGCAAAGCTCTCCATGTATCACTCACCAGCCGTGCGGTCCTCACTGTCTTGCCCAGGTAAGCTGGGGCAGAGCCTGCTGCAGCCCAGCTCTGGTTGTGGGAGGGCTGGCACCAAGGAGCTGCAAGCTTACTTCACCTCATCTCACCTCACCATGCTGGTTGCAAGGCAGCCCATGCGGTCCGTGCTCAGGAGGTCACACTCCTACGCTGCGTCCCAGCCCCTCCAGCAGCACAGCATGTCCTGGGTGACTTTGAAGGTGCTATTTAACCTCTCTAAGCTTAAAGCTCCTCAACTGCAGCATCAACAGATCAGTGCCGACATGGTAAGGCCATCGAGAGCATCAAATGCTACTGTTCAGCAGGTGCCTGACACATAGTAGGTCCACAAGCAAATGATTTTCCTGCTTGCATCATTTCTAGCACAGAGCTGGAGGGAATGGCAAGGTGCAGGTGGCCGCTGGGCCCTGCTATTCTACATGGGAGCAAGACAGCTGCTACGTGAAGGGGAATGACCAGGCAGCCACAGGGAGGACATGTGGCCTCAGGAAGCCTGGGTGTGTATCCTGGTTCTGGAAGGAACACATGTGGGGCTTTGTGTGGGTGACTCTCTGGCTCCCCAAGCCTCCCTTTCCTACTATTATATCCTTAAAGTGCCTCTGAGGCCAAAGCCTTTGTGGCAATTATCAAATGAGTCCATATGCAGTGAGTATCATGTTGAGGGAGGACAAGGTCACCAAGAGCTGAGAATGTTTCTCCGAGTGATGAGACCTAGATATTGGGTACATGGAGGTCCTCGGTCCCTTTGTGATGCCGGCAGCCTGTTGCCTCCTTGCCTGGACCCCGCCTCGGCTCAGAAAACCAATTCCCTAGATTCCAAAGGCGTTCCCAGACCAATTAGCATGTCCTGCAGCTGTCAGCTCCCTGTGCCTAGCCTGGACCTCAGCCCATGTCTAGCACCCAGTCTCCCACACCCACACATATTCACAAATAAAAGAAAATAACAAATGACATAAATTCTTCACTCCTGGTCTGGCTTGCTGTGTGTAAACTGCTATGACAATACAAGATGCAGAGGCAGGCACCCAATAAAAGCTGTTGAAAATGTGACTGACACCAATTTTCAGCTATCCAGGAAGGCACAGATCCTTATAAGGTCCAAGCAGAGTCCTCAAGAATAGTTGAGAATTCTTGGGTTCCACATGAACACAGGAGATACCCACACAAAGGCTTGGATTTCCCAATACATGACTACCCCTGAACACTCCTTCTTTCCCTCGTCTCTCTGCTGAGACCTCTAGACCCCAAGGATCCACCCATGACAACCTCTCCAACGATACCCTGATATGCTTTTCTTCCAGGCAGCATTTCCACAGAGCTGTGGGTGAAAGTCACAGGATGAAAATGTGCAATGGGACTGTATCCCCCACCAACACACTGCAGGAAGGGTGCACACAGAGTTCCCTCTCTGCCTATCCCAGGAATGGCCATCTAAGAATGATGCGATCTTTTCTAATAAGAAAGTAAATAAAGGTAGGTGCCATATAAGAAGACCTTGGAGGACTGTGGGGATGTTCCTTAATGTCTCAGAACATCTGCCTCCATCAATGAAATGAAGGATTCAAAGCAGCTCATCCCTGATTTGACCTCAATGCCGAACGCTAAACATCAGCCTTAGGATGCTGTCTGGCTGGGCGGGGAATGAAGGATCTGGGAGCTGAGTTGCAGGAAGCTGCAGCAGCTCCCCATTTACAGATCCTCTAGGGCCAGTTTTTCAGGCTTCCTGAATAAGAGAAGCAGCCAGGCAAATTCCACCATTCAGCTACATTTACAGGAAGCTGGCTATTTGGGAGGCTCTCTACCAGAGGCTTTGGGGAAAAAAAATGCAGAATTAATGTAAAGATCATATATTTACCTATGAGAGAAAAGATATCCAAGGATGCCCCTAGGCCTCATTTGATCTAAAACTAGGCCTGGAGCTACCTAATTGTCAAGTCAGTTCAGGCTTCTGTAACAAAAATACTGTAGACTGGGTGGCTTAAACAACAAACATCTATTTCACATGCTGCTGAAGGGAACCAGCATGGTCAGGAGCATGGTGAGGGCCCTCTTCCTGGCTTGGAGGTGGCCATCTTCTTGCTGTGTCATCACATGGCAGAGAGAGAGAGAAAGAAAGAATGAGAATGAGAGGAAGCAAGCAGTTTCATATTTTATCTTATAAGGGCACTAATCCCATCATGAGGGCTCCATCTTCACGACCCAATAGCCTCCCAAAGGCCCCATCTCCAAATACCACCCCACTGGTAGTTAGGGTTTCAACCTACAAATTTGGGGGTACACAAATATGCAGTCCACAAAACTAATACCCCTAAGTTGTCTGCGTATATATGCTTGTTCTGGTGCTGCTTTGAAGGTCTCAGACGATAGAATCAAGTGTAGATCAAACTTCTCTAGGCCTCAATAGGGTGAATCTAAAGATTGGGTCACAATAATGGCAATAAGCCACAATTCACTGGATTAATCTCACCTACTCCTTCAGGGGTCTATCCATATTCAAAGTACCACAAGTACTTGTAGAAGTCTCTGAGCAGTATCACAAAGACTGACATAGATACACGCAAAATAGAAAATGGATAGATGGTAGTATGGGGTTTGGGGTGGTGTGTGTGTGTGTGTGTGTGTGTGTGTAAGTAAAGAGGATGTCTTGTGCTTGGGATACATGGGGATATGTTTCTTTCGAGGCTCTTCGGTGGCAATGCTTGCCCTGAGCTCAGGAGACAGGCCAGAGAGATATATCTGTTCCCTACTTAAAAGAGAGCACTGATGCATGAAGGTCGGGAGGAGGCCAGAGAATAGTGTGTTGAAAGAAGAGAATGTGACCAAGGCCCCAGTATTAAAAATGAATCTTGAATTGGAGATGGGGAATGAAGAAAAAGTCAGAGAAGAGGACACACGTGGAGCAATCTGAAAGACAGGCAGAGCCACAGGTGTGCACAGTAACTGGGATGTGAGGGTAGTAGAGAGCTTCAGGAAGGAGGGAAAAGGCAATCATGACAAACACTGCAGGACAGTCACAAAGATGGTGAATGAGTAAAAGCCATTGAGCTTGGCATTGATGACCTTCATGGGAACCATACAAGGAGAAACCTGTGGAATGAAACCTAACTACACAAAGCCAAGGAATTAGTTAGCAGTAAGGACATTAAGGCAGTCTTATGGGTTAAATCATACACACAAAAATTGTCAAAATTCTCATCCCAGTACCTAGAAATAGAACCTTATTTGAAAATAAAGTCTTTGCAGGTGTAATCAAGTTAAGATGAGGTCATTAGGATTGGTCCTTAAGCCAGTATGACTTGTGTCCTTGTAAGAGAGAGAAAGATGCCAAGTGAAGACACAGACATACAGAGAGAAGACAGAAGATGGACGTGGAGGCTGAAGTGATGCAGCCACAAGTCAAGGAACTCCTGGGTTACCAAAAGCTGGGATAGACAAAGAAGTATCCTCCCCTAGAGCCTTCAGAGGGAGCAAGGCCCTGCCACATCTTGATTTTGTAAGCCAGATCTCCAAGATTGCAAGAGAATGAATTTCTGTTGTCTGAAGCAACCCAATTTGTGGGACTTTGTTATGGCATCCCTAGAAAACTAACACAGGCAGTAAGTGCACTTTTATAAGAAATGTGTTCATGAAGAGATGGAGTTAAATGCTTTTAATAAAGAGAATGTTTGGTTTTCCTTGGACATACTTGAGAATGTTTACAGACTAAGAGGAAAGAATCTAGAGAGAGAGAGAGAGAGAGAGAGAAGTTGAAGATTCAAAACAATGGAAGGATGGTTAATAAAATATGGAGGAGGAAGAAAAAGATTAAAAGGAGAACTCAAGTGGCATAATCGGCCAAAAAGGTGAGGGACACTTTGTCATCCCGGGCCAGGTGTCTTGGCCTAGATCCTATAGAAAGCAGAGCCTGAGGCAAGGATTGAAGTGCTGACATTTTATGTGGGGGAAGGGTGCAAGCTCAGGACAGTGAAAGTGAGGAATAAATGGAAGCAAGGCATGTGCAGATGGAAGGCCCTGTGATGAAACGCATTGCTATCCTAGTGGCAACTTCACACCAACTGCGAAGATGCTGTATTAGTCAGCGTTCTCCAGAGAAACAGAATTAACACAACACAGAGATAGAGATAGATACATAGATATAGAGATAGATCTCTCACATATAGACCTATATATCTATACATGGAGAGACAGAGAGAGAAGAACAGGGGAGGGGGCACAGAGAGAGACACATTGAGAGACAGATTTATTATAAGAAGTTGGTTCATGTGATTATGGAGCTGAGAAGTCCCAAGATCTGCCATCTGCAAGCTGGAGAACCGGGAAAGCCAGCAATATAGTTCTACAGTCCAAGTCCAAAGGCCTGACAACTGGGAATTCCAATGCTGTAAGTACCAGTTCAAAGGAAGAAGACTGATGTCCCAGATCAAGCAGTTAGACAGAGGGCAAATTCACTTTTCCTCTGCCTTTTTGCTCTATTCAGGCCCTCAATTGATTGGAACTTCTACATTAGGGAGGGCAATCTACTTTATTCAGTCTGCTGATTCAAATGCATATCTCATCCAGAAACACACCCACAGAAACACCCGAGAAATAATGTTTAGCCAGACACCTGGGCACCCCATGGTCTAGTCAAGTTGATACATAAAATTAACCATCACAGACATACAGCAGGTCACTCATGAGACACGCTTGCTTGACATGCTGGGCTTCTCTGTAGGATTTGCAGGGAGAAATCATACCTTAAAGTATTCACAGGAAGGAGGAGGAGGATTTATCTGACCATCTTCCTCCAGTCTCCCATTTCCCACCAGTCAAGATTTACCCAACAGTGAGCAAATCCCCCTGGGCTTCTGGATTGCATCATCCAATCCCCATTCACCACAAAACCAAATCCCATGGTGTGATCAAGCCTGGAAAAGGAGGGAAAACTCAGAATTGTCTGGGCACCTAACGAGAGAAAATAGAGGCAGTTGAAGAAATCCAAGAAAGCACACAAAGTTTGTGTCCAAAATTAAGGGGGAAAAAAAAAGAAAAACAAGTAAATGAAAATATAGAGACATTTTTAAAATACAGAGAAGTTGAGGAAACTGACTTTGAGTGGTAGGTGATGTTCAAAGAGAGCTCAAGTAAACTGTGGGAAAGGAAGGAATGGGGAACATGGCTGTGACCCCAAAACCTTAAGGACCTGCAATACGTTTTTAAAAAGTAAAAGAAGCCTTGTTATAACTGCAATACTATAGAATCCTAGAAATTCAGAGCAGACATTAGAAATCACTTTCCTTAACCTTTTCACTTTAAAGATGAGGCAACTAAGGCCAGGAGAGAATTAATGGTAACTAACTTTCATAAATGTACAATGTTTGCTATGAATGAACCTGTGTGTGTGTGTGTCTGTGTGTGTGTGTGTGTGTGTCTGTGTGTGTGTGTGTGTGTGTGTGTGTGTCCCCAGGATGTCATCTACACATTTCTCCACCTGGTGGCTCCTGCCTGAATTACAGGCAGAGTCCAGCCAGCGGAAAGAAGCAGCAGAGGACACTGTCTTGGAATCCCAGAAGAAAATCTTAAGAGCTGAGACCTGAGACCTCCTTCACAAACCCAGGCCAGCTTCTCGTGGACTAGCCTTAGTCCTCAGAGACTCAGAATGTTTGCTGGCCCTCTCTCCAGTTCTGTGATCCCTCCTCTGTAGCTCCCTTTCCATAAAAGAAAATACCAACCAGGGGGAAAGCAACCAACAAAAGGTATAATGTTTGACCAGTGGTCCTGGACACTAATTCTTTGAAGACTTCCAAGATGGTAAATGGAAAGAACAACCCACATGCATGCACATACATATACATATACAAAATGCAAAGACTAAGACCCAATTAGCCTCTCACTCTGTTTCTTTTACTGGAAGGGAAGTGTCACCAGCCTCAACTACTACTCCCCATCCCCTGCAACTGCCATTCTTTCTGACTTATCTCTAGAAAAGGCCATGTGACCTCTCCCTCAGGTTGATCCATTGTCCCAGCCAGAATGTCCAGCCAAAGCAGAATAAAGCATCTACTGGACCTAAAGGAGTGCCCCTGATATCTCCCAACTGGGTTCTGAAAGGATCCTCTGAGGGGATTTTATCATAGACACATTTAAAATGCCAAGAATGAATCGATGTGTCACCAAATTTCAGTGTCAGTGCTAGAGGCATATTTACAGCTCAAATGAAGTCCATTAAAAAGAAGAAGAAGAAGAAGAAGAAGAAGAAGAAGAAGAAGAAGAAGAAGAAGAAGAAGAAGAAGAAGAAGAAGAAGAAGAAGAAATTCCACTTTCTTCTCTAGCTGTGAAAATATTCTCTGAGGAGTCTCCTGTCTGAACACGTATATGACCAAGAGTGGAATTTATCAGAGCAGATGTGAGAAAAAGAGTTTAGTGTTAGTTCTCTACTGCCATGTAACAAATTACCCCAAACTTAGAAGTTTAGAACAACAAACATTTATTATCCAGACATCTATTCCTGAGGGTCAGCAATCCAAGAGCTGCATAGCTGGGCGATTCTGGCTCAGGGTTTTTCATGAGGTTATAGTCAAGCTGTCAACCAGTCCTACAGTCATATGAAATCTTGACTCAGGCTGGAGGATCCACATCCACAATGTCGCCTAATTTCTGACTGGAGGCCTTGGGTTCCTAATGGCTGATGGCAGGAAGCTTCAGTTTCTCTCCACATAGGCTTCTCCGTGGGGATACCTGAGTGTTCTCATGACATGGCAGTGGACATGTGATCCAAGAAAGAGCAGGGCAGAAGACTTGTCTTTCAAAATCTAGCCTCAGGATTGATATACCATCAATCTGCTGTACTCTAGTGGTCGTATAGACTAACTCTGATAACGTGAGAAAGAAATACACAAGGGCCTAAATAGTGGGAGGCAGGGAATACTTGGCCTTTGGGATTCTCTAGTGGCCACCTTTAAGGCTGGCTAAAACATATTAGGTGGTAAATGCAACGGAACTCATGACTCCAATATATAAAATAAAAATAGAATTACTAATAAATACTGAAGATTGGTGGTCCTCAGATTTGAGCAGGCATCAGGATCACGTGTGTATTTAGCAATACACAGATTGCTAGAATCCACCCCTAGAGTTTCTGATTCAGTAGGTATTGGGTGGGGTTGAAGAACTGGAATTTCAAGTAAGTTTCCAGATAATGTTGATGCTGCTAGTCTGGGGGCCACACTTGGTGTAGATAAGTTTGTCAAAATTTAGAATTTGAACATACCTTAAAGGTCTTCCGATTCAATGGTTTCCAAGTCCAGATGACCATCAGAATCACCTGTGGGAGATTCTTCCCCACCCCAACTCAAGAGTCTATGATTTTTTAAACTCCTCTAGGCAATTGCGTGATCAATAAGGTTTGGAAATCCCCAATCCCAAAGTCTCCTCTGCTTAGCATCCCCAGCATCAACCCTCCTCTTAAAGAAGACTCTTAGCAAATTGTGGTGTATGTATATACCATGGAATACTACTCAGCCATAAAAAGGAATGAAATAATGGCATTCGCAGCAACCTGGATAGAACTGGAGATCATTATTCTAAGTGAAGTATCTCAGGAATAAAAAACCAAACATCATATGTTCTCACTCATAAGTGGAAACTAAGCTATGAGGATGCTAAGGCATAAGAATGATACATGGACCTTGGGACTCGGGGGAAAGGGTGGGAGGAGGGGTGAGGGATAAGACTACACAATGGGTACAGTGTACACTCCTTGGGTGATGGGTGCACCAGAATCTCAGAAATCACCACTAAAGAACTTATTCATGTAACCAAACACCACCTGTTCCCCAAAAACCTATTGATTTTTTTTTTAAAGAAGACTTGTAGCATAGCAATAGGCCATTAACTTCCCCTAAGGTAATGCCCATTACAGTGTGGGCCGATCAACTACTTCAAACGTGCTGCTCAGACTTAAGCAAAACTGACTTGTCCACGATGTTCACACATTGCTCACCAAGCATATGGATTCTCTCTCCTCATAACCACTGTCTAGTTTTCTAAAAAGGACTTTTATTTCACCCTCAGTCTTCTATTTTTTAGGCAAAATATCCTTCATTCCTATAATTCATCCTCAGTGGGCATGGTTTACACTGTTCTCATGGTTCCTAGTCCTTTCTGTTTCTCTTTCTCAGTCTCCTTCTTTGTAGGTAATGCTTAGAATGGAGCTATTAACCCAAGTGTGGTGCAACTCAAAGAAGTATAGAGGAAATATAGCACTTTTATCTTGGATGTGCTTTTCCTATTGGTCCCACCTAAGAATATAACAACCTTTCAGTCAGTCCCAGCACACTGGATAGGTAAATTATGACAAACAGATATTTAGAAAACTCCCAAGCCATCCGAGAAAGCACCCTCAATGAGTATCTTCGAGATGTCTAAGCAGCCCAAAAGATCTTGACTTCCTATTCTCTGAGAACTGCAATCTTTATTCACAAAAATGAACCCCCAATAGCCTCAGTGAGAGCGGACTGGACCAGGGTGTCAAGCAACACAGGCTGGGATGAGGATTCTCTTTGATGAAAGAAGAGTGGTCACTCTCTTCGTGAGGATCTAATGGATAATCTCAGGACCTGCCTTTTGCCTGATGGAAAAGAGAACTTCTCTGCAGAGATACAGAAGGAGAAGCCAGTGCTCCAATAGAAACAGAGCAGGGGGAGACAGAGAGAGAGAGTTGGGGAAGAGAGAGAGAGAGAGAAAGGAAGGAAGGAAAGAAGGAAGGAAGGAAGGAAGGAAGGAAGGAAGGAAGGAAGGAAGGAAGGAAGGAAGGAAGGAAGGAAAAGAGATGGCCAGCAGCCCAGTGAGTGACCTTCTGGGTCCTGGTTCTGGCCATTTCTGAAACTCAGCTGCATCATTGACCTTGGGTTCCATAACCCATCTCTGCATCTCTATAACCCATCTCCTATATTTTTTGCCTAATTGGGCCTAATTGGTTGCCATTTTTTCAACTAAAGAGTGTCAGTGAATAGAATACAATTTCCAGAAGACCTTTGGCACTGCTCGTGCTATTATGTCTGCACTGGGTGGAAACAAGCCTCCCTTGTGCAGGGTTGGTATTCCTTGGGCCTCTAGACCCATCAAGACCTTTCTTTTCACCTAAATCAGTTGAGGACCTGTCTGCACTCCACTAAGCCAGCACCTTTCCCACCCCTAGCACAACCCACTCCAGGGTAAGCCCAATTTTATATTCAACAACAAAATCAACAAAACCTTTTAAAAATGTTTTGGAAATGTCCATTTGGAGGTGAAGAAAGCACTATGAGAAAACTGGAGCTTCGGCTCACACTGACCTGTACACACCACCTCACTCCCTCTCACATGGCTCCAACCCTAAAGTGGAATTCGCCTACATGAAAGCTGCCTTCCAGTCTGCTCTCCTACTTCCATATCTTCTCTCTCAACTATTTCTTCTTGGAACACTCAATTACTACTTACTGCTTTTCAATATTTATTGAGAACCTACATGTACCAGGAGCTGTGTAGGTCAGTGGGGACTCAGAGAGGATAAGGCAGTCCCAGGTTCTGGCCTCAGAAAGCTTCTAAGAATGTTCTCCTTGCAGCCCTCAGAATCCCACCACTCACAGAGCTCACTGTTCAGATCCTTGTCCTCATTCCCTTCCCATTCCCAGCCTGCCTGCATCTCCATCAAATTGCACCTGCCCTAAAGATCTATTCCCTGAGGGTCATGCTCTCTGGTTTCTGAGTGATGGCAAGCTCATTGAAGGGTCCAGTGTCTGCTAATAACTCTGCTGAGCCTTTGGCTTAATATCATCACACTACTCCCAACAAAAATATTTGTGTTTTAACACATCTCTAAAGTCACAGTGCCTGAAATAGAGAAGAGACCTGACCTATTGGGTGTCATTTCAAGCAAGACGCTTGTCTTGTTCTTCCAAGTGACCTATTCACGAAGATTCCACTTTTCCTGGGCAAAGCCTGGGGATTCAATCTTGTCCAGATTCCAGTTCCCTTCCTGATGGTGTTCCCCAGTCCCAGAGACAGACTCTGGAATTGGAAGGCCTGGGTCCAAGTCCTGATTTCTGCACACAGTCATTAAATGACCTGACCTTGGGTATGGTGTTTAGCTCATCAGAGCTTCACTTTGCTCATCCGTAAAACAGATCAACAGTTACCTCATCAATTGCTCATGAAAATGATATGAGATAATGTTATTAAATTACTCTGGGATATGAATGCTGCCATTATTTCAAGCAGTCTCCCCGCCTTCCCCCAACTCAGCACAGCACCCGTGGCAAAGGAGATGTGAGACAAGAGAGCTCAGCCCACTCGGGGTGCATGGCTGAGAAAGTGCTAATGAAAGACTTCCATCTTCTAGGTCCTTCACCGGTGGGCAGGGAAGGGGAAGGAGTGACTAAAGACGTGCTGAAAACACACCTCTAATATAAATCCTGAGCTCATCATTCCTTCTCCCGTCCCTGGACCTAGGTCTACCCCAGACCTAGAAGTGTATTAACTGGCTGTCTTTTTGGGCTGACTCCAGACAGCAATGTGGTCCATTAGGTTCCCAGTTCCAGAGGCTCCACAGAGCAAAGTGAGAGGAAATGTTGCCTGCTTTCCTCAGGAGCATCACGGGAGGGGCTGTGGCATGACCTCTGGTGTCTACTCTCTGGAAGACTACAGAATGCTGGTGGCTAAGGGATTCCACACCCCTTCCACCTTTTCGTGCACACTGTTTCCTCCTCTGTCTTTTACATGGGCGTCTACGTCTACTTCTGAGCCCAATCTATGACCCATCCATTCATTCATTCACTATATATTGGCTGTCTACTCTGCATCAGACGCTCTGCATGGAAATGAAACACAGCAACCCCCATTACCACACCCCACCCCCATGATGCCTGTCTCCTAGTCCAAGGAAGAGAAATTTGTAGAAAAGGACCATCCGAACTAGCTTACAGAAGTGAGGGGGGTGGGACTCCTGAGTCAGTCTGGGGTAATGAGTAAAAACTTCAGCAGAACTGGAGAAGCCCTGTTCTGCATCTCCCTTTCCTTATCTGTAAGAATCAGGCCTCCTTCCTGCTCTTGTCCCTTGGTCCCTAAGACCCTGGGGCAGCTGGAAGGGGTGGATGTTGGCCTGGGGATGGAGAGGAACTGGAGTGGGACAGTGAGCAGGCCAGGAGCAGTTTACAGACAAAACCTCAGGTCGGTTGAGGAAGCCAGAACCATGAGACAGAGGCGACTGGAGTCAGAAACAAACACCGTGATCTGGAGTCTCCCAGGTCTGTGTCTGAGCCTCCATCAGAGCGCAAGTACTTGGAGGGAAAGGAGTCTGGTCTCACGCAGTCAGCTTCCTCTCCTGAATGGGAAAAGATGGACCTGGGAGACCAGCTGGCTGGGGTTTAAACCCCAGGCCCGCCTGCCACCATCTACATGGCCTTGGTGAATTTGCCTGATTACCTTAAGCATCAGAATGTTCATCTAAGAAAACAAACAAAAAACATTTGTAAGGATCTGCCGCTGACAGTTCGTGTCCCGCTTTTCTCTAACAAGCAGTGCCACTTCGGGTGAAACATTCCTGCAGTTTTTAACCACCTGCTACCTGATGTCATAGTCCTTTGTGTAGACACCAATACAGATTCCTCCTGAGGAGCTATGAGTTCCAGGCAGGAGTTGTGACTGTCCTTCCCTGGAATACCCATGGAACTCAGTCCAGTGTCTGGAGCACGTAGGTGATCAGAAAACAGCTGTCTTCCTCCTTCGTTCAGCCCATGGAGAGGCGGGCTGTGAACGCGCTTTGCCAGGGGAGGATGGGGAACCTGCTGCGCCTCTCCTCGCGCCGGAGGCCCAGCCCTGCGGGGCGGAGGGGCTGGAAACCTGACAGCTCCAGCCCCGTGACAGCCGCCGCCTGCGGAGTCCCAGAGGGCAGCGCCGGGAAGCAGAGCGCGCGCTGGGCCCTGGTGTCCCGGGACGCTGCACGACGACGCTCCGTTAACCTCCTGGCTCGTTCTGATACTGAGGCTGCATAAAAAGAAGGATCCCATGCAAATGAAGGCCAGTGTAGCGGAAGGCTAAATACTTTTAATTAAAGGAAGGCACCTGGAGACCCAGCCGCTGGGAGGAGAGAACTAGAGCAAGTCCGCTGTGCTCTGGGCGGGGAGGGGGAGAGACACCCTGGCCCTGGAGGGCTCGCCGTTCCTCCAGGGCCCTTCTCCTCTGCTACCCCACCCCTCCTCCCTACTCCTCCCACCTTCAGCAGGCAGAGGGGACAGGAGGTGGCCTGACCCAGAGGAGTTAAGGGTGTGGCTTGGGCGCCTGGAGGAGAGGGGACTTTCTGTCCTTTGGAACAACTCTGACATTGTGCCTCTGACCCAGAGCCCTGGGGACTCAACCCTCAGACCCCGATCTGAAGGTGCGGAAGGAGAAAGTGATTGTCCCCAGGCCACTAGGCAAGTGAGAAACACTCAGGCTTCCCAGGACTGCCAGCATCAGGGCCTTCTTGCTGCCCCGCTGCAAATTCTAGGCAGCAGCGAAGCCAAGGATAACACCTTGGGGAGCCTTTAGAGCACTCGCATTTCTTCTTCATCATCACCCGCATGACTAAAATTTGCAGAGCCCTTATAACAAGCCCTGTGCCATGCCTTCATCATCTCATTTAATCCTCACACAACTCCTGAAATGAAGGTGTTCTCATGATCCCCATTCCACAGGTGAGGTCACTGGGGGTCCAGAAGGGCTAAATCACCTGTAAGGTCCCACAGTAACTTGCATAGAGGAGTCTCCAAGACAGTCCAACTCAGAAGTTCAAGGTTGCAGACCTTTTTCCTTAGAGATAAGGCACCAAGAATGGTGAAAATGTTGGACACACCGCACTTTGGACAGCATCTGACACATAGTTGGTGCTTGCTCACAAAGTAGGTGTTCAGTCATTGCAGTGGCCTCCTCCTTTAGCCAGACCTCCCTTCCCATGGTCGGGGTGAGTGTGTGTTCCCCTGGAGGATGACTCTGGAGAGACAAAACATGGGACACAGAGACCACCTGCTGGGCCCCAAGAGCCAGGGTCAGGGTCAAGGGCATCTCAGATGCCTGGGTCCTGACTTCTAAACCAGTGTCTTTCCTGCAAGTGAAGATGGGAAAGGGTGAGTGCTGGCGCCATCTCTTCCTCTCTCTTTGAGGAAAGGTATGATGAGGATTGGGGATAAAGCAGAACTGATATCTCTGAACCTATAACTAATATCCAGAACCCACAATGGCCCTGGTTGGCTTTAAGCTTCTTGATTCGGATTCACCTTTTTTTAGTACTCACTACATGCCAGGCACTCAAATATCTTGCAACGTACCAAGCAAAGGTATATCCTTATTCACTTGCCTTTTAGAACCAAGGTTCCTATGGACACCAGGCACGGTGACTCACACCTGTAATCCCAGCGACTTGGGAGACCAAGGCAGGAGGATGGCTTGAGCCCAGGAGTTTGAGACCAACCTGGGCAACATGACGGGACTCATTTCTACTAAAATAAAATAAAATAAATTTGCTGGGTATGGTGGTGTGCACCAGTGATCCCAGATACTCAGGAGGCTAAGGCAGACAGATTGCATGAGCCCAGGAGGTTGAGGCTTCAGACTGCAGTGAGCTGTGATCACACCACTGCACTCCAGCCTGGGTGACAGACTGAGACCCTGTCTCAAAAAAAAGGTTGCTTTAGTCAATTTGGATTCTACGTCATCATGCCATCTCCTTTGGGGTTACTTATAAAGAAAAAAATAAACGGCCCAAGCAGGGACTTCCTTGCAGTAACTGAATGGTCCTGTGGAGTGAAACCTACCAGTGACCTTGGCCTGAGTGTCAACAGGGTACAAAGCCCTGTAGAACTCCTTGCTCCTAGAAGGACAATAACCAACACAATCTTGGACAGATCAAGAGTTCAGTAGCACCAAATCCTTGTCTAATGGTCTGCTGAGAACCAGTTCTGGGAAAGAAGATCTTCAAGAACGGATAGTGACTTGATGGGAATTTCTGGACCCAGTCATGACAGAAGAGAATCTTTTGGACTTCTGAAAAATCAGCAAGTGCTCAACAGTCTTCACCAAGCAAAGCAAATGTTGGAGGACAATAGTCAATGCCAATGTCATCAGGAGTCAAACAGTGATGATCTTGTCTACCACTCCTCATAGGGCCTGAAGCTATAAAGCGGTTATTTACTCCTTCTCCCATCTACTTCTCCCTGGATCTCAGCGCAGGCCAGAGTAAGACAGTCCCACAGAAGTGACCTCATCCTCCCGCAGGGCCATTAGAACAATACCTCCCCCTTCAGGGCACCTGTAAATCAGGGCCCCAAAAGGGTCTGGCAGTGCTGGAATGAGGTGTGGCTTGGCAAGGAGACCTGCATGTTTAGTACAATGGCCTGATTGTGTGGATTGTTCCAACCCAGCAGCGCTCAAGTGGTCACATGTTCCCTGGGCAGCAGGTGCTATAACCTTTGCCCAGAGATTTGGAGCCTTTGGTGGTGAGACTGAGTGCCGATGAGGAGGAGACTGGTCTGGCTGTCTCCCACTGCCTTTGGGATCTGGGGAAGTCACTCCCTGACCCTGCCCATGGTCTGTGCCCAATTCTCACCCATATTCTACTCAGAGGGTCCTCAGCTATCCAGAAAAAAGAGAGAGGCAGGCAGCATGCCCAGGTAAACAATAAAAGGCTACTGAGTTTCTGCTTCTGCCACTAGCTGCCAAGAACCAATGAGGGGCAGGCACAGCTAAGACTTCAGTCCAGTGTTTATCTTATTAACTGCTGTGTGCCCAGCACCCAGCACCACACCATCACAATGAGGTCATTGTGTTACCCTTGCCACTCAGTCATTCCATCGAACACTTGTGTAAGCACAAGCTTTTACTGAGCATTGTCTCTGTGCCAGACACTGTTCTAGGCACTGGGGATACAGCAGTAAACAAAACTACCAAGAATTCCTGCCCTCATGTAACTTACCATCTACTAGGGGGAGATAGATGACAAATAAATAAGCGAAGCAGACAATATGTCAAATGGTGAAGAGAAATAAAGCAGAGAGAAAGGAATAAAGCCGGTGGCGGCGTGGTGGGGGAGGCAGCGTTGGTTTGCAATAGGGGGACTGGAGAAGAGTTCCCTGAGAAGCTGATCTTGGAGCCAAGACTTGGAGGTGAGGGATCAAGCATCCCATCAGCCCATCTATGGCAATATTGGTCCTAGACCAGCATCCCCTCCTCAATTCTCTGATCTGACTGTCATCAAACAGAAACTTCCCCTGGGCCACTGGAAGATTTTGAGGTGGGAGGAGTTATATCTGCTTGCAGTGACTACTGGGCTTGGGGAAGCTGAAGCTCACCAAAGGACATGGGAGGATAGGATGGGGCTTACACTCATTCTGGTCTTCACAGGGCTGCAGCCCATCACCACCAGTCAAGGATAGAACTGAGAGTCAAAAGCTGACTATGACAATATTTCCCCACTCATCCCCATCACCACTTCCCTCTATCCTCAGGGCTGCCATCATCCCTTAGAATTATGGGAACACAGTGCCCCACCAACACACCACCCTGCCTGCAGCCTGGCCTCCTCCAATCCATTCGCCACACTGTAGCCAGAAAGAGCTTTCCAAAACATGTCTGTTCCTTCACTTTCCCCAGCTAAGATCCCTTTGCTTTTTAGTATAAAGTCCAAATTTCTCAACATCCTACAAAGATTTTTGTGATCTAACGCAACACACTTTCCCAGACCCATCTCTCAGCTCTCACTGCAGATACACACACACACACACACACACACACACACACACACACGCACATACAAACATGCACTCTATTACTGTATTTTTATCTCCCACTACACTGAACTCAGTTCCCTAAATGTACCTGGCCCTCTCTGACTTCTGGACCTTTTTCTGCCAGTACCAGAACATTCCACCTTTACCTTCACATTCTCACATTTGCCTGGTGGATTCCAACTCTTCTTTCTAGTCTCTGCTTAGAGGTCTCTTTTTCTGGACAGTCAAGACTCTGTGGGGTACCCTCACTGCTCCCCGCACCTCCCCCTCTACACTCCAGCCACATTACAGCATGAAGCACACCTCCCTACCAGGATCTGTTTATTTGTTCCATGAGGACATGGTTCTTGTTTCAGTCACCACTGTGTTCCCAGGTCCTAGTAGATAGTCCAGCACTTAGTAGATGCTCAGTAAATGCTTGTACAGCTAAATACATCAAAGGAGAGGAAGACAGGAAAATAGAAAGGGCTGTCCTGGTAAAGGAACTATGGCCCTATATTGATCATCATAATTGCCTCATCGCTTACTTTTCTCCATTTCTTAATAGTTAACAAATCATTTTCATGTCACCCTGCTAATGAGATGTGGCTGTTACATGTATAGTTTTACTAAGTGTGAGAAACCTGAGAATTTGAGGTCACACTGCTCAGAGCAGGGCGGTATCACGAGCCCAGGTCTCTCTGACTTTGAGTCCAGGGTGCTTTCCAGAACTCACAAATCCTTGGGCTCTAGAATGGAGAGACTAAGTTTCAAACATGGCAGTACAGCTATCTCTTGAATCCTGAACAAGAAACCATAAGACTGAACTCAGTCACCTAATTTGACCTGTCAAAGTGGCTTGAGGATCTCAGGGGGTCGACGTGTACCCTCTCTTTATTTCCTGGTTACCTGTGGGCAGTCAAGGCTCCTTTCAGGAGCAGGAGCATTACCTAGTCAGGACGCGCATCCTAAACTTCTGTACACCTTGGTCACTGCCTGGAAAATGGCAATGGCCCTGGACTGGGGAATCTCTCCAGGTACTCCCTTCTTACACTTCCCTACCTGCTTACCTTTAATCTTTAAAGGGATATTCAAAAGCTGCAAAAAGACAAGACAGACTAGGTTTAAGGGAAGCCAACTTGTCCATATTCATTCTAAAGGTGCCCAACCTGTACTCCCACAGTTCCATTTGTCACTTCTCATCTCTCCAGGAAAATATTTATGCATACAGTTCATTACAGAACAATCTTTTTTTGTGGAGTACACTATCTTGGCTCACTGCAACCTCCACCTCCTGGGTTCATGGGGAAACTGAGCCTGGAATGCCATGGCTCTGGAAGCCATGGGAATGGTGTCTTCTATTCTGGATTCTGCTCTCCAGAGCCACAGGTCTCTGGTAGCATGCAACACTCTCTCAGAACTCAGAGGGTTCTCAGACAGTAGAACTTGGCAGCCCATTGAGCTGCTGGAGTAGGCTCTTGTCTGTGACTGTAGTCTTGGACACCGTAAGAGCAGACTCCTGAGCCCCAGAGAGTGCACACTCAGATCCAGGATGGAAGGGAGGAATCAGCTCACTCACACCTGAGAGACCACCTCCTCAGGTTGCCCTCATTGCCCCTTCTCCCCAGCCGCCTTGCCCCGCTGCCATTTTTGGGACCTCTCTCTCTCTCGGTATCCCTGGTATAATGACTGTGACACCACACCAAGGTCCATGAGCAATGCTTCTCTGACATCTTTCTTGTGGCTAGTTCGACTTTCAGCCACTAACGTTTATTGAGCACTCACTGTGCTACAAACACTTTGTCTGCCTTAAATATCATAATATCTTACGAGAGAAGTACCATTATTAGTCTCAGTCTTCAGACATAGAAACTCTGGCTCAGAGAAGTTGAGTGATTGGCACAAGGTCACACAGCCAGTATGAGAATGTGCCAGGGTTCCGGCTTTGGCCACCAGATTCCCAGCCCAGCAGTGTGACCCCTATGGTCTCTCTGCATTATGGAAGAAAGTGTACCAGACCCCAAATAGGAAAAAAATCATTCTCTCAAGACTCTAGGCCATCTTCACTGGAGCAAGTGATTCTACTTAAAAAAATAAAATCTCAGAGCAGATGGGATCAAAATCTATAAAGTGCAGGGAATGTGGACAAAGTGAACAGAAATTACCACGGACACAGCACACTCCAGGAGGTTCAAAGGAGTGGTGTTTGGAACAAATAATAGGAAACGCTATGTGACATAAAATATGGTAGGCCTAAAAATAGAAAGAATTTTAAAACAAGTTTAGAAAATGTGTAAATGGATGACTCACTCATTCTTGCCACAAGTGTGTTCTGTGTCTGTGCTTTGCAAGCACAGTAGGAGTTCAGTCGGAGAGCGATGGGATTCACCATGATCCCAGCCTTTGATTTCCTTTACATCCTTTCAGTTACCTACCCACCCTGTGGGCCTAAAAATCACACGTCTCGTTACTGGGGTCAAGCTTCTTCTCAACAGTCCACTAGTGGCCCCTAACACTGACACTGTTTTTTAAGTTTATTTTCTAGTTTATTCTAATGCTTCCTTGGAGTTATTACAGTTGTCCATGCCTTGGAGCTACTCCATAGGGTAGTGAAGAGAATGCTGGTTCAGGTGTTAGATGGACCTGAGTTCAGATCCTGCTTCTGCTGCTCAGCAATTGGGTGACCCAGAGCACCCTCTGTGGCCCAGTTGCCTTAAAGCCCTGGCTTCACTGGGTGTTGTGAAAGATAAATGGGGCTGTGTATAAGGCACTCCACAGTTCCTGGCATTAAGTAATACTTAGTAAATAACAGTAGTAGTAACTGTTGTTATTAGAAGGAAATACCATGCTTAGCATTCTCTTGGGGTAATGGTATGTCCACCCTGGTGTGGGGGCCATGAGTAGCAAGGATAGCCACTGAAGCATAGAAAGGAAAACGGGGCTCCAGACCCCTAAGCCCTCAAGTCTGCTCCTTCAGATGCAGGGAAGGCAGGCACTGTGTGGTCCACAACATGACACAAGAGGACACAGCCCTGTAGTGAGCCTAGCCCCATGAAGGAGTGGGCGAAGCACCCAAGTTTACTGCACTCAGAATGTGCCAGAAGCCCTCCTGGGGTAAGCAAAAGGCCAGTTAGATCTCTTGAATCTTCTCTATGCCTCAACCTCGTTCCCTTGCCCCACTCAAACCTGCAGAGTCTCTGGTCCCTTCACCAGGCCCCTGGGCACTGCCAGGAGCTGGGGAGGATAGGCCCTATTCCGTGGTTTGTGCCCACAGCAGGAACTGCTGGCATTCCAAGGCCATAAAGAACAAAAGCCAACCCTGAATCTGATGAAAAGCCCTGGGCCTGGGTTTTTTCCTTGGCACTTCCCCAAGAACAGCTGTCAGGAAGGCAGCCACTCCAGGGCCCTGGCACTGGTCTGAGAGGATTCCTGCGTCCTGACTCCTGCTGCTCTGGGCTGGACCACAGGGGCCTAGCTGAGGGGAGGGCATTCCTGCCTGGTGAGCTGCTCTCCTCTCCCGTGGTAGGAAAGTTTTCCAGCCTTGGGGGTCTGACCTCACCCTGGCCACTCCCTGGGTTCCAGAAACTTCCTTCCTGAGGGGAAGGGGCAGGTGTGGAGAGTAGCAAAAACTAGGCTGAAGTGAGTAGAATTTATAATATTTAAGGCAAAGCCTGAGTCACTGGTGCTTTATTTGGCCACCTAGTTGGCTGTCTGCTAGCTGGGTGGCCTTGCTCTCTACTTACCTTCCCTAGAATCCAGTTTCCTCATCTGCAAGATGGGTTGCCAAAAGGGTCTAGCTCATTTTTTCTAACTTAAAAAAAAAAAAAAAAAAAACTATGATTACTAGAGAAAAAAATTGAGCTGTGTACGTCAATCCTTTTATCTCCCTCTGTCACCTTCCTTTTTGTGTCCCCAGGAAGTTTTTTTTCCACCCATTTGTAAGTACCAGGGTCTCCTTCCAGAAGCCCAGGCAACTGCTGCCAAAGGCTGTGGGGTGGGCAAAGAGCCCAAGGGACAAGTGCCCAGGACACATCCCTACCCAAACCAACTGGACAAATGCCACCAGTGGTTTCTTCCAAACTGCCCTCGGCAGCCCAACCAGTGGCTCTTTTCCTTTCACCTGCCAGGACCTATATTTCTATTTCTGAGTTTTCAAAGCCTAGGGAGGTGGAGAACCTGGAATAATTAATGATTGATTTTCAGGCACTGCCACCAGGAGGCCCCAGGGCAGGCTGTCGGCCATTTCCTGAGTGCAGGGACAGGGTTGAAATCCCACGTGGCTTCGGCAGGATTGGGCAAGTCTGTGAGGGGAGAGGGTGGAGCGAAAACTGCCAGTGCCCTGAACACTTCTGCCCTCTGCAAAATGATGAAGTCGCTGCTGGAAGTTCTGCTGGGGTGCTGGCCTTCTGCCATTGACTCTCCCCTCTCTCTGGGTCAACGAATGTTAATTGCTGCCCTCACAGACACCCCTGCCCCACTGCTACCCTTGCACCCACGCCTGCACCCACAGGCACGGGCTCACTGGCCCTTTCCTCTCCAAGGCTCCTTTGGGAAAGGATTAAAGGAACCGACTTCCACAGCAAAACTTTAGGGACATTTTAACTTTGCCCTCTTTGGATGTATTCCTCTGCCTTTGTTGTCTAATAATAATTAACTTTTGTACAGAGGTGTAGTTTTCAAAGGGCCTTCACATTCATAATTTTATTCGTCCTCACAACAAAGCTACGAGGTGGGTCTGACCCTCCCCAGCCCCCCGTCTATATCCACATCATGCAGAAGGGGAAACTGAGGTTCGGGCAGAAGAAATCATCCCATTCTACACAATTAGGGCTGGAACACTCACCTCTGATGCAAAGTAGAGAGCTGCTGTTTTCTTCCTGAAGGGATGTACTTTAGTCCCAACAATGGTTCGTTACGTAGGGGAAGTGGCATGGTGGCAAGTAAGCCAGGAGGATTGTTGGGAGCAGTGGTCTTCCCTCGAGGCTGGTCTCTGGGCATTGTGCCCAGAGAAACCAGGGTACATAGGAGTAAGAGGAAGAGCTCATGGACCTACTGGAGTTCAAGGGTCTCAGTCACCTGAGCCAGCAGGTAGAATGACCCAAGTGTGCAAACAATCACCCACCCAATAGTCAGTTGAAACACGGCAGCTTATAAAAGACCCCCAAACCATCCCACTCCCACACTCTAATCAGCTAGGATGACCAATTCATCCTGATTTGCCCGGGAAAGTCCCAGTTTTAACTCGCATCTAGAAAACACTGTTGGTTTTCGTCCAGGGCAAACCAGGGCACTTTATTACCCTACCACCAGCCCAGTGCATTACAGCTGAGTCCAGAAAAGAAAGAACATCTTTTGAAGGCTCAGCAGATCAGCATAGAATTAAACAAATTGTGGGATATTATGCAAATTCAAAAACCACTGTAGTTAGGCAATTACCTAGGATTGTTGGAATGTTAAACCTGAAAGAATGTTCATTTCCACAAAGAAACGCTCAGATCTGCGGCCAGATCTCTTGCATTTTCAAAGGCAAGGCAGAGTTAGTCTCTCGTCTCTACTTCTGTATTTTGATATTGGCAATGAATTACATTTTCTCAAAAAAACACTGAGTTTAAAAAAATTATAACTAGTTGCCAGTTGATAATATTGCCACAAAAGCCTTATGGGCCTCAAGCCTGAGAAGAAAAGTTGGCAAATGAGGTATTCATTTTAAAAAGTGAGTTCTAAGGCCTGGCCAGGCACAGTGGCTCATGCCTGTGATCCCAGCACTTTGGGAGGCTGAGGCAGGCGGATCACTTGAGGTCTGGAGTTCGAGACCAGCCTGGCCAATGTGGTGAAACCCCGTCTCTACCAAAATATAAAAAATTAGTCAGGCATGATGATGCATACCTGTAGCCCCAGCTAGTCGGGAGGCTGAGGCAGGAGAATCACTTGAACCCAGGAGGTGGAGGTTGTAGTGAGCCGAGATCATGCCACCGCACTCCAGCCTGGGTGACAGAGTGAGACTAAGTCTAGAAGAAAAAAAAAAGAGTTCTAAAAGTCCCATTGAAAGTCTATTAGTCACAGTGCAAATTTATTTTAAAATTTCAAATATCATCATAGGAAGGCATATGATTTTTATTCTTAACTAAAAGCATCATGGATTTTAAGTTTGAAAAAATACTGTGATAATAGGTGATTTTAAAAATATATGTATTTCAAACCTTTCGTTTTGCAGAGGAGGAGACTGATGCCAAAGAGACAGAGTTAAAGCACCAGTTAATGACATTTCCTTGGCCTTGGTCTCAGAGAATTAGGAAGTACCAAGGAACCCAGGCCTGATTTCTGATTCTAATTAGAAGCAGGGTCAGTCCAGGAGGCCTGTGTTTATCTCTGCAGCAGAAGTTCACTGCATTCTCACTTCTTGCTCGTCCTAGATCTTCTCTGCTGAGTCTTCTGGTCACCTGCTATGTCACCTGCAGTCTGGAGAAGAGGTACTGTCAAGGTGTGGGGTGTGTTTTTCCCTGAGGAGTAACCTTGAACAGTGCACATTGTTTTTACCTTGAAATGAAATTTTAAAGATAAATTTATACATGGGACAGGAATGTTCTGATAACTTGCTGGATTTGTCCTCTAAGAAATTTTGCCCAAAAAGGGGATAGGAAAGGGAGAGGGTTCATTGCTTGGGCAGAAAAGATGTGCACAGGCAAGAATGATTGCATGAGAGTCAATGGTTATTGGTACGTATCAGAACCTTAGATTGGGTAGAATCTCTAAGGTTGTCAGAGCTGTTTGAAATGAGGGCGTATTAGATTCACCCTGGAGCATTGCCTCCCTGGTGGGAGGGAATCCTGGGTGGACAAAGAGAGTTTCTGCTGTGGCTGCCACACTCCACACCTCCCCTGCAGCAGGACACAATCCAGGGCAGCAAACTGGCCCATGGGGTCCGGAGGACCTATGCCAAGATCCATTTCCATCCCAACACCCTTGGATTGTCTCTCTCTGGGAGGGACTGCCAGAGAAGTTAGGGATCTGGAGCTTTGAAAACCACAGAGATATTTAAAATTACAATTTTAGAGAAAGATTTAAAATGATGAAGCACCAACTATTTTTGTTTACAGCCCCTCTTTGCAAATGTGGAGGAAACATGTAGGGATACACATCTTCTTCTCTCTTTTTTCACAAGATGATTCATTTCTCCTAAATTGAGAAATGAGAAAGACTGGGTGGAAGGAGGTTGTGGATTGACATGAAAGAGAAAACTTTTTTAATTCAGAAAAATAGTTCATGTGTTTTCACACACGTGTACATATGTGCATACACACACACACACACACACACACACACACATCCAATCCCCCTGAATATCCCAGTTTCCCCTGCACCTTCCTTGCCCCCCTCCCACTGGCTTCTTAGCCTCCTGTCCCAGAACAACCCCACCAGGCCTGCAGAGCCATCACTGAAAAGGGCATGGCTGTCCTCTAGACTGTAATCCTGAGTCCAGAGGTCTGGCCAAAGATTGGAGGAGCATCCAGGCCTTGACCCCCAGGCCTGCCAGTGTTCCAGGACATTTGCTCACTCATACCCACTCACAATCTTACGTGTACCCCGGTTCCCCGACTGAGAGAACTATGAGGAAGGAGGGGGCAGCTTTTGCCATCACTAAGGTAAAGAGGTGCCAGGCAGCTCTGCTCGGTCCCAGGGCTCACCAACCCTGCCATCATTCCCACCAGTGGACCCCTTCTTAACCACACCCAGGCCCCCATATTGCTGAGGCTATTGATTCCTACAGACCAGGCCAGAGGTCAGCTCAGTCCTGTTCCTTTCTAAGGCCTTTCCACACAGAGATGAAGTCTAGGCCCTCAATGCCCTTCCCCTGAACTCTTCTTCCAAGTTCAAAATCCTCAAGGAGCAAGAAAGAGGGCAGGTGGCTGCGTGTGTGTTCCAGAGGAGAGAGGCGAGGAGTTGCTGTGGAATGGGTTATGTGACAATTTTGTTAGCCTGACAATGCAAGGGTGTGAACGCTATCTGTGTAGAACAGAGGGAATGGCTTCAGGTGCTGCTCAGGATTCTTCCCTGGAAGAGGTCATAGCTGTGGTGAGAAGGTAATAGCATCTTGCCTACAGCCCCGAAAGCAGGCTCTACCTAAAGAATCAGGCATAAAACAGAAGTTCCCTCCTTCCTTTTACAAAAGAAAAGGCTGCTTCCTGGTGAGCAAACCAGGGGAGACAGGGGGCAAGGAGGGCATCCTACAGAGACCATCCCTCTCACTTCTGGTGGTCAGTGACCCAGGAGGACCCAGAGAACCTCATCCTCAGGCTCCTAGGCCTCTGTTCCCCACTCCTCCAATATTTCCAGGCCTGCTGAGTTAGGGCTCAGCTGCCTCCCTCTTCCCTCCGCTGGAAACAGAAGCTCCCAGCGAATGTTTCTAACTCCTGAGTCCACTCAGCCATGTCCCCCTTGCAAAATCCTCCCCTTCCCGCACCCCCCTGCACCCAGCCAGCCAATCCGCGGCCTACGAGCCTCGCCAGACCCATCTCCCAGGGCCTCAGCGGGATAAAACCGGTCGGTGATGCCGGGTGGATGGGAACAAACTTCAGAAGGAGGAGAGACACCGGGCCCAGGGCACCCTCGCGGGCGGACCCAAGCAGTGAGGGCCTGCAGCCGGCCGGCCAGGTATGTCACCCAGGGGTTAGCTGGAAGCTGGCTAGCAGTGAGGACGGGGGATGGAAGAAAGGAGAGGGTCCCAGGATGCCTGGCAGCCTTTTCCCTCCCAAGTTAAACGGGATAAGACTGGGACAGCGGAGGGAGTGGGCACGGAGGTTGGAGTCTGGAGCTTCTTCAGCGCACTCCCAATCCTTGATCCTCCCGGGAAGCCTGTTAGCTAGGCTAGGCTGAGGTTGGCCCTACTTCGCCTAAAAATCCTCCTACTCCTGGCAGACGATGCAGGTGTAAAGGATGAGGCCTGGGGAGGGGGCCTGAGGATGCAGGCATCGAATCTCATCGCATCTCATGCCCTTCTCCTGGGTTTGTGCAGGGCAGCGGCAGGCGCGGCCCGGACCTACGGGAGGAAGCCCCGAGCCCTCGGCGGGCTGCGAGCGACTCCCCGGCGATGCCTCACAACTCCATCAGATCTGGTAAGAACGCGGTGTGGTCAGGATCCCCGAGCCCCCGCGCCGCTGAGCGTCCGTGCGTGCGCTCGGGTGGTTGGATCTCGAGAGCGTCAGCACGGGATTCGCGGGACCCACCCGCGTGGGGACCCAGCTGGGGCGCCTGGGGCCTGGCCCTCCGCTGGAGCCGCCTCGCTGTTCTCGGGCACTGGGGTTCCACCCGGCCAGCTGAGCCGCCCTTGCCCGGTTTCGAGGGACCACATGGATCGGTGAGGGGATCTCTGTGGAGTTAGAGGGGGTTTCCTTTGAGCTCCATTCCCAGCCTTGCATGGCGCATTAGTGTGGACATTCTTCGTGCTCTGTCCCTGGGCTGCACCGGTGCTGGACTTGCCGTTTCCCCGTCCCCGACCTCTAAGTCCTCTTCCTCGGGTGCGCGCAGTCCTTCCCAGTGACTCCCCTGGCTGGACTGTGAGCTCCCCGCATCTCTCAAGCCAACGGCAATGGAGCCGGTGGTCCCGGGCCCGGGAGCCGGCAGCGCACTCAGGTGCTCTCCGACTCCTCCTGGCCCAGCACCGGGCAGGCCGGGCGCCGCGCGCGGGGCGTCCGGCTGGTGAGGACTAAGCCGCTCGCGGAGTCAAAACCCCCTCCCCACCTGCGCCCGGAAGCAGGGCCTTCAAACACACTCGAGCTCCCAGGCCGCGATGCCTGTTTTCCCCCTTCCCGGCCAGGGCTGGGCAGGGTCTTTGCTGGGAAGGAGCTCCAGGGTCAGGGCTGGTGGGCGCAGCCGTCCCGGCGCGCAGCGAGTGCGGACAGCGGTGGAGGCGCAGCGCGGCCCGCAGTGATGGATGGAGCCCGGCCGGCCGCAGAGAAGGCGATTTATGGGGCCAGGGCGCATCGCTATCGATTTGGGCCGGCGAAGTGAGAGGAAATCAATATTTCAGAATGAATTCTCCGCGAATATGATGTCCCGCTCTGCAAACGGGACATTTGTTATAATAAGGAGGGTCGGATCGGGCGCGCAGCGAGGCTGAGATCTCTATTTAGCCAAGCGCACTGCGGGGGCCCGGGCTCTGCGGCGCAGTCTCCAGTCCCAGGGCCATGGCCCAACTAGGAGGGGAGCGGGAACCCCCTGGGGCGCCGGAAGATTTCTCACTCGGGTTCTCTCTAGAGCTGCAGACGAATGCTCCCTCCCGGCCCCCATTCCCCTCAGAGACCTGGGCCAGAATCGTCCGGCTGCCCCCAGAAGGCGCGGGGTCCCTTCAAGGTCCTCAGGGGAGAGACCTCGCAGCCATTCCCCGGCGCGGCGGGGTTGGGGAGCCCTGGGACCGAGCAGAGCTCCCTGGCACCTCTTTACGGTCCGCGTCCTGGAACCACGAGCGCTCCTAGGCCACTATCTAAGGTCAGGATCAGGTTTTAGTCCCTTAATCTTTAGCCAAACCGTGGTACGATACCAGACATCGCCAGGACCATCCCTGAGGCCTAATGTGCAGTGCCCGGTGCCCATGCCAAGCTGGTGCAATGGCACTTCTGCGCCAAGCTGGTGCAATGGCACTTCTGCTCGGCTCTGGAGGTCCATCTTTCCTCCTAACCTTCCCCTGACCCTTCCGGCGGTGGCAGGAGGAGTGAGTGCTCTCGGAAATCAAATTCACTGTGGCCGGGCTGGACCCTTACTCTCTGCCGCTGCCCAAGAAATGAGACGATGTCCCCGTCCCTCAGATGAGCTTTTTTTTTTTTTCGCGGCTACTTATTTTCATTCTAGAAGTACTCGTTAGAATAGATGGAAATAGAGTATGGAAAGAATAAATAAAGGCACAATTTATTTTTACTGTAGTTTTAATCAGGAACAGTCCCAGATGATGAGATGCGCGCTTTCCCACTAGCTTGGATGCAAATCGCGCTTGGGTTTTGGGAGGGAGCCCTCTGCCCCTGGACCTACCAGGTAATTTTTTTCCCCTTTCTTCTTTTCGGGAAGACAGAGGGGCTTCTTCTACCCTCTTTCCAAAACAAATAGACAAAGTGGCGAGGGAGGGAAGATGAGACTTTCTTCTCATAGTTTAATTTAAACGCTAATAAAACAAGAAAATGGCCTATAACCGCATAGACTGCTGAAGGCGCTCCCTGTTTCTTTTCTGAACCCTCCCTCGGCAAACCTGAGGGAGAGGCCGTCTGTCTTTCTGATCAGCTTACCTGACACTGTTGTCTATAACCGGAGCTAAACTCATAAGCGGACCCCTCTGGTTTTTACAAGCCCATTATCTCTCGGGTTTTAGCAGGTTCCCCCTTTTCCCCAGGCACCTCTGTTCCTGAGACCGGCCGTGCTTAGGGAGCTCCCCTTGAGTTTTCTGTGAGCAGAGCCCGGGACGCAGGCGGCCACACGGCTTTCCGCGGGAGCGAGGCCGAGCGCACCCTTCCCAATAACCGGGGACGCTCGAGAAAACCTCCCCGCGCGGCCTCCGCCGCCCAGCCTGCCACGGGGTCGCCTCGTCGTTGGCTGGTCTTGCCTTGCAGAGAGTCTTAACGTTGTCTTTCCTACAGCTTTATTCTGCAGGAATGTTGAACGCGAATCATTTTAACGTGCGCAGGTCAGCGATGGGCTGAACGTTCCTTAAAATCGCTATTTTTGTTGCATCAGGGACGAAATTCTCTAAAGCAAAAACATTTTTAAAAAAATTCAAAGATGCAGAAGAAACGATAAATGCCCCATATATATAAAAGTGAAAACAATACTGTACCAATGAGGAAGAGAGTTTTGTAAAAGCAAGCAGGCTGGCTGTCATTAAAAGTTATCTTAAATAACTTGTCGCAGCCCACTCCCACCAGTCCCGAAAATAGTTCATTCAAGTGGTAAAATAAGACAAGGCAGAGGACGATGTCTCTAACTTCCCTGATGTGAGATCTAAAGCCCCATTCCTAACTCTTGGTTTTAGAATTGAGGAAAGTGGAATAAATGCATTTGGAAAGGATCTGTTTTCTTCCCAGGTTTCCTGCCTGGGTTGAAAATAAGGTTTCAGGGGATGGAAGCAACTTTGAGGAACATAAAGAGGTATTGGGGTTCATCAATTCATCTTTGTTTCAAGATGGTTCCCCCCCACCCTCCACAATGCAAGTTAATTAGGAGATAATTTAGCTACCTTGTGAATTAGTTTTAAGATAAGTATCTTTTTAAGCTTTGTCACTTTAATTGCCCCACTGATTGATAAGAAGTAATTATTTCTAATTGACACTTTTTTGATGTCTATTGGAAGCATTTATTTGGAACTTTTTGGGGGTGGAAGGAAAGTTAATTAATTTTATCAGTCTACCCCCAAAAGGACTCTGCCTAATTTTGTTGAAGAAGACAAAGGAAGTGAAGGAAACCAAATAAAAAATCAATCTCATGGAATTTTAATTACTAAGGGACACTTTGGTTTAAATTAGAGGGCATCTACTAATATAATATGTCAAAACGTTCTATTTATGGCCTCAAATCTCTAATTTATTGAGATGCATTTTATAGGTATTCATTTTCCTATGGATACACTCAACGGCCCTTTATATGCTTCCTTCATTTTGGAGCAGGTTCCTCTGCTGTGTAAATAATTTTTGTGAAAAGTAAAATCTGTCAAACTTGGTATGCCCAGAAAAAATGAAATCATTTTTGTAAGAGCCAATTGTAAGAAAGATTTACTAATAGTCATCCTTGTTCTGTAATTATTGATGGAGTTGGGTATAAAGGTGAAACTTTACTTACAGTGACTTGCCTTTTCATACCTAAACCTTGGAGTAAACAGTTTAATCATTCACATCCTCCAGAACATTTTGCTGTGAGAGAGAAAGGAGTGAAAGAATAAGGAGAAAAAGAAAGACACTGAAAGGAGGCAATGGGGGTGGAAAGGAAAGAAAGGGAGAAGGTAGCTGGAGAGAATAAAATGAAAGCATTCATTTCAGAAATGAAGATAGCCAGGTGCATGGAACCTTTGCCATTCAATATAAGAAAATTGAAATCCTGCTTTCAAAATACATTTTTGTTAACACCAAATCTCTACCACAGTCTCTAAGCAACCCCTAACCACCAAGGGATACCCCCAGTTTTCTACCCCTTAAAAAAAAAGAGGAGAATTTTAGGAAGCTGGCTGATCCGGATCTTGGATATCTGGCTGTCAAAGTCTTTATCTGGGGTCCATGAAAAGGAAGTAAGAAAACGCACATTGTGCTCTGGGATTTATAAAGAGATTCGAGTGTTGTTTATGTTTATTTTATTATTAAAGCCCCTGTGATCTTCATCTCCATTTTGTATGCACAATCTTTTCACAGATCGACTTGTGACTTATTGATATAGGAAAGCATTCCCACATTAACCCAAAGTAGAGACACACACACACGCACACACACGCACGTCTGGAATGAGAGAAACACAATCACACAGGACGCGTTCCTGTCAGGTTAATTTCAGCCAGTGCCTTTTTCAACCATTTATTGTAAAATCTTGCCTGCTTTTATTGATGTTTCTCCCTGATTATGTGGAGCTGCAAGAATGAGGAAATATTTTAAATGAAAAATAAATTTAAGACGTACAAACATCAGATAATATCACATACCAACCTCACTATTAGTGAAATTGAAAGAGTATATAAATAATGCAAAAAAAAATCAGCAAGGGAGAGTTTAGTAATGGAAAATTCCCTGCAATTAAATGAAACAGTAATTTAGTGAAGATATGCCTCAATGAATTAGCATTTATTAATTGGTTCTCATAAAAACAATTTGTGTGTGTGACTTGGGGAGGGGGATGTTTAAAGTATATATTGTCCAGAGATAAAGTTCCTCAAATATTCATATCAAATTATGTCGTTATCACATTCTATTTTGTGAGAAATCCCAAGTCTCTCACTGGCAAGTTACACCTGTACACAGAGAGCTTGAATGCAAAGGAAAGGATTCCCATCTAGATCAAAGAGTAAAGCTGGTTCCCACTTCTCTTGGTACATTTCCAAATGTGAAACGAATGAGGGACACACTGGCAGAGTCTTCTATGCTTAGGAACATCCAAACCGGGCCGCAAGAAGACTCCCTGAGGACCCAGCTCTTCTGGGGCACAGCTAGCTAAGCCAGAGCTAAGCCAGGGCTGGTTTGTGGTTCTGGTCCCCCAGCCTGCTCCAGCATCCTCTCCGGCTCAGGCAGGAACTGCAGTTTGTAATCTCAGCGAGGAGCTTGCTAGGGTTGACTGGTGCATGGATGTGTTTACTTTCTCTCGCCACAGTTGGTCTGTCTTCAGTTCTAAGCATTTTAAAGCTGCTCTATTTATCAGTCCAAGAAGTGCTGAGTTCTCCGTTGAGCTGAGAAGCTTTGAGCTCTATGGTTCTGAGTACACGAGAAGCCAAAAGATAAAAGAAACTGTTTCATTTAAGAAAAAAAATGTTTTAAAAAGTGGGGGCAGGGGAATGAATGAGCCCACCTTCAAGACTGCAGATTAGTTTTGCTTTTGTTTTAGTTGAAAACTTGGTGCACTGCCCCCCTTCGGGTCCTCATTCTCTTCAGAGATAGAATTTAGTATTGAAAACACCCTCTAAGAGAGGAGAATATGCCCTCACGTTATCTTCTCTTAGAGGGTGTAGAGTTCTTTGCGGGAGGGATTCTTTCCAAATGCAGATTGGAACACCTTCTTCGCCCAGGTTCTTCTGGGGAGGGAGCTAACACATTCTGCCTAGGAAATGCAGGCAATGACTACTTTCAGCAGGAGTTCTAGACATTCCTTTCGTGGGGAAGGAGTACAGAGCATGACAATCCAGGAGTCTCTTGGCTCCTGAAAACTCCACTCTGCCACACCAATCCTAGTTCATCCAGTCAGTGGTCAGTGACCCTGGGATGGATGGAATCTCTGCAGTGAGGTGGAGTAGGAAGAAGCATCCACTCGTCTTTGTTTATCTACAGTAATGACACTTTTAAATGGATCTTGAGGATTCATAATTATTTCCTTAGGTCCAGAGTTAGGGCTGACAAGACTGTTTGGGTTGCTGAAAGCCCCTCTAGACCCCTTCGTTGGCCAGATAGAAATACAATGAGCAAATTTCTCTTATATAAGCCACTGGCCAGAAAAATATTCATAGGAAGGCTTCTGTCTTAAACCTGTAATTCATGTAACTGAGTCTGGGCTTTACCTTGCTTGGCTGGTGGGGGTCCTTCCCCAGGAATGAGTCTCGATAGAAACCAGCATCTGTTTACTGAGGCATGTCTAAGATCAAGGGGAAGAAAGTCCAAGAGTCCCCGAAGGATACTTGGGTTCTGTTTCTGTGTTTCTTCCCGTGGACCCTCCATAGTCCTGAATGCCATATAAGATGCCAGCAATCCCTGTGGCTCAGCCAAGCCAGCCTCACAGCTCCTCCTGCTCTGCCCATGTCACATTTACATCCAAAGAAAAAGAACGTCTGCACAAGAGCTGAGCATACCTGGCACTTAGTGAGCTCTCAATGAATGAAAGCTGTGATTCTTCTCTCTGAGGACTGCCACAGGTGTGGTGTGGTGCTGAGAGCAGATGTATTCATCATCTCATTTAATTCTCACAACTCTGCCAGGCAGGTATTGCTACGACATTTTTATAGAAGAGAGGGGAAGGAACTGGTGTTCAAAGAGGTTGATAAGACTCCAATTCCCCTTTCCACTGCTCCCTACCTCAACCACCCAAAGTCCAGCTCATCAGAACTCGGCTACTAGATGATCGACACCTGGAATCCTAGTGGAAACTCCCATCAGAACCCTTGATAAGAAGGCCCAAGTGCCCGTGCTGGCAGTGACAGGCAGAGCCTTCCGTCTATCAGCTTGCTTTCCTCATCAGTGTTCCCCACTCTCCAGTTTAATTAAAATACACCCCTTTCCAGTATGGTTCTCAGTCTTCCCATCTGTGAAATGGAGAAGTGGTTCCTGCCTGGATGCCTCTCCTAGAAGTAGCTATGAGAAGGAAGGAGATGATCAGCCACTTGGAAAGGCAGAGGGAGGGAGGCCTTACTTTCACACATCCCCCCAAGGCTGCCGTGTCTCCATCTGCACTGGAAAAAAAGCAGCTATCCTCAGGCACCACAAGTTGAAGGACCCTGGGGAACTTACTTCCCTAACTTGGCATCTCCCAAGCACACTCAGCCTCCCTGCCTAGGTTCATCTTGGATGTGATGCGAACAGCTTCAGAGTGGCTGGGGAGGCTTCCCCATGCTGTTAGGGGCCAGCACTGGGGGCCCCATCCACAGGCAGCATAGCTAGGAGTGGTGGCCACTGGAGGTGCCGGTTGTTATGTCCCAAAGCTTAGGTTCATCCCCTCTGCCACTTCCTCAGGATCCCTCTCACTCAGGGGCTTAAAAGCAAGGCATTTCTCTTTTGGAGCCTCTGCAGAGGTTCAGTTTTAGAACGTTAGCTTGAAAGAAAGGGATTTTATTTTAATGTTTTCACTTTTTCATGTAGAAAGTAGCTGCTTAGCTCCCGGGCTCTCAGATGAAAACCTCTCTTTGGTTTAAGCAGAGGGAGAGATTGAGAAAGAAAAAATAATTCATTCCTCCCTGCTTTTAACTTTTTTTCGTCATCTTCAGCCACAATACTCATTGGTTTTGTCTTTTTTATTTGTCTTCTTAAATGGCCTTGGGGTGACATGGGTAGTTAGTGCTAATTAGTCCACTAGGACATATTGTGACTGTCAGGGCAGCACAGCAGAAGGGTCCAGGAGCTGGTTGGGTGACGCACCTAAGAGAGAAATGGCTTAATCTGCTGTCATCGGTGTGTACTACAGTGTTCGCGCACACCCAGGCCCTCTGTGTGTTGCAGTTTTGATTCTTCGGCATCTCCAGGAGGACAGTAGAACTTATTATTCTTGGGATAAACTCAGGGGCCATGAGGTGTCAAGAGAATGAGAGGCTTTTGAAATCAGCGTGAAGCCAGGATGAAAGCCCCTGCCCTGCAGGCAGAAGAAGAAGGCAAAGCCCGGGCTTCCATCTTGGCCCAGACCTTGCTGTTTTTGTGTGAACTTAGTCAAGTCAGATGTCTCTCTGGGCTTGTACTTCCCCTTTATAAAATATGGGGATGCTGCAGGGCTTCTGGGGAGTCATGTGAGTAAAACCTGTCTCCTCACCTGGCACATAGCTGCCACTCAAGACAATTTTCTGTGCTCCATGTAGTAGTCACCAAGGAGTGGAGTCTCCAGAACACATTCCCAAAGTCCCATTGTCGTAGTATTTCCTGTGAAACAGCCACCAGTAACTTGCAACCCAGTACTTCGTTCCATTTAAAATTTAGGACAGACTTTTCAATAATTCATGTGGACAAAATAATAGATCTACCACCTAGGAGTACTGGGATTAAATGAAGGGACGCATAGAAAGTGCTGGCTATGACCTCTGCGGCTGTTATCTGCTGTTACCACAGCCTGAAATGGAAAAGGATGCCTTAGTTCACCTTACCAGAAAACCCAGTCATAGGGAAAACACTAAGCTTTTGATAGAATGGCTGTCTGTGGACTGTGTGTTGAAATCCAGAACATTCTAAGGGTTTAATAGAGTTGGTCTTTGAGCAAAAATGAGCTCAAGTGGGTTTGCAGTTATGCTGTGTGTGCGGCTAAGACAGGACTGCAGGAAGACTTGCCTGGGGTACTTGTTTTTAATTGACACGGAATCATATATTTATTTTTAAAAAATTAAATCCACGTATCCTCCACCTTCTGCTTTCTTCTCTCTCCCTCCCTCCCCACCTGCCTCTGTCTCACAATTTTCTACTTTGGGTAATAATAATCCAGCTTTGGCCTGATAGCAAACCCTGGTTGACATTTAAAAGTCTCTGTGATTAGCTGAGCACCAAATCTCTGACTTAAGCTTTGCTTTGCTCCTTTGCTTCAACACTGAGCAAGGTAGAAGGCACCTCTACAGGGCAGGGAGCTGGAGTCTTGCTCTTCCCTTTCAAGAAGGCAGACCCGCAGAACCAGGAGGAAGAATGATCAGACAAAACAACTCAGTGGTAGGAAAAGGACTGAACACTAACAACCCATTCGGCAGGAGCACCAAAGTTCATTTTTCTTGAACAGTCACCCCAGCACAACTATGTTGTGGCTGTTGACAGGTAAACCCCATCTGGCTTTCTCCAGTCTGCTCCTCATTGTTCCAGAGCCAGTGTGCTCCATGACGGTCTACACTGGGGCTCCATCTCAGGGCTGCTGGACAGTTTGTGGCAAAATGTGGCAGGGCTGTAGGTAGAAGTGCCATGGAGATACTTCTGCCAAATGAAAATGCTTACTGGACACTTCCAATGCCTAGGCTCCATGCCTTCACAGATATGCAAACTTTCCCCTCTGTAGGCCTTACATCTCTTTGGCAGTATGAAAAGACCTGGGTCCTTCGAGCCTTGGGGACCTTCCTGGGCCCCCCATATTCCCTGGGGACATGGCAGTACCCCATACCAGGAAGGTCCCCATGGCCCATGGCCCACCCCCACTGCTGGCCATGGGGCTGTCTAGACAGGTGCCCCACACTGTGACAGGCCTGCCTGGGCCTCAGGGCTCCCCCTTTTGCAGGTGGCACCTGCTTTCAAGGGTCCTGCTTACAGTGACATAGCTGCTGTCCTGAGACTCTCCTTTCCTCAGGGCCTGGCTGGGGGCCATGCCATGTCTGCAAAGCACTTGGTCACGTGCTGCCCACATTCCAGCTGTCCTCACCCATCCCAGCTCCAAAGCCACCTCCCCATGAAGCTGTCCATGATTCCTCTTCCTCTTCCCCACCTCCCCAAGGTCTCCTAGCACTCTGTTTGTACGGCATGCCTTGCAGTCCAATTTTTGGAGAAGGCTTGATCTCTGTGGCTCGCAGCTTCCAGACTTGAGTTACTTGAGTACCTGGGACAATGTATGCCTCGCACATCTCAGAAGCTTCATAGGCTTTCATTATGCTGGTCTACCTGGATCCAGAGTTGTTCAAGGCTAGAGGGGGCTCACAGATGAGATTCTGTTGCCACATCTTACCAGTGAGGAAACTGAGACCCAGAGAGGTATGCCCCGACCCTGGTCCCACAGCCCTTGTGGCAGAGCAGACACTCCATCTCATCACCAGGACTCTTTCCATGACCCTGTGGTGACTTCCAGGGCATGTTGAGTTAGAGTGAGGGCTGACCCAACCCAGGGAGCCTTTGCTGTGGCCTGTGCTGCATAAGCAGGACCCAAGGAAATGAAGGGGCCTCCTTCGCCTGCTGACAGGGACTGGGAAGCCCAGTGACAGCTGCTGAGACATACAGACACACACCCATGCACACTCACATGCATGCACACACATACACAGCATATGTACAACACTCACATCCAAACATACAGACAACCGGGGGGATTAGGGTGAAGCAGGAAGGCACTCAAGGTGCAAAATTCCAGGAGGCTCTCTCTCTCAGGCTCACGCAAGGGCAGGGTTGGCCCTGAGAGCAAGTGCCTCCTTAGATCTTATAGCCTGGACACCTGGCTGTCCTCATTCTAGTCCCCTGTATCCATATGACACACACAGTCATACCCAGTTACACACACAGACCACAGTACTCACAGACATATACATGCACACATGAATACAATATTCCCCATCTCACACACATAAACATACTAAAAGTAAGCCTTTAAAATGTAGAAGTATGTGCAGAAGACTGTCCTAGGTCTGTGGGTAATTTAAAAAGACCAGAGAAGGCCCTGCTTTCAGAGACCCTGAGAAATGCAGCTGGGAAGTTACAGGTGTGATTGATGAGTCCCGGCTGTACTCACAGTTGCTAGAAAGGAAGTCATAATCGATGCACTGGGGAAAGTAGGGTGTAAGCTATCCAGGAATCTGCTCTGTGCTATGCATCTATTTAGGCATGAGGTCACTGACATGTGACCTCCCTGTTCTTGCAACCTGTGGTTTAAGGTCTGAGTAGAGGAATACCAGTGTCCAACCATGAGCCCCTCCTGGCCACTAGCTCCTCACTGAAGTTACGGGTCATGGGTAGTCATGGAGCCCTGTAGAGACCTTTTGGTCCAGCATTCTTGTTTTCACATAAGATCCAGGGGCAGCCAGTCATTTGCCTGCATCAGCCCCTAGCACCACTAGGTCTCTGGGGTTCACAGTGGCTCTTCCCAGATGAGGACAGAGCTACCAAGTGGGCAGCAGCAGTAGCGGCAGGACTCATCCACTCAAGAACTGGCCTCAAGGTCCCCCAAGAATGAAGCACTGAAGGCAGGTGGCTGCCAGCTAGCATGGGCAGGCCTCTCTGCTCAGCTCAGGATATTCTCTCTAACATTCTGTCCTTGCTCAGAATTCCTGGGCCACTCTGCGCCTGAGACCCCTCAGCCCCAGGCAGTTCAGGCATGTTCTGTCTACTACACTCTAAAGGAGAAGTGTGAACACAAACCACAGCCGCATGCACAACACCGAGCTTGTTTCTCCACCCACATAGACTGTATTTGTCACTATTATACACAATATGGTGCCATCATGCATATTTTGTACATTTGATCAACCAATATTTATATAAAACTTTCATAAACACTTTCAAACAGTTTTACCCCACAGGGTGGGCAGAGGTGCTTGTCAATATAATAAAACTGAACAACAGTGGTAGAAAAAGGTACACTTGTACTTATCTTCAAGTTTAAGATGTAAATTTTTTCTGTTCAATGGCCACTACCTCATATTATTTTTAGGATCTGGGATCGGACTTAGCAACACATTATGACTTTCAAGAAGTTGAGCTCACTGTTTTGTGGCGTTCTTTGCAGAACACCATGAACTTCCGGGTGCCCCATGTGCTGACAAGTGTCAGAACAGCTGGTGTCCAGCTGACGTGAGGCTGGACTTGTGTGATAGGCACGTTGTGGCCATAGCTCCCCACTCTGTGAAATGATGAGATCGACATGCCTCCATCCATCAGTAGGATCCCCAGCATGGAGAATTTACACCGTCACCCTTCAAAGAAAGGAGCCAAGTCCTGGGCACCTCCTCTCACCTTGACTTTCCTACAAAACACCCTTCTTTCTTGGCACCAGTATAGCACATGTGTATTGGTCATTTAGGAGCCCAGGTGCCTTGTGGCAGAGTAAAGACACACACAGAAAGGCTGGTCTTTTCTTACTCAGCATCCCTGGAGCACACCCAGAACATGATGCCTTCCTTGAGATTTCCTTTAAAGACCCTGTCACCCCTGAGGTTTCCATCCCAGCTACCTACAGAAGTCGTGATTTCTTTTGTCTTTCTCTCAGCTTCACAGACTTCTTGGTCCACCATGGGGAGGGCTTCTATTCCCAGTCATCCACTGTCCTGTGGTGAACCTCTCTCCTCTCCTCCTGGCCCATTTCTCTCCCAAGTGTGTGCTCAGTCTGCACCATGTGGCCAGATCATCTTAGGTTTTGATCCAGCTCCTAAAGAAGCACTCACTGCCCCTTCACTCTCTCACTCTGACTTCCCAGCACTTGGGTTTTGCTGCCTCTGTGTCTGGAGTGCTCCATGCAAATTTCTCACCCCAACCACTGGCATGCTCAGTTACCTTTAGTTTTTATGATGTGTCCTCACCCATCCTCTGGCCACACAAGGCTCAAGATCTAACTCCAAATTATTTCAAAGAGCATTATTACTCAACTATTCAATTTAGTAAGTCAATGTCTACTAAGCCCCTCAGTGTGGCAGGCAGGGAGTTAGGCTTTGGGGTTATGGAACTCAGGAGACCATGCCTCTGCCTTCGTGCTGACATTCTAGAGATAGGAAAGCAAACTGAACTTTCACCATAATCACAGAGAGAAAGCAAAGGCTTCAGTCTAGATAGACACAAAATGCTGAGCAAGTAGGAGAGGGAGGCATGGTGAGCTCTGACCGGGTCAGGGTGGGATTCCTTAAGGTGGCTCAGAGGAGAAACCAGCCCCAGCAGAGATGCAGAGTCCCAGGAGGGTGTGCAGGTTCCAGGCACCAGCAGTCAGCCCTGAGGGAAGGAGACAGCAATGGGAACATGGTCAGGGTTCAGCCCAACTGCAGGGGTTGACAAGAGAAGCTAAGCTATGGTGTTAATTCCAATGTGCCATCAGAACGTCTGGGTAAAGTGCACTCGATGTATACGTTTTAGGGCATTTTATTCACTTGTGCATGAAACTTCCATCCTCCCCTGGCTTGGCCTCACGCTTCTGTTGTTGGCAGTTTTCATATCCTTCTTGGCTCTCTTGCCACAGCTGCATACCTACTGACGCTGTTGTCTTCAGGTTTTGCGGTGATTTTATTAAGTGGAAAAGCCATGGCAATAATCTGTGATAGCTAGGTTATTCACTTTTTCAAAATGTTCTGGTTTCTCTCCTCTCTTGGCTCTGTTTCAGACAAACTTAACCTGGTGATTTTCCAAAATAATCAGATTTCTCCTTGCACTTCCTTTTAATCCAATCATTAACAAGCCATTTTCAGGCAAACTGCTGATGTACAATCCGAGAAGACTTTCTCCTACCTCCGTGGCCTATTTCCCACTATTTCCGTATGCAAACCCATGTTCCAGCCAGCTAGTCATTGTTTCCAAAATACACCATGTACATTCTCACCTCTGTGTCTCTGCCCATTCAATGCAGCTACCTGGAACACCCTTCCCACTCCCACTCCCTTGACAAAGCCTCAGTCAAGCTCCACCTCCTTCCCAAGACCTTTTTAGACACCCTTTACCTTTAGTGACCATCCTGTCTGACTTCCCACTGCACCTGCTCCACTCCCTGGGTACTCAGTACTTGTTCCAACAAATGTCACTTAGCTTCTTACAGTGACAACCTGCCTCTGAGCTAGAAAAGAACAAGAACCCTTCCAGATCTCTCTCTATCCCCAGCACCTTACACAAAATCCTACATAAGGAGTGAGGACTCTACAAATGTCTGGGCTGCTGGTTTTCACCTAATTCTCCAATAACATTTTTTATTGCTTCCTTGGTTGATGCAACTTGCACATTTGAGTTTTGTACATGAAGTTTTTCCAACATGAAATACACCTGATCCTTTCCCATGATATTGCTATATTACTTTTCTATTTTCTTTATAATAATTGGCAATGAGGGAACTGAGAAAGCAAGAAATGCAGCCTTTGAGGGAACCTGATGCAGCCATTCAGGCCGGAGCTGCCCCACTGGGATACCTGCCTGGTCCTAGAGGCATCTTGTAGGCACAGAAGCCTATGCTTGAAGGCCAGATAGCCAGGTTGAGCAGCAATGGGCACTGGGAGTAAAAAACACTGGCAAGCCTGGGGAGTTTGAACCAACAAGGGACCTTCCTAGTGGATGCTGGGTGTCGACTTGGCAGGGTAATTGGTCAGATTTAGGGTGAGAGCATCTGTGAGGATAAAAGATTACAAGATTCCTGTAATTCCTGCAGACTGGGAATACAGCTCCAAACAATATCTAGCACATAGTAGACATATACTAAGTGCTTCACAAGTATTTGTAAAATGGATCTTTCTTTTCTTCTTTTTTCCTCTCCTTCTTCCTTACTTCCTTTTTTTTCTTCTTCTTTCTTGGCTTTAGATAACTGTTTCTCAAGTGTGGTCTATATCAAAACCTCCTGGGATTTTTGTTAGCAAATATGGAGCCCTGGAATCTGTATCCTTCACAAGCTCCCAGGGATTTTTTTATGATCAGCATTTAAGAAACACTGATCTACAGCCCACCCACAGTCTTTCCCATGTGGAGTCCCTCATGCCTGCCTGCTGGGGGCACAGCCCTTCTTTTTGCACTGTGCCTCCTCCTCCCAGAGATCTCCCATCTGGCTATGGGTAGAAGCAGATCAGATTTGAATGCAGTCTCAGGTCTGCCCCTAACTGGCTGTGCACATGCCATTTGAGCCTCCGAGATGGCATCTTTATCTATAAAATGGGGCAAAGTGCCAGCCCCACCTACCTCATGGGATTGTTGTGAAAACTAATCCTGGATGCAACCAAGTCCAACAACTGGTGTTTGTTGAACTAAATTTAAGAATCACTTACTTGACAGTATTTTGGAAGGGCCCTGTGGATGTCAGGTGAGTTTATAACCAACATTTAGACTGGATCCAGGGTCAGAAAGTTCTTGAAAGGAGGAGAAGCCTGGAGGTCCTGGTAATTGGAGGGAATCCAGCCTGGCATTTGGAATATTTGCTGTGCTGATACACTGATGTTCTTTCACTGAAAAAAAACAAAACAAAACAAAACAAAACATTGCCACATGATGCAAGGATCACAAATGGAGAACAAGATGATGAACAAGATGGTAGCAAGTATAGTAATGTCAAGAGAAACAGGTTTTCACCAAAAGAGGGTAAGCTATTAGAAAGGATTTTACCCTCTACTTGACTGACTGAACCTGCCTTACACTTAAGAGTCATTTGGAGGGAACTGGAGGGGCAGCCAGTTACCCTAGGAGAGCAGCCTCCAGGGGCTGCCCAAGCCTGCTGTGTGAAATTCAGGGCTAAAGCTCTAAAACTCTGTTGATCTGTGCATGCGTTTGCTAGCGCTGCAGTGACAAAGTACTACAAACTGGAGGGCTTACATAATAGAAATTTATTGTTTCACAGTTCTGGAAGCCAAAAGTGTCAAATCAAGGGGTCAGAAGAGTTGTTTCCTTCTGAGGCTGGAGGAGAATCTGTTCTGTGCCTCTCTCGTAGCTCCTGGTGGTTTGCTAGAAGTCTTTGGCATTCCTTGGCTTGTGACAGCATAACTCTGATATTCATATGGCTTTCTCACTTTATCTCTGTATCCAAATCTCCCCTTTTCACAAGGACTTGATCATATTGGATTAGGCCCACCCTAATGACCTCACCTTAACTAGATCATCTGCAAAGACCTTGTTTCCAAGGTGCTAGGGTGGTGGGTGGAGACAGGGGAGAGACTATTCAATTCATAACACCTAAGTATTGTGTCTCCTTAGTCCGTTTCAGTCCCCACCCAGCCCTGACTTGACTCTCAGCTGCTTTGGGTCTGAGCAACACCGCTGCAGAAGCTCTGATTTGGAGCTGACAGAAAAAGAAGGGGAAGGTGACATCCATCCTCCAGAACCTTTCCTATTGCTCCAACAGAGGAGGGGACTCCCCCTCCCAAGCCAGAATCCCCCAAAGAGAGCCTGAAGTCCAGGTTCAACACTTAGAAAAGGCGAGTCATGGTGGCTCACACCTGTAATCCCAGCACTTTGGGAGGCTGAGGCCAGAAGATTGCTTGAGCCCAGGAGTTCAAGACCAGCCTGAGCATCATAGCAAAATCACCTCTCTACAAAAAATAAAAAACACTTAAGAAAACAAAAAGGATAAGCAAACAAGCTGATACAAGAACCTAAAATCGGCCGGGCACAGTGGCTCATGCCTGTAATTCTAACACTTTGGGAGGCCGAGGCAGGTGGATCACCTGAGGTTGGGAGTTCGAGACTAGCTTGGCCAACATGACGAAACCCTGTCTGTACTAAAAATACAAAAATTAGCTGGGCATGGTGGTGGGCGGCTATAATCCCAGCTGCTTGGGAAGCTGAAGGCAGGAGAATTGCTTGAACCCGGGTGGGGCGGAGGTTGCAGGGTTTCAGTGAGCCGAGATCGCACCACTTCACTCCAGCCTGAGTGAAAGAGTGAAACTCTGTCTAAAAAAAAAAAAAAACCTAAAATCTTTCAGGGCATGACTTGCTTCAGGACATGTTCTGCGCAAACCTCACTTTCTTCCTCCACTCTACCAACATGGCCCCAGCCAAGAAGCCACTAAGCTCCCAAAGGGCTAAGACAGGGATTTAGGTCAGAACGCTGAGGTTCTTTCTTGGTTCTGCCATGAGGTGAATCTGTGACATTAGACAGCTCACCTCTCCTTCCTGGTCAAGGATCCTCTCAGAAGTGTGCCTTGCAACTCTGCCACTCCACAGACACTGTGCACATCCACCTTCATAGTCTGTAAGCCGTGGCAGCCCACTTTGTTACCATGCAAGTCATGTGGCAGCCCATAGGCCCCACTGTGTGCTACCTTCCCTCATCTTATGGCACGCCCAGTGTCACCCCTGGTGTTTTGTCACATAGGAAGGTTACTCAATGTTTCCCTCTAGAGCTCTCTCTGTACCAGCTTCTGGGGGTTTCTGGCCTCTGTTCCCCGGCTGAGGGCAGTCCCAGAGTTGTAGACATTAGGACTGGAAGGATCATCTGCTTCTGTCAAGCCAGATGAAAAAACTGAGGCACAGACTGGCATCGTCACAGAGTGGGCAGAACCTAGGCCTCCTAATTCTCAGCACCCCCTGTTTCCTCTCCAGAAACTGCAGCCTGCAGGCTGCATCTGCTGGCCTCTGTCCCTTCCCCTTTTCTTCTGCAGCAGTGAGGGCAGCTTTTAGAGTGGATAATCTCCTTCGCCATGGTGCCTGCTATCGACAGGTGTGGAAACAACAGATGCACGGTTTTGTCACAGATTTTGCTCCTGTGTGTCCCTCAGAAAGGCGGTTCCCCTTCATTTGTTCTTACCTGTTATGGTCCCCAGGATGGCCAGGCCCTCCTTCTGTCCCCCACCCTGAAGACTCTGCAACTCACACACACAGTCACACACATACACACACACACACACACACAAAACAGTCACTCTCTCTCTCTCTCTAAACGTGCCCTAATTCAGGCTAAAGCCCACCCTTTACAAATGCCTCCTCCATGAGCTAGTCAAGCCCATCAGGTTGTATCCTAGTTAAGATCTCAGAAGCAAAGAATCTCGGCCTTCAAAAGAAACTTAGAGGTCATTTAGTTCAACTGTCCGGGTGAGGGAGGCATCTTTATGTGACTTCATTATATTCAATATTCCCTAGTTCCTCTGGCTTCTCAGTCTCTGCAGTCACCCCAGCTACAGCTGTTATTTCCTTCCTATTCCCCCTTCTCCCCATCCTCCCTACCTACCCCTACTCTCATGGTTTCCTGCCCTCAGCAGGGGTTCTTCTCACCATCCCTCTATTTCCCTCCTTACCCATCTCTGAGTGATTTTTAAATCAGTGCCCACTAAACTCACATTTATAGTATTATAACTTTGAGCTGTAGAACCTACCAGTACTTTATGTCCTTTACTATCCATCCCCATCCCCAACACACACACATACTCACACATGAGCACACACCCCCACACCCACTCATTCATACACACATTCACACAGACACCCATATACACACCTCCACAGATATTCCACGGAGCTACTTGTGGACAGAATTGAAGGAGACTGTGCATGTAAATGTGTTGAAAATCTTTAAGGTTCTATAATATGTCAGGGACTATTAACTTGTAAGTTTCTCAAGGGCAAGGACTGTCTTCTACTCAGAAACCATCACCCCACATACACACAGCCTGGAATATTATTAGACACAGAGTAGGTGCTCACTGAATTGAAATCTAATGTACTGAAAATTGCTTTAATATAAACCCATTAAAAAAAAAGCATCAGTAGCCACAGGCCTCTGACCTCAGGGGGAGTTGAGGGTGTAGTGCAGTAACTTGTACAGTCGCTAAGCATCTAAACGCGTGTTCGGCAGGTGCTGCCATACCTGCCTTGCCTGTTTCCCTCCCCAAACGCAGAGACCCTGGACCTTCCTTCTGCAGCCCAGAGGGCCCTTCCACAGCCCTGGTGTGCGATGCCAGGAGTCTGCAAGTGTCTAGGAAGCTCAGTGGGAAGGATCTGGGAAGAATGACCTCTAGTAAACCTGCAGGGAGCACTGGGAAGCTCCATTTGCAGCCCCTGACTAGAAGTTCATGTTTCATCAATTAATGCTTTCGATAAGTGTTTGTTGACATCCACAGAGTAGATATAAACTCTAGGCTATCAACAGAGGAGATTTTTAAAAATACAGATTCAGGGATGCTATGCCAAAAGATTCTGACTGAACTGACCTGAGGCGGGAAGTTTCTGGACTCTCCAGGTGATTCCAGTGTGCAGCTGGGAGGAGGAAAGCACTGCTCTACCCACTGCAAAGCACGCCTGCATGGTCAGATGAAAGCTGCACCTCCCCTCAAGGAGCCAGGTGTCTGCGGGAAGAACTTGACAACGAGATTCAAAGAGAGGACAGGGGCTGGGGAGGTCGGTGGGAGGATGGAGAAGGTTCTGGAAGGTTGCTTCTGGGAGGCTTCTCTCCCTGGGCTTCTGAAGGCCAGAGTGCAGGGTGTGGATTAGCCATACCCAAAGCCACATTCACAGAGGGGGAAGCATCACTCCTGCAGGAAGGAAAGGAAGTGAGTCCCCTGCTTGGGAAATGGTGCCCAATCTCAGAGGGAGAAAGTGGCTCATCTGCTGTTACTTTATATACCTTATATTGCTGATATAATTTATAGGATCTAAGACAGCGTGAAGAGACCTCCAGAAATCTCTGAGACAGCACCAAAGGCAACCCTACCCAGGGAACCCTTGGACTTGGTGACCTTCAGGCTCAGAGCAGCCCATGTGTGTCTCACTTGCCTCAAGCTCTCTGGCCCCTGTGCTCCCAAGGTCTCCAGCTTGGCTCCAGGAAAAGGCAGGGCCTCATGTCAAGTAGTACTTTTCTTAAGGAGCTTAGAGGTCTATTGACATTTGAAGCAGCTCCATCCCTAAAAATCCACACACTGAAGCCCTTCTTGGGAGGGAGGTGACAGGGTTAATCTAAGGGCTGGGGGAGGCGGAGAAAGGCCTTGAAACCACACAGTGAAGCCAACCAGATTAATAGAGGAAGAGAGAGGGGGGTAGACCATTAGGAAGACAAAGAGAAAATCATGCTGGAGCAATAGAAAGGGAAATCTAATATCAACTAGGGAAAAATAAATGGAGATTAGGGCAAACAAATTAGCTTTAATGGGTTCAATGCTAATACAAGAATAACAGCGGAGCTGCGAATGCCTTTGAGGGGAAGATGGGATAAAGAACCTGAGCAGTCATGCAAGCAATAAAGATTATGCAGGGAAGGGGGATGGCCAAAAGAGCCAGCAGGGAGGGAGAGAGAAGGGAAGACTCCGGGCAGATGGGTAGGGGAGCGGTGGCATTGGAGGAGTCTGCCATCTTTGACAGGAAAGGACTGGGACAGAGAGCTGGTAAGAACTGGGGAGGCAGCAATCAGGAGGGAAATAAAAGAAAGCAAGGAAACTGGGAGACACTGAGGGCAGGGATGCAAACCCAGAGCCGGAAAGACTGGGAAGAAAGGAGGCAGCGATGGATGTAAACAAAGAGAATGGAGGACAACCAGCCAGTACACAAGAGTAAAGGGAAATAAAGGAATTAGGTGCCCTCTCTGACTGGAGAAAATTTAAAAAGGAAAAATTAGGCCCCAAGAAAATGAAAAGCTGGAGAGGACTTGGAAGTGTGTTTTGGAAAGCACCCATACTTGGTAGGTGACGAAAGGACATATTCGCTCTTAGGGCGGGGTCTGGCTATTCCTGGAATACAGTGCTGCTGCCAGGGGTGGCGCCGGAGGTGGGTGGGCAAAAGTAAGCAGTGCAGAGCATTCACTATGGCATCTGAGAGCTCTCAGCTTGAGTCTCAGTAATGCCACTTTGTAAAGGTGGAGCCTTGAACCTGTTACATGCCGAATCTGTTCCTCATCTTCTCATCAATAAAATGATAATGTACTTCATTTCTCAAAGGGTTATTATAAGAATTAATTGAAAAGATGCATTTAAAATACTCAGCTTGGCCCAAAAATAAGCACCTCCCATAATACTGGCTATGATTATTATTCTTAGGCATTGACTAATGGGGAAGAGGGGCTGGGTACTAAAGATAGCTCTTCCTCCCTCCTTCCCCCACTTCCTCTTCTTTTAGGTCCAGCATTGGTGAAATACGAGCCTAGTTTGATTCTCTCCCAGACAGAGTCTAATCCAAGGGAAACCTCTTTATCCATCCTCTATCTCCCTCCCCTGTCCCTCCCCAGCTCCCTCTCACTATTGGGGATGAAATAATAATGCTAAGCCTTCCACCACAGCCACCCTCTGGGCTGATCTAAGGCAGAAGCATCTAAGGAAGCCAAATATCACATTCGATTGGAAGACCCTCTTATATCTGCCTGAGCCTCAGAGTGTAGTAGACAAGGAGCTGGCGTTGGTCCTCATGGCCTCACATCTTAGGATCCTCCTGGGATGCATTAAAGAGCATAGACACCCCACCAGGGAAACAGAGCCCCAAAGACCAGCACACAGCAACAATAACAAGCTAGGAGTCAATCGGTAACAGCCTAGTCATGGGCACTAGAAGGGGAAAGAAGGAGCTGGGATTATTTCCTACCCCTCCAGGCATCCCAGAACCCTGCCCTTTTATCATTACTAAGGATTTTAGAAGAGAGAGAAGAGAAATCAATCCAGGCAAGAAGAGGGGCAGATAGGGGTGGGGGATCTTTGCCATTTGCTAATAAATAAGTTAATTAACTTGAAATCATTACAAAAAGAATCTTCCCATAAAACCATAACCTCCAAGAGGGCAGAGACCCATCTTTCTTCATCCCCCTATGTCCCCAGAACCTGGAACAGTGCCTGTTATGGAAATGGTGGGTCTCAGTGGTGAGGGTAATGGCTAACATTTGTGGACGGTCTACTGAAGCCCAGGTCCTGTGTCAGGTGCTGCACGTGCACCATGTTATTTAGATCACTTGGCACACTTAGAAGGAAAGACAGAAAGAAGTGACAGAAATTCATGCCAAAGTAATAAGTTAGTCAGAGGTGAAGCAGGGGTTTCTGACTCTCTTCTCCATATAGCTTTAAGGAATGGAAATAAATGAATACATGAACCTCACCCACTCATCAGGGCAAGAGGACAGATTTGAAAGCTACCTCTCAGTTTGGGTGTTATTCTATATATATATATACACACACACACACACACACACACATATATATATATATACACACACACATATATATTCCATATATGGAATATGTATATATATATAGAATAATAGAATATATGAGGGACTGATAAATGGGCCACCCGGCAAGTAGTAGAAGTTTAAAGGATAGTGGAAGGACTTTCTTCTTGTTGTTGTATGTGGCTCTTGTCAGCCAATACCTCAGCAGCAGTAGTTGAATCAGATTCCAGCTCTCAGCTCTCCCAGAGCCAGCCTCACATGCCCCCAGCAATAGCTGGGATGAGCCAGCCCTTCGGAGATCCAATCCCCAGCTCCACAGGCTCTTCCTCTAAACATGTAGCTCTGATAACTCCAGTTTCTTCCCTTTGATTCCTCCAGGCTGAGGAGCAGTGGTTGCTTCCTGTAGCTACTATCTCTGGGCTATTTCAGTGTTTCCTTTGTGCTCTTACAGCCCTCCAACACCAGACAACAATTCCCCATATTAAAGCCCCTTTGTTGAAATACCTAGGAAGGTTTCTGTCCTCTGACCAAGCCCTGGCTGATACCAGAAGAGATCTGAGGAAACCAGATTTTAAGACTGGATTGATCATGTCCTTGGCCTTGAACACAGTACTGAGCTCCTTGACAATGAGAACTGGAGAACTTTTTTTTTTTTTTTTTACTGATTGAGCCCTGGCAGGCATATGCATGCAGCACTGCCTACACAGTCCTGAGTCAGAAACTTCTCATGGGGTCTCTGAGTCTGGAATGTCTGAGTTCTCAGAAGGGGTAGCATTTGCTGCTAACCCTCTGCCTCCCTAGCTTGAGCTGTCTCTCGTGGTTTTTTCCCCTGATGGATGTTAACATCTTCCCAACAGAGCTATCAACCCAGTGAGGGAGGAGTCTGTGTAGATCACCTCCCATCATTCTCCATAGAGTCTCTATGGCCCAGGTTAGAAGAAAAAGACTTCTTGGCTCAGACTCCAAAGACTAGAGTCAGTGACAGTTTCCTTAGTGGTGTAAAATGGCAAGAGTAGCACTAATCTCACAGAAGACTCCTGCAGAACACACTGCCACATTCAACCATAAAGCTGCTCTCAACAGTGTGAGCCTGGCAAGCACTCACGCATTTAATGTTGACGTTGAAGATCTGATATGTGAGCCAACAGGAAGACCTCTGCATTCATACCCTGACTCCTTCAGAAGCAGGGCAAACCTCTTTTTTTTTTGGACTGTGGAATCTGGACCGTCTTCTTTAAATAACTCATTTCTGTGAGTATATGTGTCTGTGGAAAACAGAATTCTGTTTAAGGCAAAGAAGGTGTGGGCTTCACTAGACTTGTAGATCTGCCTCCCTCCTCCCCTCCCTCCTCCCCTCCCTCCTCCCTCCCTCCTCCCCTCCCTCCTCCCCTCCCTCCTCCCTCCCTCCTCCCCTCCCTCCTCCCCTCCCTCCTCCCCTCCCTCCTTCCCTCTCTCCTTCCCTCTATTCCTCTGTCCCTCCTTCCTTCTTTTTTTCTTCCTTCCTTCTTTCCTTCCTTCCTTCCTTCCTCCTTCCCTCTATTCCTCTCTCCCTCCTTCCTTCTTTTTTCCTTCCTTCCTTCTTTCTGTCCTTCCTTCCTTCCTCCTTCCCTTCCTTCCTTCCTTCTTCCCTTCTTTCCTTTGTTCTTTCCTTTCAATAACCAACAGGCACTTATATTCTGCTTACTGAGACTATGTCCTGGCTTATTTAAAAGAAAGGACCAAAGAGAGCAGGCAGGGAAAGCCAGGGAAGACTTTCTGTAGGAGGGAGCTTCCTGAACCGACTCCTAAGGCATGAATGGAAATCAATCTGGAGAAGGTGAGGACGGGCACTCCAGGCATGGAGGACACAGTCAAGGACCCAGGAGAGGATTCAGATGCAGCGAAAGAATGGCAAGCAATTCTGTGTTGTTAGGGCATCAGGTTCAAGGCTCAGACAGGTAAGAAATGAGGCTTGAACACTAAGTCAGGGTCAGGTAGTGGTAGGCATTGTCTACAAGATTTAGTAGCTTGGACTTTGCCATGAAGAAAATGATGCCATGCCTTGCAAGGATTCTTAAATATGGGAGTGATATGGCCAGACTAGGATTTAGATGTGTTGCTCCCGAGCTGGGTAGCAAAGGTTCACTTGAGCAAGGTTGGATGTGGAGACCAATGAGTCCAGGTGAGTAGTTAACTCCTACTCACCTTCCACTCAGGTTACATGTCATTTAGAGACATCTTCCTAATCAGCTTGAGCTCATTCTCTCTTGCACCCCCACCCCATTACACCCTGTTGTGTTCTTCTTAGCACTTATTCCAAGTAGTAATTACACATTTATTTCTGTATTTACTTTTTAAATATATACCCATCCCCAGCCTACCTATCCCTAGCCTGAAAGCTTCATGAAGGTAGAAATCAATTCTATGTAATCAGTTCTATTAAAATGTTTGCCACATGGTAGGCATATAAAATACATGTAGAATGGATAAATGAATGCAGGAATATTTGAATGCTGGGGACAGACAGGAAGGTATTGGTTAGGTAAATATTTAGGAGGTAAAACGTGGTCTTGTGAGTATTCCATATGCAGAGAATGGAAAAAGATAAAGGCTATTAGTTGATTCATGTGACATGTTTACTGAACACCTAATATAATTTAATAATGATCAAAACGAAAGAAGTCTTCCCCTCATGGAGCTTTCTATCTGGTGATAGAAGACAGTTATGATTCATACATATATAGTTATGCAAAAAATGTAAAATTAAAATTTGGACCTAAAGATGCAATTAAATTTATCTATGATACCTCCCCAGTCCCCCCAAAATTCCTCCCTTGACTATGAGACTTTTTCTTCCCCTCACTTTCAACCAGATTCCAAACAGCAGTTATATTTGATGCTACCTTTCTATGACAGCCATTCAAGAAAGGTAAAGCATGTTATTAGAACACCCAAACAGAAGCCTGAACCTACTCTGCAGGATAAAGCAAAGCCACCGAGGAAGTGACTCAGTGCTGAAATATAAAGGATGAGCAGGAGTTAACTAGATACGACAGGGAGACAAGAGCTCCAGGAGGAGGGAACAGCATGTGCAAGTGCCCCAAGGCTGGGGACACACTGTTACTTCCAAGGTTGTGCAGAAGACCGATGACAGTGCGGTGCAGAGAGTGTGGTGGCAGGTGGCAGGAGGTTGAGTGGAAGGGGCAGGCCCTGAGCTTGCATGACAGCTGGTATTGTTACCAACCAAGACAACACTAGAGGAGGAGCCCCCTTATCACCTAAGAGGAAATCTCCAATAGAAATTGAAAACAAAAGTTGGGGGAAGGACCTGACTGGGGTTACCTGGGATGCCCATGATGCCATCATGAGATGGGTAGTAGGTATGACAATAAGGGTGTGTAGGATCACCAAGGATGGCCTTGAAGGGGGAGAGAAACACTGAGAACTAAGAGAAGCCTGAAGGGAGAAAACATATGTCATGGAGCAAATAAGGGAACAGAACCCCATTAAAGCAAAGCAAAAAGCCTAGACTGAAGGTATAAGGAATCAGGAGATGGGATTGTCACTAAAATCTCTTCAAGAGGGAGAACATGGCACCCTCCAACCACTCACTGTCCATCCATGGCCACTCATCACCAAGCACATGCTAAGCAGGAGGCACAGAGCAGGCTGAGCACCGAATGTGAAGGGAGGAATGGGCTGCAAGTATAGCTGCTTTTTGAGAAATTTAGTTGAAAACAATAGGAAAGAAGAGTATCATGGTCAAGGGAAGAATTTTTTTTGTTTAATGTATTTTGAGGTCAGGGGGTGGAGAGGCAACATAGATTAATTTAATTCCATTTGTACGTTTAGGGGAAGGACCTGGTATAAAAGAAGAGGTAAGTAATGTTTTTAAATGGGAGGATAATTGACGGAGTAGGATTCCAGCACAGGTAGAAGGGCAAGAGATCAATGAGAAACACAAGCCGCAGCTTTGCCTAGCTGCTGTCTTTCGGCTACAGTTTCCCTTAGGAAGACAAGTGTAAGGCACAGAGGTAACCAAGGGTCATGCAGCAAGTTGGGGGTAACAGCAGATGCAGGATGCTGCTTTCCAGCATGCCAGCCTCTTTTACCCAGTCCAAGGGTCTCATGTGTCCAGGTAACCCATAACCTCATGTGTGCTGGCATGATCCAGTGTGCAGACTTTGGACACTGGGATTCCATGGCCCTGGGACACTTTCTTCAGGAGCAGTTGGAGGCACAGACCCTGGCCTTTACTCCAGAAAGGCACCAAGCCAAGAGGATTAGCTGGGAGGTGGCACATGGAGATCACAGACCTGCAAGTGAGCAGCTGGGGAAGGCAACAACACCAAGCTGAGAATGCCAGGGACTGATTCGCATGGACAAGGCCTTTCCTTTGTGGAAGGCGTATAGGCCTGGCATGATTTGAAAGGCACCCAAAGAGGCCACTGCACCTCTCACTATAGCCCTGCCAAGGCTCAGCTATCACCTTGACACTCTATGGGACTAAAGCAAAAAGCCCCAGATAGTTAAGTGGAAATTTTTGCAGAACACCACATTGAGCCATTGCCACTTTAGGACTGGGCAGAGCCGCAAAAGATAAAGCAAAAGGATAAAGAGGAAAGTACTGAAGCATGGGATTTGGGGGTCCCACCATGCAGAATCATGGGAATCCATGCAACAACCATAACCAATGTAAACCATTTTTCTATCACTTGTATATAAGAAAACACTAATTACAGTAGACAAAGACAGGGCCCCTGCCTTTGAGTAACTCATAAAGAAACTCAAATAGAGAAAGTTACTGTTCAATGCAGTCAGTGCTATGATAGGAATTTGTGCAAAGGACTATAGGAACATGGAGAAAGGATTTCCACATCTTAAGGGTTTGGATATTGGTGCATATAACAAGAATTTTGGTCAATAAGTGTCTCTGTTTTCTTTCTGCCATCCCAACTACTCAGAGCTCTATAAAGGATGAAGAAATTACCAACAAAGTCCTAAGACCTCCCTGAATGGTCACTTTTCAAAAGGATATGTTTCTGGACAGCAAGCTTCACCTAGACCTTTGCTGAGCTCCAATCCCTTTACTGTACGATAAGTCCTCTCTGACCCCAGGAAAGCTTGCATTTCCCGTCTGAGTACCTTTCACTCAGGAACCTGCTTGCATCCGGCCAGGCGGTCTTGTCTTCCTCCCCCATACCCACCCCACCTCCCCACTCACAATCCTCCAGACATACAAAGAGTCTTTGCTTATGAGGCTTCAAACCTCTTCCTGGGCCACACCTTCCCCCCTCACCCCACTTCCCGCCCAACCAGGAGGCTCCTACTCATTTTTGGCTTCCGGCCTCAAAGCCCACCCCACCTGCAGCTGCATGAAGAGGTGGTCAGCACAGTGGGCGCCAATCGTCCCCCCAACCCCAGTGCAGGAAGGAAGTCTGCACCCACCTCTGGGCATTTGGTGGTGACTCACCCAGAAGAGTCCACTCCCCCACACCGGACACAGGAAAGACAAAGGTCTTTCCATTGCAGAGACTCAGCTTAAAACTTCAAACCATAGGGGCCATCTCCATCTGCAGCCAGCAGGCTCTTTCCAAATTCTCTTTCCTGCCTGTCCTACAGCCACACTAAATGTCTTTCAATTTCTTGAAGGCACCAAGACTTTATGCATGGATTTCTTTCCCCCTGAAGAAAATTCTTCACCTAGTTACCTCCTAGATACTCTTCCTTGCAGCTTCCCTCTAACCACTTACGGGTCTCCCCAAGCACCTGGACTTATATCCTTCAAGAAAGATAACCATTAACATGGTGATTCCTAATGTGTCTTATCATATCCCCCAAAAGGTTCGAAGTTCCTTGAAGGCCAGGATTCTTGTCTTGTTCAAGGTTGTATTCCCAGTGCTTTGTACCTGAGTCATGATAGGCACTTGGTCAATGTCTTGAGTTGAAAAGAAATGAAAACCATAATATACAAACAATCATTATTATTGTCAGAAGAATGTTGGAGGAGTATGAAGAGTTATTCTCTTACGCTTAATTTACCAGCCATCACCTGGCCTAAACCAGTGGTTTTCAAAGTGTGACCCTGGCCTAGCAGCATTAGCACCATGTGGAAACTTCTTAGAAACATAAATTCTTAGTTCAATCCCAGACCTACTGATTCAGAAACTTAGGGCATTGTGCTCAGTACTCTGTATTTTAATAACCCTCACTGCCAAGTGATTCTGATGCACACTGAAGTTTGAGAAAACACTCCCTAGTCCTAGTCCTACTCCCAAGATTGGGTCATAACATTCAACCATGGGAATATTACAAATTAGAAAAACGTTACATTTATAGCAAGATTTGTTTATCTAAATAAACACTTCTCCATCCTGGTCCCCCTATCTTCTTTTTTTTTTTTTTTTTTGAGATGGAGTCTTGCTCTGTCACCCAGGCTGGAGTGCAGTGGTGTGATCTTGGCTCACTGCAAGCTCTGCCTTGCGGGTTCATGCCATTCTCCTGCCTCAGCCTCCTGAGTAGCTGGGACTACAGGCGTCTGCCACCATGCCCGGCTAATTTTTGGTATTTTTAGTAGAGACGGGGTTTCACCATGTTAGCCAGGATGGTCTGGATCTCCTGACCTCGTGATCCACCCACCTCGGCCTCCCAAAGTGCTGGGATTACAGGCGTGAGCCACCACACCCAGCCCCCCTATCTTCTTATAGGGGTTTAAGTCAGCAGCAGGCATAAGTTTTGTTAAGCTCCATTCGATAGATAAAAACACTAAGGTTGAAAAAAAAACCCACTTTCTCAAATGATAAGACTAAAACAGGCAGTGTCAAAGAAGGGATCAGGCCCAAGACTCTTTCCACAGTAACACAAAGTCATTCAGAAGACAGTCAAATAAAATAAGCACCAGAGAATTCACCGTTTAGGGGCCAGAAATGTGAATGCATCTTTCCCAGCACTACAATGCTTGCTGATAACGGTAAATAACCTCTCAGGTGGCTTCCTGAGGGTTTGGGTTTCTAAGGATGCGAGTCAGTCCTTCATAATAATTAAGAGCAATGTCCCACACAACTTACAGCGTCGTTTTCTTTTTTTAAAAAAAAGGCACAATACCCAATTCATGCCACCCCAGAATGGCATTTTTTTTAAACCTGCTTCACATTTGTAGAGGTGAAGAACCTCCACCTCTAAGAAACCTTGCTTTCAGATATAGAGGTCCCAGCCTAAACACCTAGGTTTGGGTGGATACGGCCCGGAAACTTCTGGAAAATGAGGACAAAGCTGGACTGCTGAAGGTCTTGTCTGTGTTTGGGTGGCTGTCTGGCGCCCCCTTGTGTTCAGTGCCTGGACCCAAAAGAGCCGGAAGGCAACAATGATGCAGTGAGGGCAAATGGCTACAGCAATTCACAAATGGCACTCTGGCCAGTGAGGACCAGAGGAATGGGCTTAGGACTGGGCAAAGGCCCCTCTGCCCACCATCTGGGCTCTCCTGAAGGCCCTCCAAGCACTCTTCCAGCCCTAGTGGAGAAGCAGTCACTAGGAAGACTTGCCTGGACAGGCATAGGTGGAAGCTGTGCCCAAGCTCACCCGTTGTGTCCACCAGGAAGATGGGTCATTGCATCCTTCTTGCTGGGTGTTTGGCCAGAGGGCTTTTCCTCCTGACTTACTGCCCAGGGCAGAGGCTTAGAGCACCCCCACCTCCCTTTTTTTTCTTTTTTTTGACGGAATTTCGCTCTTGTTGCCCAGGCTGGAGTGCAATGATGCGATCTGGGATCATCACAACCTCCACCTCCCAGGTTCAAGCAATTCTCCTGCCTCAGCCTCCCGAGTAGCTGGGATTACAGGCATGTGCCACCATGCCCAGCTAGTTTTTTTTTTTTGTACTTTTAGTAGAGATGGGGTTTCACCATGTTGGTCAGGCTGGTCTCGAACTCCTGACCTCAGGTGATCCGCCCGCCTCAGCCTCCCAAAGTGCTGGGATTACAGATGTCAGCCACTGCACCTGGCCCCCACCCCCTTTATTAAAGGGAAATTGAGTGTTCTGCTGAAGACAGCTTGGGCCCCTGAGGAGACATTGCAAGGCAGTTCTGAATGTGCTAAGTCAGTGGGTGATAATGGGCACTGTGTGCCCAGCAAAGGCACTTCCCACCCTCGGCCATAAACAGTCTTTAACTGGTTCACACAGAAGGCTGGGGTTGGCTCTTCCTTCTCACCTGCCTGCTCCCTGACTCCCACACTGCAGGGCTCTACCTTCCCAGTCATATCACCAAATCCTGCCCTTGGTGTGAAAAAGACCATGGCATGTTCAGCACAAAACAGCAGAGCCAATGACAAGCATCCAGGCATAGCTCTAGCCCCAGAACAGGGCTCCCCTCAAGGAGCAGCCCTGATCTGAGCCTTAAATTCTGGATGGATCTCAGCTCCTCCTCATATAAGCTGAGTTAGACAAGTCATATAAATCAGAGCACTAAAACTCTCTGAGCCCCAGTCTCCTCATGAGAAAAATGGAAATCTCGGCCCTGAAATTAGCCCAGTATGGCTCTAGGTACTATAGAGTTGAATATGTTGGAAAATCTAACAGACAAGTATCCTCTTGCCTCTGAGTCTTTGCACATTCTGTTCCCACTGCCTGGAACAGTTTTCTCCCCTCTCTCCCTCACTTGGCTAGTACCTGTTTATCTTCAGTCTCAGCTTAGACCTCCTCAGGAACCCTTCTGTGTTTCCTTGAGCCAAGTCAAGTTCCCCTCCAGTGGTTCCCATAACTCTCTGCATGTCACCAGTCCCAAAAGTGGTCACAAAATATGTTAACTGGCTGTTTGCTGGTCTAGGACCTCACTGTAATAAACCCCATGAGGGAAGAATAGGGATCATGTCTGCCTTATTCACCTTGGCATCATCAGGGACCTGTGCAGTGCGTGGCACATAGTTAGCACTCAATACAAATGGATTTGACTGGATAGATGGGCTCAGAATGAAACACAGGCTGGGGCCAGAGAGCAGAGGCCAAGTCAGGAAAGCAGCTAAGGGAACGTGTACACACATCCATGACGTGGATAGATTCCCACAGTGGCCTGTAGCCCCTGTGTCAGTCCTGGAACCCAGTGCTATCTATGCCTGTGAGGACCCTGCACCAGGTCCCTGCTGCTCTGGCCTATTAGAGAAAGAAGGAACCTTGGGGGTCATTCAGGCCAGAAGTCCACAGACAGAGCTCAGGCCTTCTCTGCCCAAGCTCTACCAGAGAGTTTCTGCTTTTATTCTTTTGTATTTTTTTTTCTCAATGAGGTAGTGTTTTAAAATCTGGTTCCATGAGGAGAAGGAGAAAGGTGAAAATCACCTGTGCCGTCATTTTACAAAAGGAAAAGAGACTCTCAGAAGAGAAGGGGTTTTCCCCAAGGTCAAACGGCTCAGTATTGGTATGGGAAGACCCCACATCCTCAATTCCTTACACACTTTTCAGAGGGAGGGAAGAAAATAGGGGATTGTGATTTGGA